>NC_000014.9:100520713-100823713 GCF_000001405.40 Homo sapiens | reverse complement strand
ACATCAGGCGAGTCAAATGTCTTCCAGAACATTCTGCATGACAGTAATTAGTATCAGGTGTATCCTGCAGTCCATGTGGTTACTTCATCATGCTGCTTTTCTTTCCATTGTATTTTATTTTAAACAGAACTCCATGGCAACATGTTTACCCTTCTGGCTTCCTAAAAGAAAGAAAGAAAATGATGAGGGGGGGGAGCAGGAATGCGAGGCAAAGAGAGAAAGAAAAGACTGCTGCAAACTAATCTCCACTGAACATGGTTTAACCACAATTTAAAAAAAAAATCCATATGTTTAAATGTTTTTGTTGGCTTTTCTGGAGCTCAGAACCTAACTTTTTAAATATTTATTGGTCCAAAGCAATGGAAGAAATTCTTGAAGGAGCCAAACCTATAGTAATATTTGGATCTGAACTATTTCTCAATCTGAGCAATGCTATACATGCCTTCCTCCCTCAAAAAGGCCATTCAAGGGCTCAGATTTGTATCTATAGGGGAAAACAGACAAGGAAATCCAGGTTTGAGAAATGGAGCACTTTCTCTCTGTGCATGCTGAAACCCAACTCTCCTGAAATCCTGGAGGCGAGCCAGTGTCCCAGACGCATGGCTTAGCTTGCTGCCTTTTTTTTTTTTTTCTCAGATCTAACTCAAAGCACACATTTTTCTTCTTTTTTTAATTCATACTTGAGAACCCTCAAAAGCCATGTGAGCAGCCTCCTATCCACATGTACATACTTATGGGCAAGGGGACAAACCTCCTAAGAGCCAGCCAGGAAATGAAGACAAGGTCCTCCTATACCCATCTCCCAGGCATGGGCAAATATACTCTCTTCTCAAAAAGCATACTCTGAACTTTTACAAACAGCAAACCCCAAGTGCCTACCCCTCTAAGCCGACGTCCCAGTTTTCCCCGTACCCTTGAAATTTAGCATGCACCAGAGATCTCTTGAGTTCCTCTTCTGCACTCCCCCCAGGGGGCTGCCGGGATAGGGAGGCTGCTTTGACTTCTTCCTATATAAGCTGCCACTGCAGTCCCAATCCCCAGCTCTAGTGCCAGCCTCTGGCCCTTCAAGCCTCTGAACATCACTGAACCCCCTCCCATTCTGCCATAGACCTCAGCTCAAGTCAGAGAAGCAGTTGAGCGCATGGGCGGTCTTCCATGGGGCTGAGTTTTTCCTTCTCGTGGGACAAGGGGAAGCCTGTCATTGTCAAATACAATGTCTGCCTCCCATAAGAGGTGAGGCTTGACATCAAGTAGTCAAGGATTTGGAGGAAATGATCAAACACACCAGGCCTATCTTCTGGGATCTTGAAATTGACAGCAGCTCTTCTAGAAAACACACCGACCCCAGCTCCCAGTGCCGGGAACACTCTGCTCCCCTTAAAACCAGAGTTCTGGGCACAGCCCCAACCTTGCATGGAAGAGTTTGCCAAATTGTAGATACTAAAAGACAAATAAAGTTCAACGCCTTTCACAGACGGCCAAGGATGAAGTTTAATTCCAGGTAGACTGCTGGGTTTCAAGGCAGCGCATCTGTATATTTGAGTTAGCTAGACTTCCAGCCATTCCCCGTTGACTAACAGTAACCCAAGAGTAAATGTTCAACCACAGAGTTGCCCTTTTCCTCATCAGCCTCTGGAGGAGCGTGGTATGTGGACAGGCAGGGGACATTGCTCTTTGGGACTACTTTTTATAATAACTAGTGCCAATGAAAAAGAGCTGGAGGGTAATGCCCCCAAATGGTACCATTAGTTGTGCTGGATGGATAGATTCTGAGTGAATTTTCTTCTTCCTTTCTACTTTTATGAATTCCTTTACTGGCATGTATTCCTCTTATAGTGTGTGTGTGTTTGTGTGTTTTAATGCTGCAGTCCAAAGCCAGGCACAGTGGCACATGCCTATAGTCGTAGCTACTCAGAAGGCTGAAGCGGGGAGGATCACTTGAGCCTAGGAGTTCAAGGCCAGCCTGGGTGACATAATAAGACCCCAACTGTTAAAAAAAAAAATTCGTTTTAATGTAACGGTACAAGAAAAGTGACCATTTTAGCCTCTTCTTTATTGACCTCAATTTAAAAATCTTTTCCTGTTAAGTAAATAAAAATCAAGAGACCCAGGATTCATGTCCTGCATAGCATAAGTCCCCATTCCTGGACAGAGGCATTCATGCATGAGTGATAGCTGTGGGGTGGGCACAGAGGTGGGTGCCAGTGGCAGTCACCTAGCTGCGCCCAATCTTTGGAAGGACTCTCCTGAACCTGCCACAGAGGTGAACAAATTCCAAGCTGGTAAAAGCAAAAAAAGTGCACTTCAATGATTTCATTCCTACTGGGGGGACCTAGAGAAATCCATTTCCGAGAAGACCAAGCAGGCCAAGAACGGGGTCTTGGTGAAGCAGACCACTGCCATGGGTTGGATTTTAGAAGTCACATCCTGACACTAGGAAAAGACAGCCACATTGCCCACCCCACCCCCACCCGGGGCCCCCTGGCTTTGGGTGTGGGCCAGCCCCAGATTCAAGCAAGGGGTTTTCTTGGCCCCACTCCATGGAAATATTTCCTTCGGTGGAGCAAAGAACTGCTCCATTCAACTGCCTGCGGCTAGGGAGGGGGTGGCTTTTGCTGTGTTGACAGAGAACTGCAGAGGCCTGGGGAGGGGCCCCAGAGGAGAAACTGTGTTCCAGGTAGAACAGGACTGGAAAGTTTGCTCTTTTTTTCTTTTTTTTTAACTAAAAGATTGCTGACAGTTGAAAAACTCCCACCCCACCCAAGAGGCTCCTAGAGGAGGCATTTGTACTAGGTTTCAACAAGGACTAGAAACTTCTTAAGTCTTAATGTCAAAGGGAAGGGGGCCGAGGCTGGGCACACTTTCAATTTAAACATTGAGGGTCTGGATGGTTCCAGAGCACACAGTTGGCCTCCCTGAGCCAAGCCTGGTGATACCTCTGTCTCAGAGCTAACCCAGAAGCCACCAGCTCCTGGGGGAGCCAAGGGTGCGTAGGAGACGCACTGTGATTAGGGGCCCGTGCACATAGAGGCAGCGGTCAGAGGTTCCAGAGGGCACACAATCTTCCCTCGTTGAGCTTAAGTTTGCTGATGTCCATGTCGCAGCCCACGCCCAGAGGAGGGTACCAGCAAAGGTAGGAATCTCCTTGAACTTTCTTCAAAAAGCCCAAATCCATGTGACTCTTGCTTCGTAGAGCTGCTCAGAAGCTCATGAGGGCTCGGGGGAAAGTGACAATCCCTGGGAGATAGGATGATGAGTTCCACCTACCACGGCAGTCTACCACCACTGCCACCGCTGCCTGCCACCGCTGCCTACCACCACTGCCTACCACCACTGCTGCCACCACTGCCACTGCTGCCACCACTGCCACTGCTGCCTACCACCACTGCCTGCCACCGCTGCCTACCACTGCTGCCTGGCACCGCTGCCTACCACCACTGCCTACCACTGCTGCCTTCCACCGCTGCCTGGCACCACTGCCTACCACCGCTGCCCTCCACTGCTGCCTGCCACCGCTGCCTACCACTGCCTGCCACCACTGCCACCGCTGCCTATCACCGCTGCCTGCCACCACTGCTGCCACCGCTGCCTGCCACCGCTGCCTGCCACTGCTGCCCTCCACTGCTGCCACCACTGCTGCCTACCACTGCCTGCCACCAATGCCACCGCTGCCTATCACCGCTGCCTGCCACCACTGCCTACCGCATCAGTCTACTACCGCTGCCTGCCACCGCTGCCTGCCACCGCTGCCTGCCACCGCTGTCTGACGCTGAAAGGAGATGAGAATCAAACAGAGGGCAGCACATGGCAGTGCAGGGTGAGTGCCACTCCATGCAGTGGCCTGTGCTGCCCAGAGTCTACCGAGCCACACGTTGTGCACCTGGCGGGATGGCTGACCACCCCATAAACACAATGTCACAAATGCTGATTGCAGCCTTTCTTTCAAACCATTGAGTGCAGCTTGCAGGGTGACCGGCAGTCTTGCCTGGTGATTGAAGGTTTGGGCCCCAACATCAGACTGCAGGTGCTAGTCCACTTGCTACCTGTGTGGTCTTGGGTTGGTTGCTTAACCTCTCTGAACCTCATTGTCATGATCTGTACAATGGGGACAAAATACCTTCTTCAGTTGAGAAGATTAAATTGGGGAAAAATGTGTGCTGTACTTATGGCAGGCCCTAGCCATATGACATGGAGTGAGGATGAAGAGACCTTCTTGTCTTCCATGTAGTTTGCATTTATTTTGTAAGAAGAAAAATTTTATTTTGTAATTTCGTAAAAGTTAACCTGGCTGGGCACAGTGGCTCATGCCTGTAATCCCAGCACTTTGGGAGGCTGACGCGGGCAGATCACTTGAGATTAGGAGTTCGAGACCAGCTTGGTCAATGTAGTGAAACCCCGTCTCTACTAAAAATACGAAAATTAGCCAGGCATGGTGGCAGGTGACTGTAGTCCCAGCTAATCGGGAGGCTGAGGCAGGAGAATCACTTGAACCCAGGAGGCAGAGGTTGCAGTGAACCGAGATGGTGCCACTGCACTCCAGCCTGGGTGGCAGAGCGAGACTTCATCTCAAAAATAAATAAATAAATAAATAAATAAATAAATAAATAAATAAACAAACAAATAAATAAATAAAGTTTGGCCGGGCACGGTGGCTCACGTCTGTAATCCCAGCACTTTAGGAGGCCAAAGCAGGCGGATCACCTCAGGTCAGGAGTTCCAAACCAGCCTGACCAACATGGAGAAACCCCGTCTCTAATAAAAATACAAAATTAGCCAGGCATGGTGGCACATGCCTGTAATCCCAGCTACTCTGGAGGCTGAGGCAGGAGAATCGCTTGAACCTGGGAGGCGGAGGTTGCAGTAAGCCGAGATCGTGCCATTGCACTCCAGCCTGGGCAACAAGAGTGAAACTCCATCTCAAAAAAAAAAAATTTAAATTTAAATAGTTAATCCAATATATCAGCTAGGTCCATGAGCAAAGGCCTGTGCCATGGGTGCCCTGCTGCCCTTCCCTTCCCACAGATGTGGGACAGTCTGGGACAGACTTGAATGCTTCCTCTGAAATGCCTTCCAAAACAGCTGCGCCCCTCTGTGGTTTTGGGGATGGGCTCTGCCAGTCCCCATAATCGGTCAGAGGGAAAAGAGAAACAAGCATCCCCACTCCCAGCCTTTTGGCTGAGCCTCACTGGCCATCAGCAGCCTAGGCTGGCCACCCTAACACAGCCACCTGGCCCCTTGCCCTCCCTCCTTGTGGCCAACAAGGGCTGGGTAGGGTGCTCTCTTCCTACTTAGGACTTCCTGTCTCAGAGTGTGGGATCTGAGATGTCATTTACAAGCTCAGTGGGAAAACAAATATTCCAGATAAAAATATTCCCATGACACTTGGCCTGCCCCTGCCGTCTTTCCTGTGGCTCTCTTGTTCCTGGTTGGGGTGGGGACTCTGCAGCCTGGCATGGGACATTTGGCAGTGAGGAGGCCATGAGGCAAGGTGGGTGAGAACACAGGCTCCCAACTCAGACAGCCTGGCTTGAATTCTGATACCACCACTTGACTTTGGCTGGGATCCTTTCACCTCTCCTCAATTTCTCCACCTGTAAAATAGGGATAATAGTACCTACCCCCACCCCCCCACCCCCGGGTGTTGAGAAGGTTAAATGAGACAGTAGGTGCTCAGTAACCCAAATGGCATCCTCCCTCCTCCTGCAGAGAGCCCCCGCTGCCCCAAGGAGAGCAGGCCTCACAGTGCCACCCACTCCACAAGAATGCAGAGCTCAGAACCTTTACATCGGGCTCCTGTTTGCAGGAACGGCTCCAGGCCTGGCTGACAAGGGCTGTGAGCCTCTCTGGCCTCCACCACCAGCCTTTCCTGGGAATCCCAGGCCGGGGTAGTGGAAGATTCTCAGAGCAGCCGAGGCGCCCTCCACACCAGCCCTGGTGTGCACTTTCTACAGCCATCATGCCAACACGTCCTGCAGCCTTCGCCCACCCAGAGTTCATTTCCTCCCATTTGGGGTAACTTCACCACCCCAGGTCACTGGACAGGACCGAAGGTCACCAAAGGTCATCCCGGAACACCGCAGGTCACCTTGGCTCTCAGTGCTTCATCCAGAAACCTGAGTCTACCCCCCATACCCGTCTACCGAGCCGCCAGGGCTTATGTTGTGCAAACGCTGCGCCCTCTGAGACAGGGGCTCAAATGTTCAACATACCCTTTAGGTGTTTGCGGAAAGGATGAGCTCAAAGACGCCTGCCTCTAGGTAAACGGAGCTGCCCTTGCACATGTGATGATAAGGAAAAGCAAACGAAGGCTGCCTTTGAACGGCCTTTTTGCTCCACCAGCTCCCAACCTAAAGCTGCCTTTGCAGTCGTGAACTGTGGGGGGATGGGGGCGTGGAGGTGGTGGGGGAAGGACAGTGGCCACTAGCACCCTGGCCCTTTGAGAAGGGTCCTGCCCACTTCGCCCTGCCAGGCCTCGGTTTCCCCCCTGCAAAAACAGGAAAGTTGATATTCATGCCACAGGCTTGCTCTGAATACAGACTAAAACAGACTATTTTCTTTTTATTTATCTTTTTTTGGGACGAGATCTCACTTTGTTGCCCAGGCTGGAGTACAGTGGTGCAATCATGGTTCATTGCAGCCTCAAACTCCTGGGCTCAAGCAATCTTCCTGCCTCGGCACCCCAAGTAGCTGGGACTACAGGCGCTTCCCACTACATCAAGTTTTTTTGTTTGTTCGTTTGTTTTTTAAGAGACAGAGTCTCTCTATGTTGCCCAGGCTGGTCTGGAACTCTCAGATTCAAGAGATCCTCCTACCTCAACCTCCCAAAGTGCTGAGGTTACAGGCATGAGCCACCACTCCTGGCGACAGACTATTTTCTAAAAGCCTCACACGTTACCCAACTAAATAGGGATGTTGAGGGTCAAGGTCCAGGGCTGGGGAGGTGGAACTCTGGAGTAGGGAGCACAGGGAACATAGGCAGGGAGGCCAGGCCAGGCACACTCAGAAGAGGCTGCTTCAAAATACACCAGCAGAGCATTTGCACCTTTAGCCTGAGTTCTGGCAACTTTAAAAGACAATTCCAGATTGTCTTACTTATCCATTCATTCATTCCATTCAGGAAGTACTTCCTGGGTGCCTAGGGCTGGCATTATTTTACATGCCAATGGCTAGGGATAAAATGACAAGTGATGGGTCAAGCTCCCTGCCTCACTGAGCTCAGAGCCAACAAGGGAGCTGAGCTGCACACCTACTGTGTTCAGGCTGCACTCTGCATGCCTCTGCTTAGATGTTAGATGGCTAGCTTGCTCAGCCCAGGCCCTGAGAGTGAGTGAACGCTCTCCCTGGGAAGATGAAATGAGAAGTAAGACGCTGTCATTTAACCACAAGAGAGAGCCCGTGGAGGTTTGGGATGCCCAGGAAGAGCTGGCACCTCTCACTTCGGTGGGAGCATCAGGAATCTGGGCCCATATCCCCTCCCGAGAGTCTGGCCTTATGTACATTTCCCAGAAATTCTCACTGTTTATACTGAGGGGCCTCCCCGGAGCAGAAGTCATTCAAATCCTGTTTTCAGCTGTAAGTCACTTCCTGCCTAGCTTAGGGCACAGGCATCTCAGAGCATTGAATGTATGGCCACGTGGCCACCCCAGAGATCCAAGCAAAACTGTCTGGTTGCCCAGCCTCAGCTGTTCCTGAAAGGCTTGAGTGTGCAATCCCGGTCCCCTGCTTTGGAGTTACACAAAGGGCCCTCCCGTAAGCCCTGAACAGCAGGCATGACTCAGGCCCAGACTTAGGGCTGGTTTCCACAGCCCATACCGGGGCCCTAATTTGGAGAAATCTGAGTGGACCTAGGCTGAAGATCCCCCCTGAGGAGGTCAGGAAGTGGCCAGGGGACCTTATATAAGCTGACCTCTCCCACCAGGCTGGGCAGGAGGCTAGGGTGAGTGTAGGGGCAGGAGGTAGAGGGAGGAAGATGAGGGGAGAAGGTGAACGGGCTAAGGTCTCCAGCGCTCCCTGGTGAGACCTCTCCAACTCCCGTTTCGGTAACCGCTTCTCTGGCAGGGGTTTCCGCAGGCCTGCCATCCTGACCAAAGGGGAAGAGCACGTCCACCTGGAATGGGAAGGCTCCCTCCTGCCCATCCCAGGGCCACAGAAATGTGGACCTGGAAGGGGTAAGAAGGCAGGCGCTAGCTCCATCTCCCACATCCCAATCATAGCATCTCAAATTATACATGTAGCATCATGGGGCTTGTTTAGAACATAAGGTAGTACTTCCTGGAGGGAAAGGCTTGAAATAAGCAACCCCAAATGAACAAGGCAAAGATGTAACAAGGGCCTGGAACCTGGCAGCCATGCTGACTCTGCGTGTGCCATGTCCTCCCTGGTGAGTGATTGGGCCAGGAGAAATGGGGGTCCTAGGCCTATGGGTCAGACACCCCAATGAGAAACTATTTTGGCTCCAAGGAGCCCCTAGCCACACAGCTCCAGAAACCTGGGAGACGCAGGGCAGCCCACGGTCACTCCGGCTTCATCCCAAGTCCTTGTGTATTCTGTGAATTGGGAGCCTGAAGGCACAAGAACCATGGGAGGGTATGCGTTTGACCAGAAGGTAGGAAGGAAGCAGCTTAGCCTACAACCCTTCTGGGGCACCTCCTGGGCCACCCTCTGCTTTACAGCTTAGACCTCTGGGGAAGGGGGTTGGGCACTCGGCGGAAATCATCACTCATTTGCATAGTGAAGTCTATGCCGTACCTAGGTCCCAAATCCAGGGGAAGGCAATGCACGGCAGAAACGGGGTTTGAATGACTTCTAGGAGCCCTTTGTGCCAAGTCGAGATGGCCTCATCCCCACAGCCCACATTCCTGGCAGGCTGGGTCAGGGATCCCTGGGCCAGAGATCTGAGATCAGCCTGGCCAGCAAGCCCCCAAGTAAAAGTTTATGCTGAACAGAGCACAGAAGCCGAGCTGTGTTCCCTTAGGTCAAGATTTTCACACTTGAACTCACGTTCCCTTTAAATAAAGTGGAAACTCCCCATCTCTGCCACTCTACACCAAGATTCAAATCCCCCCAGCATGACCGTGTGCTGAGGCTGTGTTTGCTTTAGGCCCTCACCCCGCTCAGGCTAGTTCAGTTTTGTGACTATCTAGCACCTCTCACCCCCATCCTACAGCCTGGGGTGGCTCGGGAGCCACCTGGTCTGAGGAATGGCTGGATTGGGAGGGACCATATCAAAATATTCCTGCGGGACTACTGTTAGTTCCTTAAGATACCATTAGAAGGCCACCCCATCCCACGAAGCTTCTCTCATCAACTTTACACTATGTCTGCAGTCTAACTAGGTGTGACTTCTCGGTTGGCATTCTGGCAATATGTACCCAGCATTTCAATGCACACGAGTCTCAGCCCAGACATTCACTCCTAGAAATTGTCCCTGCAGAAATACTTGCACAGCGCAAAGAGACACAGAGCGACAAGGACATCCGGCACAGCGTTATCAGTCTGCAAACTGAGTACAGCATTTAGCATGCACTTAGTATGTGCCAGGCAGGGTTTGAAGAGCTTTTTATCCTTATTAATAGCTCATTTAATCTTCACCCAAGAGGTAGGTCCTTGACCATGCCCGCTTTACAGATGAGGAAACTGAGGCACAGATCTACCCAGCAAGAAGCAGGCCTGGCATCTGCGCCAGGAGGCATCACCCTGCTGAACTGGATTCACAATCCTTCCATCCCCTTTGCCTGCTGGGAGGGCAGGGACACTGGAAAGTTCAGGATGTTGAACTGAGTTCTTGGCCACACGGATAACAGAGAACCCCAAAGGAAGCTGGGGTGTCATCTGCGCACAACCTCCCGATTGGAAAGTTAGCATTCTCCCTTCAGTTGTGAGAAGGCTCATAAGCCCCCCCCAAAACACACACACACACTTGTCCCAGGTTAGGGGCATCACCGTATCCTAGCCGCTCTCTGGTGTACACGGCTCAATGCAGAAATCACAGTTCGAGGTGACTCTCCGCAGAGGAGCTGGGTCTTGCAGCCTCTCAGTTTCCCTAACTCGGGAGAAAGTCTTGTGGCAGCTTCCATTCAAACTCTTCATCAAACACCCAGGGGGAGCATGCCATTCCAGACCCACTGCCACAGGAATCATGGTGGGACACCGCAAATCACAGCACAAAGATCATCAACATCAACCCCACAGTGAGGGCCACAGGGTGCCTGTGCACTACCAACCATGGGACCTCGGGGCCACGGGGCAGCAATAGTGAATCCTGCTGAGCCACAGGAGAGCAGACTGGCAGGCCCCGGTGCACCGGCCGTGGCCCACCGCTGGCTTGAAATCACTGATAGGTGGTAAAAATAAATTTTAAGAGGAGTCCCGAACTAGTAGCACGGGGAACCCTAAAGAGCCCTGCTCTCCACTGGATGGAGAGCTGACTCTTCCCAGGTCCCAGGAGGCAACACCGACTTTGCTGAGTCCCAAGCCTATCATGGGCTTTCCCACCCAGCCTGGGGCAAGAAGTGGAATACGCTTAGCCCAGGCAGTGGATGGAAGCAAACTCCCCCAAGGAAGGTGGTATTAGTCTCCCTGGCCATTCCCAGTTGGAGTTGATTTGTTCCTTTAAGAAGGGGAAGGATTCTCGAGCACTGGAGTTTTCAGGTCCCCTCCCAGTCTTGAAAGTTTACATCCCCAAGTCCCCTTTTCATTTGCTCAAAGAGTACATGTGGCTGGCAAGAAGTGCTCGAGAGGCTTCAGGCAGTCTTGGAGTGGATTCTGCAGGTGCCAAGCCTCCTCAAGACCCAGAGATCCTAAAGCCCAGTCTTCAGTCCTCAGAGTCAGAGGATAGAGATGGACAGGACTTCAGCCTCAGCCCTCCCGCAAAACAGAGTCATTTGCAAACTTTCAAGACTGGGAGGGGACCTGAAAACTCCAGTGCTCGAGAATCCTTCCCCTTCTTAAAGGAACAAATCAACTCCAACTGGGAATGGCCAGGGAGACTAATACCACCTTCCTTGGGGGAGTTTGCTTCCATCCATTGCCTGGGCTAAGCGTATTCCACTCCTTGCCCCAGGCTGGGTGGGAAAGCCCATGATAGGCTTGGGACTCAGCAAAGTCGGTGTTGCCTCCTGGGACCTGGGAAGAGCCAGCTCTCCATCCAGTGGAGAGCAGGGCTCTTTAGGGTTCCCTGTGCTACTAGTTCGGGACTCCTCTTAAAATTTATTTTTACTACCAAATCCTCCCCAACAGAGCTTCCATCCTCCACTTTTACAGATGCCTCAAGAGAGGTTTACAGAGGCCCAGAGACTTGCCCCAGCTCTGTATGGGAGCACTGAGATAGTGCCAATCTGGCCATCCAGGTCATTCTCCTCCTTCCACTGCCCCAAGGGAAGTGACCAGCTTGAGAAGGAGACATTAAGAGGACAAGTAGGCCCAGCACCGGGGCCCTGCCATGCCGGGTCCTGTAGCGTCATCTCTCTCCTGCCATCACTGGCAACAGATCAAATGTCAAAGGTCAAAAGGAAAAGGCTCCCTCAGGGCTAACCACTCAGATACTTCCTTTTCTTGCTTCAAACAGAGGACAAGATCCACCCTTTTTGACACAAACAAGATGACAAAGAGCTCAGGGAAGGTAGGGCAAGTCAAGGGCGGAGGAGAATTCTTCAAGCTATGACTTCTCCCCGAGAGAGACACCACTGTCCCAAAAACCTCATCCCACTGAGACAGTTGCTTCAGGGGCCACAGAACCAAGGGGTCCTCTGCCCAGTGAGCTCGGGTCTTCCCAGCCTCTTCTGTCTCCTGACAGCCTTGCTGCTCTCCCCTTTGGAAAAGCAAGATCCACAGTTCTGTCCAGTGGCGGGGAACAGGAATAACTCATTCTCCTCCTCAGACAACACACAGCTTGAGCCCCTGCACCTTTTGATCCAGGAAACAATCAATATGTATCTCATGGCGATGGAGCTGCTCCAGACAAAAGTGTGCATGTGCGTTATACGTGTGAGTGTGCGTGTGGCCATGGCGCGCTCTTGTGTGTTGGAATGAGAATGAGGCTGGGGCTGCAGTTTATGATAGCTCAGGGTTGCGCCTGCAGAAGTACCACACCCACCTAGTCCTCAATGATAGGACCCCCAGTCTCCACCACCTCTGCTCAAACAGCTCAGAGAGCGCAGAAGCGGACCTGGGCATGGGAGGTGCCGCCCTTCCCACTTCTGTCTCCACCATCCCCCACCATTGGCCTCCAGCAGGGATTCCTTGGGCTGAGTTCTGGCTAATTCATTGTAACCAAGAGCATTGGGGGAGGGTTGCCTAAGCATCAAGATTCCATTTCTCTTGAAATGTAGAGTTTCGGATGGGGGAGGTGCAGGACACAAGCCTGGAGCAATTTGGCAGCAGCTTTCCTCCAAATGGGCAAGCAGGAAGTTGCCTGAGGACCGTAGATAACCTGTGGTCTGAGAATCACCAAGACCCATGAAATCACAAACCATGGCGAATTGTGGTGAATCACAGTGAACTGCACTGCTGAGAACTGCATTTGGGCAAAAGAGGGCCGGGAAGCCTAAAGGGCGAGTCCATTGTGGCCAGTTACAGTACCACAGGATTACGGGTTTAGCGGACCGCGGGCAACTGGCGAACCACTCGCAATTGGCAAATCGCTGGCAATTAGCAAGCCATGGGCAACTGTGAGCCTCGGGCAACTGTAAGCCACGGGCAGCTGGTGAGCCACGGGCAGCTGGTGAGCCACAGGCAACTGGTGAGCCGCAGGCACCTGGTGAGTCGCGGGCAACTGGTGAGCCGCGGGCAACTGGTGAACCACAGGCAACTGGCAAGGCCCAGCCCAGTGAGCGAAGTCATTTCTCACAGATCCACAAACTCTTAGCAATTCCAGCCTGGGGTGTAAACAATGCCCCAGTTCCCAAGATGCCCAGCTGCCCACCCTCTACTTGGGGACGCGGAGGAGCTAGCAGTCTTGGGGTGAAGCTAAAGGTGTCAATCTCCTCAGAGACCCCAAAATTCAATAACTCAGACTCAGACCTAAAGCAGGTTTCATTCTCAGGGAAGATCAAGCCAGCTGCCAGGTGCATCTGCCGGCCTCCTCGGGTGAGAGTCATTTACATAACAAGCAGCGCCAGGTGGGGGTAGCCCCATCCCTGATGTTCAAGAGTGTTCAAGTTGGTTTTTTCCTTCTTTCTTTTCTTTTTTTTTCTTTATTTAGTCTTTTAAACTCTACCCTATCTTACTCTTCTTAAAAAACAGGGTGTTCAGGCCAAGGTGCGGTGGCTCACGCCTGTAATCCCAGCACTTTGGGAGGCCGAGGTGGGCGGATCACGAGGTCAGGAGATCGAGACCATCCTGGCTAACACGGTGAAACCCCGTCCCTACTAAAAATACAAAAAATTATCCAGGCATGGTGCCTGTAGTCCCAGCTACTCGGGAGGCTGAGGCAGGAGAATGGCATGAACCCAGGAGGTGGAGCTTGCAGTGAGCCGAGATCGTGCCACTGCACTGCAGCCTGGGCAACAGAGTGAGACTCCATTAAAAAAAAAAAAAACAGGGTGTCCCTAGGCAGGCTGTAAGGAACAGAATTTACAGAGTTCATCTTGGGGTGGCAGGGAGGATGGTTGTTGCTTTTCTTATCCTGCCTTATCCCACATGGGATGACCTCAGAGTGGACACAAGACATTAAGGAGCTACCCGAGCAGAGTTCACCTGGTTCACCTGTCCACCCCACACATGAAGAAAAGCTAGTGTAGTGTGGTCGCCCAAGCCCCAGCTGCAGATCAGGGATTTTGTGGTTCTGAAGGGGAATGGGTACCAAAATGCTTATACAATTCGTAGTGTTTTCAGTAACTATACCATGAAATTCATTCCATTTATTCAGTACAACAATGCTAGGAAATGGGTCTTCCGTTCTCCAGTTTTACAGAACACCAGACTGGCTGGCACCTCTCACTCACTGAGCAGGTCAGGGTTGCAAAAACCATCAAGGAAAAGAACTGGGGTCACAGGTGGGTTTTCGACGGGAGAACTGGGTCTTTGGGACCCTCAGAACGGTTTCCCTAAGCCAGGATGAAGGTCTGGGGCAATTCCTACTGCAGAATTTCAGCAAATACTCGAAAGGGTGCAAAAAGTTACCTGGGATTAGTGGTTGGCATTATTTCACACAGATACCCCGCAATGATAACCTGCGGATCTGAGAATCTCAGAGACGCATTAAGTTGCAAACCAGGGTGAAGTGTGGTGAATCACAGGGAATGATGGTGCAGGGAAGGGCCAGGAAGCCTAGCAGGTCAGGGCAGCTCAGATCCTTTGTAGCAAATTAAAGTGTATCAGAGAACCGCGGGCAAATGGCGAACCGCGGGCTACTGGCAAACCCAGTTCAGTGGTAGGACTATGTGCTCTCTTGTCCAAGGAGTAGTTAGCATCTTGGCATGAAGCTGCAGATGCCAAATCTCCTCAAATACCCCAAAATTCAATTCCTTGGCCCCCAGAGATGAAAAGAAGAGAGGACAGCAAGTCTCCCTCAGGGCGGAGGGGGCCAGGAGGGCGCTTTGCTAGCCCCAAAGCGGAGGCTTCAGGCAGAGAAAGACATTTGCAAAACAGTAAGAGGAGTGGGAAGCCTCATCTGAAATTCGGTGGGCTTTTTAGTATTCCTCTTCTTAAAGGAACATCCCCAGCAGGCTTTACAGAGCTGCTCAAAGGGTGAAATTTACCAAAGTCATCCCAGGGAAGGGTGGTTGTTGCTGTTCTAGTTCTCTCATCCCAGGTAGGAGAAGCACAGAGCGAACCCTGGACAGTTTGGTGTGGGTGAGGAAAGCCGTTCTGGTGACACCAGTCCCCTAGATCAGGGAACAGCCACACACCACTCCAAGGATCAGAGATGAATGAATGCCTGGCAATTCATGGTAAACTGAGGGCACAAACCACAGCCTGAGCCAGATGTGCTGGCTCACGCCTGTGATCCTAGCTACTCAAAAGGCTGACACAGAAGGATCCATTGAGGTCAGGAGTTCAAGGCCAGCCTGAGCAACAGTACAAGACCCCGTCTTGGGGGAAAAAAAAAAGCAGCAGCAAAACACAATCTGGCAGCAGTGGAGCAGGGAGAAAGAAGAACCCAGGGAATGTCATTGTACCCACCAGTTATGGTGTTCCAGACTGCGGGCCACTGGCGAACCATGCACCACTGGCGAACCACGCACCACTGGCGAACCACGCGCCACTGGCGAATCGTGGCAAGAGGAAAATAGCCTCTCACAGACCTGCAAAGTTTGTGATCCCCTATTTAGGATCTGGGGCATGAAATCCTCACTTCCTAATCACCTAGTAGCCAGTAGCCCAATCCAACTCCTGGGCTCAGCGCTGTTGGAGGTCTTGAGAACCCTGCAAATGTCAAATTACATCAAAAATGCGGAACTCGATTCTATAGTCCCTAGGGCCAAAAAAACAAAAGAGGAGTGTACTCTTCCCCAAGGAAGGAGTCCATTCTCATTCCACAGGGGTGCTTTGCCAGTTCCAGTGCTCAGGCCCCCAGCTGACAGAGCTATTTGTGAGACAGCAGGAGAGCAGAAGGTAATTCCTTGGGCTGTTGATCTTCTCCAACCCTGTGGGGCCTCTCTTCTTAAAGGAGCCAAGTGTCTCCAGACAGGCTCTCAGGGGTGGTTTGGGATTGAAATTTACCAAGTTCAAAGTGAGAGCAAGTACTAAGCATATTTATCTCGTTCTCGCCCGGGGCCTGAAGGGCAAAGCTCTTTGGGGTCGTGGAGGAACATTTCCCTAAGCATGGGCAAAGTCTTCCAGCAATCCCAAACCCCATCCCCAGCCAGTAAGCAAATGAATGAAACACAATGTAGCTTCTACGATATTGGCGCCAGCACTGTAAGGGGCACGGGGACCCTCCTGCAGTGAGCTGATGCAGAGAGTCAAGGCATATGGCAACTTGAGGTCACGGGGTACCAAAGCCCCTCCAGGCATGGGAACCAGGAGACCACAACACCGTTAATAGTGGTGGGAAGCAAGCGTGCCAGTGACCGGTGGGCCGAGCGAGCCTGGCACTCAGCGGCATGATGCAGGGCAAACCGCAACACCGCTGGTTGGGTCCCTGCTCTCCATCTCAGCAGCCTTAGGGTGACCCTAAAGCCTGACTCCAAAGTCCCCAGGGTTGCACTTAAGAAGGGGTTGGGGCTGGGCAGGCCTCCCGTCGTGATCACCTACCTTCTCAACCCCACCACCTTTGGACATTTTCAAGCTAGCATGACCAGGTTAGAGTGGTGGAAAATGAATTCTGCTTTGTTTCTCTTCGTCTTTTTTTTTTTTTTTTCCTGAGACGGAGTTTTGCTCTTGTTGCACAGGCTAAAGTGCAATAGCGTGATCTCAGCTCACTGCAACCTCTGCCTCCTGGGTTCAAGTGATTCTCCTGTCTCAGCCTCCCAAGTAGCTGGGATTATAGGCGTGCACCACCACGCCCAGCTAATTTTGTATTTTTAGTAGAGACGGGGTTTCTCCATGTTGGTCAGGCTGGTCTCGAACGCCCAACCTCAGGTGATCTGCCCCCCTGGGCTTCCCAAAGTGCTGGGATTACAAGCATGAGCCACCACAGCCGATCTTCTCTTCTTTTATTATTATTTTTTTTATTTTTGAGACAGAGTCTCGCTCTGTCACTCAGGCTGGAGTGCAGTGGCGCCATCTCAGCTCACTGCGGCCTCCTCCTCCCAGGTTCGAGAGATTCTTTTGCCTCACCTCCCAAGTAGCTGGGATTACAAGTGCCCACCACCATGTCCAGCCAGTTTTTGTATTTTTTGGTAGAGATGGGGTTTCACCATTTAGCCAGGCTGGTCTCAAACTCCTGACCTCAGGTGATCCACCTGCCTCGGCCTCCTGAAGTGCTGGGATCACAGGCGTGAGCCACCGCGCCCAGACTAATTTTTGTATTTTTGCAGAAACGGGGTTCCGCCATATTGGCCAAGCTGGTCTTGAACTCTTGACCTCCAGGTGATCTACCCGCCTCAGCCTCCCAAAGTGCTAGGATTACAGGCATGAGCCACCGCTCCCGGCCAGTGCTTCTCTCCTTAAAGCAACAGCCAGGAGCCGCTCCTCAGACCAAACACCACCACCCCCAGGGCAGTTTGCTTCCATTCGCTTCCTGCTGAGCCAGCACCACCCCTGCCCCAGGCGGGGAGAGGAGCTCAGAGGATTGGATAGCTCAGGCTGGGAGCTGGGCCAGCTCATCACTGTCTCCTGGGGGCTGGGGAGACCTCCACCCAACTCCACTGTGAGGAGGGCTCTTCAGGGACCCCCAGGCTGCCAGATCGCTGCCAACTCTTTAATTCGCTGAGATCTCAGAGGCGATTGACCTTGACCTGACATTTATTTCGCCGCATCCTCACATGAATCCCTGGAGGTGTATTTTTGTTATTCTCCAATATTATAGGTGCCTAACTAGAAAAGCGGCCGGGTGCAGTGGCTCACACCTGTAATCCCAGCACTTTGGGAGGCCGAGGCAGGAGGATCACCCGAGGTCAGGAGTTTGAGACCAGACTGGCCAACATGGTGAAACCCTGTCTCTACTAAAAATACAAAAAATAGGCGTGTGGTGGCACATGCCTATAATCCCAGCTACTCCAGAGGCTGAAGCAGGAGAATCACTTGAACCTGCGAGGCGAAGATTGCAGTCAACGGAGATCGCACCACTGCACTCCAGCCTGGGTGACAGAGCGAGACTCAGTCTCAAAAAAGAAAAGAAAAGAAAAGTGAAGTCACTTGACTTTTTCCACTGGCAGCGCTAAGGTTAGATCCCAGTCCTGTAACAGTCCCAGGCCTCTGTGTGCTGCTGAAAAGGCAACTTTCGGGGTGCAAAATCCCCCATCACAGAACCATGGAGACAGGGCTGGGGAGGGCAGCCATGAGGAGCTTCTCAACATTTGACATGGAGGTTGGGGGCTCAGGTGCCACAAGCCCTTGCTGGAGAAAGGAGTTTGGGGGCAGGGGCTTGGCAGATCCAGAGCGCTTAAATATTCTAGTAAGAATTTGGCCCCGAAAGTTCCTGATGACTGAAAATTCCTCTCAAAGACTTGAGTGTGCCATTAGGATGCAGGCAGGGTCTCCCTGGAGGACTGGTAAAGGATTCTGACACGTGGAAGATGCCAGGAGCCAGGATTTGATGAGTGACTAACTGAGGGGCCCAAACAGCTCCCCATGGACGACTGAGGGAAAGGATCCTGGTGGCAGAAGTGCCATCCTTTTTCGTACACAGCCGCAGCAGTCCCCAAAGCCACACTGACGTTCCCTGGAGCCTCATCGCATTTAATTCTCCCAACAGCCCGATCAGGGAACCGTCATAATATTTTAACCTTTAAGACAATTACAGGAATAATTCTTGTTTCTTGTTTAAAAAAAAGAGAGAGAGAAGAAGAAGAAAAGAGAAAACACAAAACAAAAACCGAAGAATGCAATGGTCTGTGGCTGTGCAGAGTGTGGTTTCTTAGCCCTTTTCTAAACTCCCTCCCCATTCTGCTTCCCTGGGGGAGCCCTGTCACACACAGTTGGGTTCCTGGCATTTCAGAAGACAGTCCTGGAGGAAAGGGCTTCTCCACAGAGCTCAGTGTCACCCCTGGAGGGTCGGGAGACATGCTCAGTTTTAAGGTGCCCCTAGCTCTAACAGGCCCAGGGGTGTCCTTGTGGCCTCAGGGGAGGACCAGGGAGGATGCGGGCAGATTCACCTTTGTGTCTTGTGAAGCCATCTCTCTCTGACCAGGTAGATTACATGCAGCATGGGGTAAAAGCTGAACCCCAAAAAGGACTGGGGGCCTTTGCTGACTTTGAGAGATGCATTTTCCTTTGAATGCAAGCTCACCTTGCCTGAAAACCTTCCCTTTTGAAATGCAAAGGGGTGAGATGAATACTTGATGAGCCCTCCTGGGTCCAGAACTGGATGGAATGTTTCCCCAGAGCGGCAGCCTCAGTCCCACAAAGTCCAGGGAGCAGGTTTGCTGGTTTCCCTTGAACAGAGGAGGCGATGAAAGGCCGCTGTGTGATACAGCGTGAAGATGCCAGTCCCGGGGACCTGCGTCCCAGCTCTGCTCTTTCTCATGGGTCATGTAGCATGGGCTGGAAGAGGTCTGGAAAAAAAAAGGAGACTTTGTTCACCCTCCTCCCTGGGCTGGCTTCTCACCTCCCATGGGGTCTCCCCTTCACCACTCAACTTCATGTCCCTCCTCATCCCTAGGGCTCCACTGTGGGTGGATGGTCCACGGACACGAGCAAGACAGCCTCCCCGTCAGGTCCAGGGGAGCGCCGGGCGGCCCCTGCCTTCCGATGAGGACCAGGAAGCCGTTTACCAGGGAGACCTGCAGAGCGCAGGGCTGAGCTGGGCCTCACTGCTTTCCTTGGGTCCCCGGGGCAAGGTTGGCAGCCATGCCAGGGCCAGCACCCAGGGGTCAGGGTGGGCATGGGCAGCAGGTGGTGGACACTGGAACACAATGCCTGACACCACCCGGTGGTGTGGCCCACAGACAGCGCTGGCCAGTGTCCTCAAGACCAGAAGGAGAAGGTAACAGAGGGAACGCTTGTTGGGGCTCTCTCTGTGCAGAGTAGGAGCAGCCCCTGAGGGAGGTGTCAAGGAGAAAGACCCTCAGAAGGAGAGGGCACTGAGGGGCAGCCCAGAGATGGCTGAGCAAGCACCTTCGTCCCAAGCCCTGTGCAGGGGGATAGCTTGGGTCTAACAGTGCGGGCCGCTGCGTGCAGCTCCATTTTGTTTCCTGCCTGGGCCAGGGGCTTCCCCAGTCCTAGGTCAGCACAGCCAACCAAGAGGACAGGAGATGCGGAGCAAGCAAAAGTCAGGAAGCCAGGAGGCCACTTCCCAAGAAGCCACTTCCCCGGATGCCCTCCGCGCTGTCCTCATACCCATAGAAAGACAGCTCGGCTGCGACGTCCTCTTCCCACAGCCTCCCGGCCAGGGCCCTCCCTGCCAATCCTCCCCACAGGCCAGGCACAAGCTCTGGACGGAACCATCTCTCCTTTAGGCCTCACAATAGCGCTGCAATTTTATTTATTTTTAATTAATTAATTATGTACTTAGTTACTTTTGTATAGAGAAGGGGTTTTGCCATGTTGCCCAGGCTAGTCTCAAACTCCTACGCTCAAGCCATCCTCCCACCTTGGCCTGTCAAAGTGCTGGGATTACAGGCGTGAGTCACCGTGCCAGCCTCTGCTATTTTAATTTCATTTTCTCATGTGCTTCGTCCTGGCTATCAGAGAGTTGGACCGCAGAGAATCTTGTGAGTAAAAAGTGAAGGTAGCTTCCTCCGTGATCAGGACACTCCAGCTGGAACTACTGACAGTAACAGGTGCTTACTGGTGCACACCAGAGGGATGTGGGAGGGGAATGGGCTTCTGGGTCCAGCAAACTCTGCTGTTTTCTCATTTGTTGGTGGTTCCAGGGCATAGCCTTCAGCCCTGTAGCCAGCCATGGGGCCGCCCCCCAGTTTCCCTTTCCCACGGAGACATTCTCTGCCAATAAGATTCTCTTGGGTAGGCTCTGTAAGAGCCTTCCAGAGCATTTTCAGGCACGAATGAATGTCAAAGTGATGTGGGTGGAGGATGGAAACTGTGCGTGGAGTTATCTATTGGTACTTCTGGGCACTTCCATGCCCCACAACACATGCCATCAGCCTCATCTCAACCTTCTCTTGCTCACCCTGTGGGCCCCACTGAGATTGCCCCAGAGAGGATAAAAGGGACTATAGCCCTCATTCTTCCATCTCCTGGCAAACCCACACTTAGCCAGCTGTGTTCTCCCTCCAGCAGGGCAGGGCAATGCAGCAGCCAAGCCGAGGTTTTCAGTCCCATCATGTAATTACTGAGGGCAAGGAAGACTCCTCCAAGCCTAACTCTCCAGAAGGTGCTTTCTCACTGGAAACCTGGAGACCTGTTTAACTCCATCCCAGCGGTACCAAAAGGACGAGGGTTTGTAGCTGTATTTTTTAACTTGATGGAGGTAGACTTGGCATACAATAAACTGCTTATATTTAAACTGTACTAAGGGGTCCATTTTAGCTTAGGTATACAACCGTAACACCATCACCATGGTCAGGACAGGGAACAGATCATCATCCCCAGAAGCTGGCCCCCTTTCCTCAGTTGACCGCCCTGCCACACTGTTCCCCAGCAACCCCTGGTGTACTGTCTCTACAGACTCCTTGGAATTTTCCAGAGTTTTATAAAAATGTACTCTTTTGAGCCTGGCTTCTCTCCCCGCACATTAATTATTCTGAGACGTATCTACATCGCTGCCTATATGAGCAGTTCATTCCTTTCCATTCCTTAGAACTCCCTTGTTGGAAAATGCCATCTGTTGATCTGTTTACCTGTTGATGGACATTAAGGCTGTTTCCAGTTTGGAGCTATTACAAATAAAGCCGGGGTGACCTTCGGGTCTCAATCTTTGCTTGGATATCTGCTTTCATGTCTCATGGGTAATCTTTAGGGGTGGAAGGACTATCGTGTATCGTTCTTCATTTAAAAAAAACTGCCAAATTATTTTCTAAAGTGTTTCACCATTTTACAACCCCCTCAGTGATATATTACAGTTTCAGTTCCTGCACGTCTTCACCCACACTTGATAGGGTCAATCTTTGAAATCTGTGTCAGTTTAATAGCTGTGTGATGGGATCTTATCATGGTTTTAATTGGCATTTTCCTATTAAATAACGATGTTGAACAGGTTTTTGTGTACTGATTTGCCATCCACAGATCTTCACTGGTGTAGCATATGCTCCAATCTTCTGCCTATTTTTTAAATCGAGGTGTTTGTTTTCTTTCTTTCTTATTTATTTTTGACACAGGGTCTCACTTTGTCACCCAGGCTGGAGTGCAGTGGCATGATCATGGCTCACTGAAGGCTTGGCACAGTGGCTCATGCCTATAATCCCAGCACTTTGGGAGGCCAAGGTGGGCAGATCACATGAGGCCAGGAGTTCAAGACCAGCTTGGCCAACATGGCAAAACCCCGACTCTACTAAAAATGCAAAAGTTAGCCGAGGGTGGTGATGCAAGTCTGTAACCTCAGCTACTCAGGAGGCTGAGGCACAAGATTCACTTAAGCGGAGATCGCGCAACTGCACTCCAGCCTGAGCGACAGAGCGAGACCCTGTCTCAAAAAAAAGAAAAAACCAAAACAAAAATATGGCTCACTGCATCCTCAACCTTCCGGGTTCAAATGATCTTCCTGCCTCTCCCTCCCGAGTAGCTGGAACTACAGGTGCACACCACCAGGCCCAGTTAATTTTTGTATTTTTGGGGGACAGGGTTTCACCATGTTGCCCAGGCGGTCTTGAACTCCTAGACTCAAGTGATCTGCCCACCTCAGCCTCCCAAAGTGCTGGGATTCAAGGTGTTAGCCACTGTGCCCAGCCTGTTAATTTTCTTATTATTAAGTTTTAAGAGTCTATATATTCTGGATGAAAGTTCTTTTTCAAATACATACATTGCAAATATTTTCTGAGGTCTATGGCTTATCTTTTCATTCTCTTAAAAGTGTTGCAGGAAGAGAAGTTTTGATTTTAATGACGTCGTATTTATCAATTTATTATTTTATGATATCATCATTAAGAATTATTATTTTTATTTATTTTATTTTATTTTTTTTGAGACGGAGTCTCACTCTGCCGCCCAGGCTGGAGTGCAGTGGTGCCATCTCGGCTCACTGCAAGCTCTGCCTCCCAGGTTCATGCCATTCTCCTGCCTCAGCCTCCCGAGTAGCTGGGACTACAGGCGCCGGCTACCACGCCCGGCTTTTTTGTATTTTTAGTAGAGACGGAGTTTCACCGTGTTAGCTAGGATGGTCTCGATCTCCTGACCTCATGATCCACCTGCCTCAGCCTCCCAAAGTGCGGGGATTACAGGCATAAGCCACTGCGCCCGGCCCATCATTAAGAAATCTTAAACCAGTGTCACAAAGATTTTCTCCTGTATGTTCATATAGAAGTTTAACCGTCTTAGGTTTTACATTCGGGTCTATGATGTATTTTGAGGTCAGTTTTGTATTTGTTGTATGGTATGAATTGGAGTTTTGTTTTGGGGGTTTTTTTGTTGTGGTGGTTTTGTTTTGTTTTTTGAGACAGGGTTTTGCTTTGTCACCCAGGCTGGAGTGCATTGGTATGATCTCGGCTCACTGCAGCCTCGACTTCCTGGGCTCAAGTGATTTTCTCACCTCAGCCCCACAAGTAGCTGAAACTACAGGCACACATCATCCACCTAGCTAATTTTTTTGTATTTTTTGCCATTTTGCCCAGGCCGGTCTCAAGCTCCTGAGCTCAAAGTGATCTGCTCGCCTCAGCTTCCCAAAGTGCTAGGATTACAGGCATGAGCCACCACACAAGACTGTGGGGTTTTTTTTGTTTTTTTTTTGCATATGAATATCTAATTGTTCCAGTATCATTTGTTGAAAAGACTATCCATTCTTTTCTGAATTGCCTTTGCGTGTTTGTCAAAAATTAGGAGTCTTTATGTGTGTAGATCTATCTCTGTGTTCTCTGTCCTGTCCCATTGATCTGTTTGTCTCTCTTCTTACCAAGACCACGCTTTAAAAAATTACCATAGCTTTATAATGAGCCTGGAAATCAGGCTGTATCAGCCTACCAATTTTATTCTTCTTCAGAATTGCTTTAAGTGGCATTATCCTAATAAATAATGAAAATTCTTTTTCAGAATTGCTTTGACTATTCTGGGTCTTTTTGAATTTCCATATGAATTCTAGAACCAACTTAGAATGAGTTTATAAATTTTTATTTTTAAAAGCCCTTCTGGGATTTCACTTGGAATTGTGTTGCTGTGTAGAATAGTTTGAGGAGAAATGACATCTTACTAAGTCATCCAGCCCATGAACAAAGTGTATCTCTCTATTTACATCTTTAATTTCTCTCAGCAATGTTTTGTAGTTTTTCTTGTACAGACCTTTCATATCTCCCATCAGATTTATCCCTAAATTTCATGTATTTTGATGTTATTGGCATTTTTTTTTCAATTTCTGATTATTTGTTGCTAGTATGTAGAAATGCAATTGATTTTTTTATATTGATCTTGTATCCTGCAATCTTGCTAAACTCACTTATTGATTCTAGGAGCTTTGTTGTAATAGATTCCAAGAGATTTCCAACATAGATGATCATGCCATCTGCAAATAAAGTTTTACTGCTTTCTTTTCAATCTGAGTGCCTTTCATTTATTTCTTTATCTTTTTTTCCTTTTGCCTGTTTTCTCATCTGTCTCATTGGTGTCATTGTACCAGAACAATGTTGAACATAAGTGGTGAGAACACACATCCTTGTCTCGTTACTTTTCTCAAAGGGAGAGAATTCAATCTTTCACCACTAAGTCTGATGGAAGCTATAAGATTTTTGCACATTGAGGAAGTTCTCTTTTATTCCCAGTTGCAGAAGGTGTTTCTTAGAAATGAATGTTGAATTTCATGAAATGCATTTTCTATGTCGGTTAAGATGATCACATGGTTTTTCTTTTTTAATGCATTAACATGGTGAATTACATTGATGGATATTCTTCTTTTTTCTTTTTTGAGACAAGATCTCACTCCATCACCCAGTGATGCAGTGACACAATCTCGGCTCACTGCAACTTCCGTCTCCTGCCTGGGCTCAAGCAATCCTCCCATCTCAGCCTCCCGAGTAGCTGGGAACACAGGCATGTACCACCACACTCGGCTAATTTTTTCTATTTTTAGTAGAGACAGGGTCTCACTATGTTGCCCACGCTGGTCTTGAACTCCTGTGCTCAAGCAATCCTCCCACCTCGGCCTCCCAAAGTGCTGCGATTGCAGGAGTGAGCCACTGCACCTGGCCACATTGATGATGGATTTTCAAATGTTAAACCAATTCTATATTCTTAAAATACAATTACCGCATTTGATAATAAATATTTTTCATGTTACATATTGTTTGATTCAATTTGTTAAAATTTGCTAAAGATTTTTGTGTCTATGTTAATAAGAGATATTTGTCTACAGTTTTCTTTTCTCGTAATAACTTTATCTGGTTTTCATAAAACCAAGTTAATGCTGGTCTCTTAGAATAAGTTAGGATGCATTCCCTCCTTTTGAATCCTCTAAACAGTTTTTGTAGAATTGGAATTATTTCTTCCTTAAATGTTTGGTAGAATTTACTATCAAAGCCATCTGGGCCTGGAATTTTCTCTGTGGGAAAGTTTCTTTTTTAATTTAATTTTTATTTTTAGGGACAGACTCTTGCCCTCTTGCCCAGGCTGGAGTGTAGTGGCACAATCATAGTTCATTGCAGCCTCAACCTGTTGGGTTCAAGTGATTCCCCTGCCTCAGTATACCAAGTAGTTAGGACCATATGCATGTGCCACAGTGCCAGGCTAATTTTTTTTTTTTTTTTTTGTATAGAAGGAGTCTTGCTGTGTTCTCCAGGCTGCTCTTGAACTCCTGGCCTCAAGCGATCCTCCCACCTGGGCCTCCCAAAATGTTTGGATTACAGGCGTGAGCCACTATGCCAGGCCTTCTGGTGGAAAGTTTCTAACAACAATTTTTTTCATGTACATACAACTATTTAGGTGATCTGTGTCTACTTGAATGAGGTTTCATTGTGTGTGTGTGTGTGTGTGTGTGTGTGTGTGTGTGTGTGTTTTGTTTTTGTTTTTGTTTTTTGAGACAGAGTTTCACTCTTGTTGTCCAGGCTGGAGTGCAATGGCACCATCTCGACTCACTGCAACCTCCGCCTCCCAGGTTCAAGTGTCTCCTGCCTCAACCTCCCGAGTAGCTGGGATTACAGGCATGTACCACCACACCCAGCTAATTTTGTAGTTTTAGTAGAGATGGAGTTTCTCCATGTTGGTTGGGCTGGTCTCAAACTCCCAACCTCAGGTGATCCGCCCACCTCGGCCTCCTAAAGTGCTGGGATTACAGGTGTGAGCCACTGTGCCCGGCCTATAGTGTGTTTTTTTTAGAAGGAATTTAAGAATTTCTGCCTTTGTACAACTTAAGAGACATCCCAGAAATTCTATGTTTTTTGTTTGTTTTGTTTTGAGATGGAGTCTCTCTCTGTCACCAGGCTGGAGTGCAATGGCACAATCTCGGCTCACTGCAACCTCTCCCTCCCAGGTTCAAGCGATTCTCCTGCCTCAGCCTCCCGAGTAGCTGGGATTACAGGCATGCGCCACCACACCTGGCTAATTTTGTATTTTTAATAGAGATAGGGTTTCTTCATGTTGATCAGGCTCGTCTCGAACTCCTGACCTCAGGTGGTCCGCCTGCCTCGGCCTCCCAAAGTGCAGGGATTACAGGCGTGAGCCACGGCAACCGGCCTCTATGTTGTATTTTAACTTTCATTCAGTGCAAAATACTTTCTGCTTTCTCTTTTTATTCCTCTTTGACTCATGAGTTATTTAGAAATGTGTTATTTAGTTTCCAAGTGCTTGGGAATTTCCCAGACATCTGTCTGTTATTGATTTCTAATTTCATTCCACTGTGGTCAGAGAATATACTTTGTGTGACTTGTATCCTTTTAAATATACTGAGACTTATTTTATGACGCAGAATATGATCTATCTTTATAAATGTTCCGGGTACGCTTGAACGGAATTTGTATTCTGCTGTTGTTGGGAGGAGTGTTCTATAAATGTCAGTCAGGTCAAGTTGGCTGATAGTGTTATTCAAGTGTGCTATATCCTTGTTCCATCAAGTTTTGAAAAAGGGATATTGAAATATCCAACTCTATTTGCAGACTTGGCAATTTCTCCTTGCAGCTCTCCCAGACTTTATTTCATGTATTTTGCAGCTCTGTTATTAGAAACAGAGCTATCTGGGGCCGGGCGCAGTGGCTCACGCCTGTAATCCCAGTGCTTCGGGAGGCCGAAGCGGGCAGATCACGAGGTCAGGAGATCGAGACCATCCTGGCTAACACGGTGAAACCCTGTCTCTACCAAAAATACAAAAAATTGGCCAGGCATGGTGGTGGGCGCCTGTGGTCCCAGCTACTCAGGAGGCTGAGGCAGGAAAATGGCGTGAACCCGGAAGGTGGAGCTTGCAGTGAGCCGAGATGGCGCCACTGCACTCCAGCCTGGGTGACAGAGAGAGACTTGTCTCAAAAAAAAAAAAAAAAGAAAGAAAGAAAGAAAGAAAGAAAGAAAGAAAGAAAGAAAGAAACAGAGCTATTTAGGATTGCTGTGTCCTCTGGATTAATGACCTCTTTATCATTTTAAAATGAACTTTTATAGCACTGGTGATACTCTTTGCACTGAAATCTACCAGTCTAACATTGATATAGCCACTCCAACTTTCTTTTGATGTGCATTATCATGGTGTATCTTTTTCCATCCTTTTACTTTTTTTTTTTTTTTTTTAAGATGGAGTCTCTCTCTGTTGCCCAGGCTGGAGTGCATGGCATGTTCTCGGCTCACTGCAACCTCCGCCTCTTGGGTTCGAGCAATTCTCCTGCCTCAGCCTCCCGAGTAGCTGGGATTACAGGCTCATGCCACTGCGCCCAGCTAAAATTTTTGTATTTTTAGTAGAGACAGGTTTCTCCATGTTGGCCAGGGTGTTCTTTTTCTTTTCTTTTTTTTTTTTTTTTTGAGACGGAGTCTCTCTCTGTCGCCCAGGCTGGAGTGCAGTGGCGGGATCCTGGCTCACTGCAAGCTCCACCTCCCAGGTTCACAGCATTCTCCTGCCTCAGCCTCCCGAGTAGCTGGGACTACAGGCGCCCGCCACCACGCCCAGCTAATTTTTTGTATTTTTAGTAGAGACGGGGTTTCACCATGTTAGCCAGGATGGTCTCAATCTCCTGACCTCGTGATCCACCCGCCTCGGCCTCCCAAAGTACTGGGATTACAGGCGTGAGCCACCGCGCCCGGCCAGCCAGGGTGTTCTGAAGCTCCTGACCTCAGGTGATCCACCCTCCTTGAGCTCCCAAAATGCTGGGATTACAAGCATGAGCCACTGCACCTGGCCTCATCCTTTTACTTTTAACCTATTTGTGTCTTTATCCCAGAGGGGCATTTACTGTAGGCGGCATTGGGTCTTGCTTATCTGTGAATGGGAGCGTTTATCAATTTAATGTGATTATAAACTTAGGTAAATTTAAGCCTATTGTCTTACTATTTGTTTTCTAGCCCACCATTCTTTGTTTTCTTTCTCCTCTTTTTCTGCATTCTTAGGACTACTTTATATTTTTTATTATACCAGTTTATCTTTTTGTGGGCTTATTAGCTAGAACTCTGTTTCATTATTTTTGCCATTGCTTTAACATTTACAGTCTACCTCCAAGTCATATACTGCTTCACCTGTAGTATAAGAACCTTCCGTTTCTCCACTCCCAATCTCTATGCTACTGTTACACATTTTACTTATATATTGTAAACCCTACGATGCACTATCAACATTTTTAACTATCAATTATCTTTTAAGAAACTTAAAGAAAAAAATTGAATATTTACCCATATAGTTACCATTTTTGGTGTTCTTTCTTTGTGTAGATCCAGAGTTCTAATATCATTTTGTTTATGCTTGACGGATTTCTTTGACATTTCTTGAGGTGTGGATCTGTTGGTGATGAACTCTTTCAGCTTTCGTTGGCCTGGGTTTATTTCACCTTTGTTTTTACACGATATTTTCACTGGGGCTAGAATTCTAGGTTGACAGTTCTTTTCTTTAAGTGCTTGAAAGATTGCTGCCCCTCTATCTTCTTGTGTGTGTTGTTTCAAACAAGAAATCTGCCTTGATCCTTATCTTTGTTTCTCTGTTTGTACCATGTCCTTTTTCTTCTGGCTGCATTTAAGACTTTTTTTTTTCTTTACTACTGGTTTTGAGCCTTGGTCGGTTTTTTTCTTGTTTTTGTGCTTAGGGTTCATTGAGTTCCTTGGATCTGAGGGTTTACAGTTTTCATCAAATTTGGAAAAATTTTAGCCACTACTCTTTCAAATATTTTTTCTGTACCCCCCGCCCCCCGCCGCCCCCCACCGCTCTCTCTCCTCCGTTTCAGGCTCTGGAATTACCTCCATATTAGGCTGCTTGAAATTGTCCCACAACTCTCGATGCCATGTTAACTTTTTTGGATTGTTCTCCCTCTCTGTATGTTTTATGTTGTATAGTTTCTGTTGGTAAATCTTCAAGCTCACTAAGCTTTCCTTCTGCAGTGTGTACTCTGCCAATGGTCTCACTCCGTGTAATTTTCACCCCACACATTTCATTTCTAGAAGTCCAATTCAGTTCTTTTGTAATATCGTCTGTGTCTCTGCTTAACTTTTTGAACGTATGAGAGACAGTTCTTTTTTTCCTTTCTTTCTTTCTTTTGAGGTGGAGCTGACTCTGTCACCCAGGCTGGAGTGCAGTGGTGCAATCTTGGCTCACTGCAATCTCCACCTCCTGGATTCAAGCGATTCTCATGCCTCAGCCTCCGAAGGGATTACAGGCATGCACCACCACACCCGGCCAGTTTTTTGTATTTTTAGTAGAGGTGGGGTTTCGCCATGTTGGCCAGGCTGGTCTCGAACTCCTGACCTCAGGTGATCCACCCACCTCGGCCTCCCAAAGTGCTGGGATTACAGGCGTGAGCCACCACGCCCAGCCAGGGAGACAGTTCTAATAACTACTTCAATGTCCTTTTCTGCTAATGCTCACATCTGGATAAGTTCTGGGTTGGTTTTGATTAATTCATTAGTCTCTTAATTGTGGGTTGTGTATTTTTTGCCCCTTTGAATGCCTGGTAAATTTGCAGATGTTGTGAATTTTACCCTGCTTGTGTGCTGGAGGTATATGTATTTCTAAAAATGTCCAGCTTTGTTCTGGGATGCAGTTAATTTACCTGGAAAGAGTTTGATCCTTTTGGATCTTGTTTTTACCATTCATTAGGTCTGAAGCAGCATTTAATCTGGGGTTAATTATTTCCCTCATGGAGGCACTCGCTTCTTGAGAAACCTCTCCAATGCCCTGTGAGGATGAGCATTTCCAGGCTGCTTGGTGGAAATGGACACTAGTCCCCGCCCTACATGAACGCTGGGCACTGGTCTCCCTAATCTTTTTGGACAGTTTAAGATTTTTTCTTTCTTTCTTTCTTTCTTTCTTTTTTTTTTTTTTGTTTGAGACAGAGTCTTACTCTGTTGCCCAGGTTGGAGTGCAGTGGCATGATCTAGGCTCAGTGCAACCTGTCTCCCAGGTTCAAGTGATTCTCCTGCCTCAGCCTCCCAAGTAGCTGGGATTACAGGCGCACGCCACCATGTCCAGCTAATTTTTGTATTTTTGTTGAGACGGGGTTTTGCCTTTTTGGCCAGGCTGGTCTTAAACTCCTGACCTCAGGTGATCCACCCGCCTCAGCCTCCCAAAATGCTGGGATTACAAGCGTGAACCACCACACCTGGCTAAGATTCTTTTCTTTATTGCTGGATTTGAGCAGCCTCGTGTAGTTTCCTTCTGTGCATGAACTGATCAGGCCTCTGCTGGATCCTTGAGGGGCACCCCTGTCATTCCCCAGGGCTTCTCTCTGTGTAGCTCTTTCCCCCCCAGGGCTCTGTCCTGAGAGCAGTAACTGCTTCGGTCTCCGGAGATGCTCAGCTCTGTCTCCTGAACTCAGGAAATCCTCAGGCTACTGCCTGCGTTTTCCATCCCTGAGCCACAGCCTCACATCTCACCCAGGGAAGTAAGCTGGGGCAGTGGTAGGACACATTCATGTTTTTCACCTTTCCATAATGTCCAGTGTCCTGAGCCAGGTCCATCTGTTCCATCTAGTGTTGGTGGTTGCTTCTCACACATGTGGCTGTTCCCTGTGACTCTGTCCCAACCAGAAATGGGAATTCAGCAGCCACATTGCTGAGACATCTTCTCACCTCCCCAGTGCCCACCCTGACCAGCACCCCTGCCCCCCACCTGCCAGCTTTAATTATCTGCATTCCGTTTAGCCCGACAAAAAGGATGGAACCTGCCAGTGGGGGGACCCCCATTGTTTGGCTGTAAAAACAGCCCCCTGACTTTCTCCAGAAAACCAAGGAACAGTCCAGACACGGCATCTAAGGTGGTTTGGAGGGTCACAAGCACTCGGGCCCCAGCTCAGCAAAACTGCCAGGACTCCAGCAAATCGTGAGGGCATTCACCACGGGGTGGATGTGAGAAGTGTGGGGATGGGACAGGACTAGGAAGACACTGAGTGTCAAGACTGCGGGGCAGATGCAGTCCCTGAGAAGAGGCTTTGCACAGTGCAGAAGGCAGCAGCTCTGAGGGCACAGACTCGTGGGGAGAATGACAGAGATGTGGAGGGTGGTCTGCCTTGGAGGATGAAAGTTTCTACCAATTGCTCTTTTTCTCTAGGTAGAAAAAGGGGACCGGCTCTGGAGAGGGGCAGGGTGGGGCCGGGCTCCCTAGGCAAAATCTATTCCTGAATGTCCCTCGTCCTGTGGAGTGGCAGTGAGGCCTGAAACCCCCTGGCTTCACCCCGCGGGGCCAGGTCAGGACAGCGCGGCCAACCCAGGGCTGAGGCAGGGCAGGCTGGGCCTCATGCAGCATGTACCCAGGCAGGGCCCCAGCCATGGCGCCAGCAGGGTATCAGTTAATCTCCATAAGAGGCTGGCGAGGGTGGGTTCTTGGCCCCATTTTACAGATCAGGGGCCAGATTTCCCAAGCTGCTCAGCTGACAGATGGCGACAAACCAAAGGGCCGACCTGAAGCCGGTCTGTGCTCCAGCCGTGGGCCTCCACTTCACTGTCCTTGAGATCTCAAAACCCCTACTCCCAAAATTTCCAGGCTGGGTAGCCTCTAGAGGCATCCTGGCCCCCAGCCCCTGACTTCTGGCCCATTGCCGTGTGCCCACTCAGAGAGGGAGCATGGAAGACCTTTCCGTCTCCCTTCGGGCCTTATAAGTAAAACCCAGCTGCGCTTCCCTCATGCCATCTGCACCGGTTAATGATAGATTGAGAGGATGCTGGCCTGGCCATGGGTGAGGGTCTGTCCTAAATAGGACATGTCAAGTGCCCAGCAGGATAGCTCTGTGTCCTGGAGTAAGACAGGTGTGGATCTAAAATTGGAGGAGCGGAGGTGGCGTTGACTTTTTCCAACCTTGGTTCACCCATCCCGCGCCTTCGGCCGGGAAGGACCTGACAGGTGGTCCCAGCCCCTGGGCCCATATGCCTGGATTCCTGTGCTCACAGCAGAGGCCCTAAAATAGACCAGGACATTATACACCATGTCCACAGTGCCCTGCTTCTCCGTGAGGAGTGGCGCGGTTTCCGCCTGGAGTCACAGGGGCTAATCCCTGCTCTTCCCCAAGCCTGTGGCGGATCAGGGGAGCCTGGGTGCCGGGCGGGCCTGGCCCTGTGTTTCTGTTCAGCTGCCTGTTCCCTGTGGGTTTGAGGGCAAGTCACCTAAGTCCTCTGAGCCTCATGTTTCTTGTTCATTCCTGTTTCTCTCTGCCTTTCCCTCTTTAGAGCCTGGAGACATGCCTTTCTCCCAATTAAGTGCCTTAATTATTTGCCATCTTCCTCATTCCAAAAATCCCACAGACAGGACTTAATTCTTCCATCGACACAGAATACCCGGAATTCCGCTATGAGCAAATTCACAATATCCTCTGAAGCCTGCAATTTTCTTCTGCCTAAAGCCAGCTGACGCACACAGGACAGAGCCACGGCTGCCTGCATTTCCTAGCGGAGTACATGATTCATCATTTTCAGACTTGGGGATCAGGGGGCCGGGCAGGGCCTTTATCTGGTGGGAGGCAGGGCGCAACTTCTGCTGATTGCAGACTGCGCAGTCTGTTGTGGCCGATTCTTACAGGAATCCTACAAGAGAGCTCGCTGTCCTTGTTTCACAGCTAAGGAGACAGAGACACAGAGCTAAGAAATAGCACACTCAAGTTCACACAACCAGTAATGACCAGATTTATTACAATTTCTCCCAGTGTCTCAATCTGGAATCATGTTTGTCCCCTCTAGGGCTATAGAAACTGCAAATGATGGTTTCTTATTCTCAGCCCTGAAGCTACCAGTTGCTGAGATGTTGAACAGGAGCTTCCTGGCACTGTGTCCCGTGTCCGGGGCTATTTTAGGTGTCAGAAATTCATGCACATTTAGCACATGGCCAGGACCACTGGAGTATCCCTCCTGCCCTGCCTGTGCTCCTCAGCCCACCCCAAGACCCTCTTCCATTTCCTGCTAGGCAGCAGATGGAGGAGGATAGGGTCTTCACCTGACAACTCCTACCCCTGAAGAAACTCTGGCGGCTTGAAGCCCAGGTCCTGTGGACACTTTCTGACCTTCTGTCCATGCCTGTAACCTCTGGACCACCCTGAAAGGTTTCTCTAAAGTGGTTGCCTCTGTTAGACCATAGAAGCTGGCCAACTAGCTGATCCCCTGTCTGGAAAGCCTGATGGCTGTAACCTGCCTTCCTGCAACAATTTGGACAAACATCATCAATCTGCAGTTTCTTAACAGGATCTCATTTGTCCTGGTTCTCAGGCAGGGGTGGTAGGAGCCGAGGGCAGGGCCTTGGCCTGCAGGACTGTGTGCGCATCAGCAGCGAGCAGCCATGTGCAGACTGCTTTGACATGCGTCATCCTGAATGCTTTTAGCCACCCGTGGGAAGAGAATGCCAAGGGCCAGAGGAGACAGCTTGAGCCCACAGTCTTTGAATTCAGGTCTGTTTTTGTCTGAAATTCACAGCATATCTTTTTGGGAGGTTCAGAAATGTTCACCTTTCAAATCCTATGCCCAGGCTACCTCCCTAGCAGACAGTCAAGGGTGGCACCAACATGAAGTGCCACGTCCCAACCTATGTTCAGGACCTGGTTTGGTTCCAGGCATCTGAGCACTTCCAACAGGTGGTAGGACCACCCAAATGTCCCCCAGCCACAAGTGGAGCAGGCGCCACTGGGAGGAGGACAGAGCCTGTGCAGACCGGAATGTTTAAGTGCCTGCAGTCTGGTTTCAGCTTTGCCTCCATGTGGGACCTACATTTATTGGTCTTTTTATTAATAACTGACCAGCACCAGGCTCAACAGCAACTCTGGTTTTTGCAGACTTCTTCCCATTCTTCAATCAGAAGCTTCAGGGGTGCAAGAGATCTTTAGGAGAAGTTTCCTGAGCCCCATGGTCTGCGGAGGTTTTCTTTCCATTTGAAACAAGTCTTTGAAGTCTGAACAATTCTCCTGGAGGGCTGCAGGCCTGGGAGTCAAAGCATTTCAGGGATTTGAGACCACGCACGGAAGGGAAGGCCACTCAGTCTTTCCTGAGCTCACGGCCCCTTCATCCATCTGGGATGAGGGCCTCCCCTGAGTACAGGCCACTCAGGCTCCTGACACCACCCTGCAGAAGTCCTCCGTGGCCACAGCTTTCTGGAGCTATGCTCAACCTCACTACAGAAACATCTGCATTCAAACCTGCCGTTAAATTTGAGGAGATGGCCTAATCCTGGATGTGCACCCCAAGCCCTACTTAAGAGGCCTCTGAATTCATCAGCCCCAGATATCCCTTAGACTTCAAAGCCATCCTCTGGATTCCAGGGGGCAGCCAAGAGGTTAGGGTGATGTAACATCTTGATGAGTTGGGAGGGGTGGCCGTCCCAGATCAAGTGATGCCTTCCAGGAACCAGGGACAGATTTTAGGCAGAGACCCACAGTACAGACATTCCCGGCCTTGCCCCGCCCTGTGCTAGGTGAGGACGGGGCTATGCCCTCCCTCCAGTGACCTGAGACATGCATGGAGCTCTGGACAGGAAGTCCTCCCCCAAACCCTCTCTCTTGCAGGCTGCTGGTCTCCCAGCACCATCACGGGAGGGCAGCTCTGTGTGCGCAAATACACGAACACCAAGGTGCTGCTTCATCTATGGGTTTTAAAGAGAATTTCAATATGATTTATCTTCCAATACAGGAACTTGGCAAGATCTGCTTGTTCCAGGATCGGGAGAGCCTCAGAGCAAGGTCTGGGTGGCCCTGCAGGGGGAGAGTCAGAGGACAGCGGGAGGTAGCCGGCTGGGGAGGCCTCTCCCCACAGATGGCAGGAAATGGGGACAGGCCGCCAGGCAGGATTGGCCCAGGCCTTGAGGCCACAGGGGGGCCCCACCTCCAGACGTGCCTGGCCTGGGTTTCCTGGCCTTTGGCGCTGGAAGGCCACACAAAGATGGTATTCATGGTGAGGCCTTAAATTCTCTCCGGAATGAGGCAGGGTTTAAATAAATACATAAGAAGGTTGGATCCTGGGCCAGACTGAGCTTGCACAGGGCGGTGGGTGCTGTGAAGGCCGAGAGAGAGAGAGGGTGCCCCTCCCATGCACACCCAACTTTGTGCAAAATTAGTAAAAAAATGTTTCTTCCATGTCAATTAATGGGGAACTCCCGTGCACCCCCATTCAGTGAGAGTCGTGAAGGATTTGTGTTTGCGGATAGCTCTAGGGGCTGACCATTTACTGGGTATTCTCCATGGGTCAGGCACAGACTGGATGTTACTCAAGACTATAAGGTGGGTAGTAGGTCCTGGGATTCACCCGTTTATTCCTTTACAAAGAGTGACTGGGCTGAGGGCACTATTAAGTATTGGGGTTGCTGGGATGAGAGGACTCCGAGACACACTCTGCTCTCATTCAAGTCACAGTGGGGACAAACAATTAGAAAAGGAGACACCGAGAGTCAGCCCCAGAGCCTAGCTCGTGCAGGCGTTGGGGTGAGTGAAACAGGTTCTCAGCTCTGCTTTGCAGATGGGGAAACTGAGGCAGAGACTTGCATTAGGAAATGGAAGCTAAGTGCTGCGTCCTGGAGGAGGTGCATTCTTGGGGCTTGCAGGGCTGCGGGAGGGGTGCTGAACCCTCCGCTGTCATGCGGGGCACTGCCTCCGGATCTTCACCCCGCTAAGCCAGCCCAAAACTGCAGGAAAGGCGTTAGAATGACCTTTGACTTCTGAATGGCGTAGTCCAGGGCCGGGGGCCCAGTGACTCTTTGCTTGAAGCAGAGTCTGTAGTTTTAAAGGCTCTGAGAATGGCAAGAGAGCAAAGATGGTGGGCCCGGCCCGGCAGGCGGCTGGCCATACCAGCTCCCTCTCCTAGGGCCTGGGGGAAGCTTTGCGATGGGGTCCGGCAACTGAAGAATTGCAAACATTCTTCCTGTCTCCCTTGATGGTTCTGGGTTCCAAAAGCCAGACGCTTCTAAAGAGAGAGGTTTTGGAAAAGCTAGGACACCCTGCAATCCTGCCACCCAGAAGGTCATGCCTCAGGGACGGGGAAGAAATGTGGGGGAAAGTTTTGGTCTCTTTTCGGGAGAGTTAGGAGATTTCCCCTTGGAAATGGGGTTTTGTTGACGAGTCCCCATCTCCCAAAACCTCAGGCACTTTACAGTTACCTCACTTGAAAGGGGTCTTTTAAGAAATGCATAAACCCCCAGTGGGGTCAACTCCGCCCAATGGGGTGATAAATGAGAAGTCAGATGGGTCAGGCAGGACGCTCTGACAGACGGATGGGTGGTCACAGCCACTCCAAGAATTATTACACCATGGAGCAGGGCTCCACTCCCCTCAAAGGGCCTCAAAGGGCCACGGAGAAGGAAAGTGACAGCGTGCCTCCCTCTGCATCTGATATTATGTTCAAAAAACATGTGGGCTTTGCTTCCTGTGCCATTCTGCAGCCTCACTAGTTTCAGTATAATTTTTTAAATCACATGCCATTATTGAGGGTGTAGATTGGTGTAACCTTTCAGATGCAACATTTCAAATGCCCTTTTGCTGAGTTCGGCTAAAATGGATGAGGTGTTTGGGGCTTTTTTCTTCCAGCACTATTTGTAATTATAAAAAATTGCAGTGACCTCTGTGTCCATCATTAGAAAAATGGCTGGATGAACCGTGGTGACACCCATTTAAGGAATACTATTCACTATCCTGCTGATAGACAGGGAGAAGTGGAACGGCGTGTATGGGCACGGGGAGGAGTGAGCGCCTCGCCAAAAGCAAAGGCAAGTTGAAGAACCGTGTGTGTGTGTGGGGCGGGGGGGATGATTCCATCTGTTTAAAAAAATGTGCATATGTACATATTTATTTAAATGGCTGTATATGCCTAAAAATATTTGGAAGGAGCCACAGCAACCAGTTAACAGTGATTATTTTGGTGGGGAGCATACATTCTTCTGTATTTGAATCTGTGACAAGAAGTCACTTCTGTCACATCAAAAATAAAGATTTACAAGAAATTCCTTACGTTTGGATAAAATCATGGCTCTGGGGAAATACACCCTATCTACCCTGTGGCTCCGGTCTCATGCCCGGGGGCACTGCCACTGGATGCTTGGAGGTCCCCCATCCCACATCCCTGGCATGCAGGACACAGACTCGGGGCTCAGCGGCCCCTCTCTGGGCTGGCTGGGCACCAGGGAGGACATCAGCCAGTGACAGCTTCTGGTTAGACTGGCCGAGCTCCTCCCTTCTTTGGAAGTGGGTGGACAGCAGGGCCAGATGCCTCCGAACGTCCCCCCGGAGGGATAATGGGCCCCATTGTCTGGGAAGAGGAGGATGCCTGCCCCTTCCTGTTTCCTCTCATCCCACGATCCAGAGCAGCGTCCAGTTGTGACGGAGACAGAGAGTTGAAGGAGGGCACACTTTCTTTGGTCTCCTCCCACCTCTGTCTTAAGAAATTCACATTCAGCCACCTCTAAATTTTGCCAAAAAAGCAAGGGGAAGTTGTACCAACATACTCCCTGCACTGCACAATGGCCGAGACCAGCGGAGGATTCGAACCTTGGCACTATGGCGCCAGGACACAGGGCACCTTAGGCCCAAGTGGCTGAGAAGGGACCTGAGTTCTGAGTGACTTCATCTGCGGGGACTTGGCACAGCCCTGTGCTCCAATGGACAGGACACGCCAGTGCTGGGATCATAAGGCTGGCAAATGTGCCAGATGCAAAGGCAAGAACAGGGAAGAACAAGGGAATGGCAGGCCCAGGAGCGCCAGGGACTCGCCGTGCTCCAAGGAAGGCTCAGGAGGAGGTTGAGGAAGGTCCTGGGGCCATGCATCTGGGAGCTCAAGCCCTCACTGCTCAGTCACCACACAGTCCTCCTCCATCATGGCTGAGGCCCCTCACCCACATGCCAATGGGGGGCCTGTTGGCTCATTTTAGTCTGCTCCACTTAGGAGAGCAAAAGATGACTGCCTCATTTTCTAGAGGAAAAAGACAAAGAACAGGCAAGAAACAAAATGGGCTCATCATGGTTGTCTGTGTGGCTGCTCAGCTGGGAAGAGCCAAAGGCCAAGGCTGGAGACCCGGGTGATTGCAACAGTTAAAGGGGTACAGGGCACAGTGCCCAGGGACATGAAGCAGAGGGACAGCAAGGAGACTGCTGGGCAGAGTCAGGAAGGAGGGAGCTCCAAGGATGCGGAGGGGCCAGAGAGGCCGCAGCGATCAAGGCTGCAGACTCTGCAGTGTGATGAGGACAGAGAGTGCCCCTTGGATTGGTCACGGGGAGAATGCCGTGCCGTGGGATTCTGCAGGGGAGCAGAAGGCAGGGGGCGAAGTGCATTTGATATGAAGTAGAGTTGGGTCAGTGGAGACCCACTTGAGAGACGAGGCTGGGAGGGGCAGCCCGAGTCACCCCAGGGTGCTTGCATGCCAGCAGGGGAGAGTCTCAAGTGTGTCTGCAGACCAAGGAAGAGGAGCCACCAGATGGGCAGGGAATGGGGAGAGCAGAAACAAAGAGACAAGTGCTCTCCACACCCACTGGCAGATGTGCTGGGAGCCGGCAGGGCAGAAGGCGTTGGGGTTTGCCATTTCCACATGACAGTTCCCCCTGTGATATGACTCCAGGAGTGGGGTTGAGGAGACATGGAGACAGAGGTTACTGAACTCCAGAAGACCAGGAAACAGTGAGGAGGCAGACAGAAAAGAGACTCTGCAATGTGACAATAAGGCTGGTATGCCCCATTGTGTAGTTGCACATTATACCACTCACAGCAAAGTCTGAATTGTGCAGTGCACAACATGCGCAACTGTACTTGCTGGCCCTTTCAGGAGCTGGATGTGCCATCCATGTGCTTGTGAATCCCCCAGCATGATGGCTGTGCGTTGAGAGAGCAGGATTGTAAGTCAGGCCCCCAAATGCTGCTGTGTACACAGAAAGGTGGCTCCAGGGAATAAATAAGGAGCGTCAGGGCTGGTGGACAGGTCTGGGAATGCCAGCTGCTCCAGCCAGAGACAAGCAAGGGAGGTGAGAACAAGGACAGCCTCCCCAGAGGGAACCAAAAATCCCAGTGACAAAAGCAGTTTACACCCAGGGCCGAACACAGCTCTGGACACAACAATGACAACCCCCATTTGACAGACAAGGAGACTAAGGCTCCATGAGATTAAACACTTGCCCAAGGCCACAGAAATAATCATAGTTGGAGGCAGCATTGGGATCTGGGCCTAGAACAGGATGGCCCAGTGGTCAGGGGCTAGCATCCTTCCAGATCGCAGCCGTTTGCACGTGTCCACACTCGGTGCCTAGCCCGCACGTAGCCCCTGGGCCTGGATGGGGCCTGCCTGAGATCTCCAGTGAGGATAGAGAAATCAAGTCAGCCTTAATTAAGTCACACACAGGGACTGGGGGTCCAGAGGGGCCACCACCTGCCCGCAGCCCTCATTGTGCACAGTTAATCCTGTCCAGGTGTCTGCTGGCAGCCCCTGATCAATTAGTCACTGCGATTGAAGCTGAGTGTAATTAATTATTCAATTTTGAGCTGTTCCAGCTTAATGCATCCGAAATGACATCATGCAGCCTGGGCTTTCTGCAGGCGGGGGACAAAAGGCAAACAGGTCTGAACAAAGCCCCGGTGCACCTGACCCTCTCAGTCGGCGCTAATCCTCGACCGCCCAGAGCAAACCCGCTCACCTCACGCCGTCGCCATCAAAAAAACCCTCCCCAGCAGGTGCACAGCCTCACACGTTGGGGCTGCCGGCTGGCCCGCTCTGGAAGCCTCGACCTCCGGGTCAATGGACCCTAATTCATGGGTCGCCACCCCAGCTCCCCTCCTCAACCACACTCTCTCAAGCCTGCTCTGCTGTCCCTCCCCAAGAGCCCGAAATCCTAGCCCTGGCACAGCTTTTGGAGGAATGATACAGGCCTTTCTACTGTGGTCACGGCTCTGCCCCAGCCCCAGGCATGGCGGATAGACTGGGGCTTCCTGTCGGGCCTTCTCTCCCACACAGGGCCCTCACCTTGGGGTGCAGGCAGGGGCATGAGCAGGCCAGAGGCCCACCTCCTTGAGTCTTTCAAGGGGAAGTAGTGGGAATAGAAGGTCCCTTAATCTACCTTGATCTGTGCTGCTGAGCCCAGAGAGCTTCTGGGGGCTCTCCTTCCCCCACTCCTCCTGTCCTCCTCTGCTGTGGCCTGGGTCCACCCCCTCACCTCCCTAACTGGACCCCAGTTCAGGTGTCTGCCCAAAGTGACAACATTCTCTCCTGAACCATCCGTGGTTCCCTGTTACCTCGCTCCCTTGCAAACCCTCAGCCCTGCTGTGAGGCCCCAGGGCCTCCACCCTGCCTTTCTCCTGACCCTCTTTCTCCCCGATCCTGCCTCTCACGGGCTCCAGCCCCTCCATGTCCGTCCCTGGCCTTTGAGGCTTAGAATGGTCCTTCCAGGCCTCAGTGGCCCACCTCTGCCAGCCCCACAAACCCCTATCCGGCCCCTCACTTTCCTTGGAAACCTGTCTGTCCCTCCCCTGGTGCCTGCAGCCCCTCTGGGTGCCCACAGCACTCAGAGCCCTGCCCTGATGCTCCCCTTATCTCAATGCATCTGAAACGAAGCGTGTGTTTGCATAGTGGCTGCAGCTTGCACAGGAGTGGGGGCAGCTGCCTCTCTCCCTCGGCTATGTGTGGGGCACCCAGCACAGCGCTTAGTACATAATGGGCCCTCCAGCAATGTTTGTTGAATTCATGAAGGAAAAAATGATTAAATCAGCCAAATTGAACTCATTATCTCCCCCTTCCTCCATGCCCGAGAGGGAAACCCTGGACCCTGCAACTGGGATAATGGTGTCATTAGCAGCCTCAGCCCTCCCAGCTGCAACTGGGCCATTTCCACCCTCTCATCTCCTTACTGTCCACAGCCAACGAGTTACCAGGCCGGCTCAGAAAAAGACCCCCATTCCTGTGTCACCTTCCCACCCATTTCCCTGGCCTAGTCCAAGCCTCATTGTCTCTTACCAGGGCCTCACCCCCACCAGGGGACCTTGCCTCCAGCATCATTCCTCCAGCCCACCCTCCAAATAGGCCCCTAAATGGGCTTTCTGAAATGCAAACTTGGGCATGAAACTTCTGGCTTTAAAATGCTCAGGTGGCCCAGCAATTCCACTTCCAGGAATACACCCAAAAGGACTGAAAGCAGAGACTTACACAGATACTTGCACAGCCGTGGTCACAGCAGCATCATTCACAATAGCCCAAACGTGGAATCAAACCTCGTCCACCCACAAACAAAATGTGGGAAATCCATACAAGAGAGTGTCATTCAGCCTTAAAGAGGAAGAAAATGTTGACACATGCTACTTCATGCTACTTCATGGATGAGCAGTTTTTTGTTTGTTTGTTTGTTTGTTTGTTTGAGTTGGGGCCTCACTCTGTCACCCAGGCTGAAGTGCAGTGGCGTGATCGAGGCTCACTGCAGCCTCCACCTCCTGGGCTCAAGCAATCCTCCTGCCTCAGCCTCTGAGTAGCTGGGGCCACAGGCATGCACCACCACACCCGGCTAACTTTATGGATGAACGATGAGGACACGATGTAGAGTGAAATAAGCCAGTCACAAAAGGCCAAACACTACGATTCCACATATATGAGGGACCTGGAGCAGTCACATTCACAGAGACAGAAAGCTGAATGGTGCTTGCCAGGGGCTGGGGGAGGAGGGGTGTTCAATGGGGGCAGAGTTTCTGTTTGGGATAATGAAAAGGTTTTAAAGACAAATGGCGGTGATGGTTGGTACAACAATGTGAATATACTTAGCGCCACTGAACCGTACACTTGAAAATGGTCAAAATGGCAGATTTTCTGTTACGTATATTTTACAACTATTTTTTAAAATCCTGAAAGAATGCTGGGTGCCATGGCTCATGCCTGTAATCCCAGCACTTTGGGATGCCAAGGCGGGCGGATCACCTGAGGTCAGGAGTTCGAGACCAGCCTGGCCAACATGGGGAAACCCCGTTTCTACTAAAAATACAAAAATTAGCCAGTCTTGGTGACTGGAGCCCGTAATCCCAGCTACTCGGGAGGCTGAGACAGGAGAATTGCTTGAACCCAGGAGGTGGAGGTTGCAGTGAGCTGAGATCACGCCACCGCACTCCAGCCTGGGCGACAGAACAAGACTCTGTCTAAAAATAAATAAATAAATAAAATCCTAAAAGAAAAAAAGTTCAATTGGCTCCAAACGCCCTCAGCACACTCCTCCGCAGCCCTCCTTGGAGGCCTTGTCCTGCAGGGGTTCCGCGTGCCACTGACCCCCTCCGCCCCCAGCCTCACACCCTCCCCTCTGGGTGCAGCCTCCCCCTTCGTCGAGGTCCTTGTTGCTGCCCAATTTGCTCTCTGGTCCCCACCCGTTTGTGCCTGCTCAGCACCTTTCCAGGGCTGGAACCTGTTCTGTCTTTTCCTGCACAGGCCTGGAGACGCCTGGCAACAGGACAACACTCTGTAAATATCTGGTGAACTAATGAAGGAAGGAAGGAATGCTTGGCTCTTTGCTGGCCCCTGCCACTGCAACTTCCACGTGGTCTTCCCTGTTTCTGTTACTTCCAGCCCCCCAGAATTTGCCATCTCTACCCCACTGAATCTCCCAAGGGGAGGGGGCAGGTGCAACCCCAGAGGGGAGACTAGACCCCCTGGAGGTCCTCTGAGCAGCCCCCCAGGGCCATGTGCTCTGGGCAGTGGGAGAGCAGCCCAGAGCTCTGGTAGTAAGTCCTGAGGGGCAGCACTCCCAGGCCTGGGCCACACACGAATCAGCAGGTCCCTGATTCTTGGGATCTCTCATGTCATCAAGAACAGGACTCATGTGCTGGGCTGGTGGCACCCCGTGTTCCTGATCTTCCACTTGTTTGTTAGGCAGAGGGGTAAAGACTTTGAGGTTGGATGGACTGAGCCTCAGTTTCGTCCTTTATAAAGCTGGGTCCCCATTGACAACCCATACATCTGTCGGAGGAGAAAGGAGAAATGCACCCTGGCGTGGTCCCACGGCAGGTCACCATGGAGTGACGAGTCTGAGGGCACCGCATCCACTCCCCCACGACACGACTCCACTTATAGCAGGAATATGCACAAGCGGAGCCCAGCTGTGGGTCTGACTGGTTCTGCATCAGACATCAGAATGGGGGTCACCCTCAGGGTGGGGCGGCAGTGATGGAAGGAGCAGGAGGGAGCTGCCAGGTGCTGGGGTCCCCGGTGTCTGCATCGGGGTGCATGGCACAGGTGTGTTCATTTTCTGACAGTTCACCAGTTGGTGCCTTTATAATATGTGTGTTTTTCCATATGTCTATTATGCCTCAATAAAAGAAGAAAGGAAACAGGAGAAGAGAAGAGAAAACCCACTGAAACACACAGCAGCCCCTCTGAAAGGGTCTGGCTGAGGATGAGGACAGGGAGGCTGCTCCCAGGAGGAGTCGTGAGGAGCAGCGGGAGAAGGTGCTGGAAGTTGGTCACGTGGCCTTCTGCAAAGTGGTGCCTTCTTGCTGGAAACGCCTCTGATGCAGTGAGTACTTTTTGAGCCCAGAATCTCTGACTTCCAAAGGAAAGCCTAGGGAGGACTTGGGTGGGCTGCAGAGGGGCTGGCCACTGCTCCTTTGGAGAGGCAGCTTGGGAGGGAGGGTGGCTGCCCTGGCAACGGCGCCCAGAGCGGCACAGTGCAGGGAGTGGGCGCAGCCCGGAGCAGGCCTCGGGTGGATGGTGCAAGGGGAACTTGAGGCCGGCAGAGGCAAAGGCCAGGGAAAAGAAGGCACGGCGCAAACTTACCAGATGGAAACCTCTCCGCATCAAGACCTGCAGCTCCAGGCTCCGGGGGGAGGGACGTTCTGGTGTGGTCCAGCCTCATGCCCTCCATGTGTGGTGTAGTGAGGACGGGCTCCTTGCCTGAGACCCCTGAATATGGAGGCAGGGGTAGTGCATCCATCCTTCATGGGCAGACTCTGCTGCTCAGCATCTGGAGTGCCTGGTGCTGGGGGAGCTGCTCGAGGCAGCCCGTGGTGACGGGGCTGGGCTGGCAGGACACCCCACGCAGCCATGTCTAATAGCCGCTGCGGCCTAGCTCATTAGCACGGTAACCACCAGCCTCAGGAAGGAGGTGGACCTCAGAGTGCCAGGAACTAAGCCGAGACTTTGCAAGTTCATGCCTTTGCCTGCCCCAGCTAGCAACACGGACACCAAGGCAGAACCCGGTCTCATCCGACTTGGCTGAGCATCTGCTGACCAATGTGGAGTCATTAAAAAGCACGAGACCCTCTCGGGTGGGTTCCTGCTCTGGCCTTCCAGGGGGGGACCAGGACCCCATTTCCCTCAGAAACAAGCTGGAAGCGAGCAGCGGAGCCACTGTGCTGGGTAGGGCCACACCCTCCCATGGCAGGGGGAACACCAAGCCCCGGGCTTTCTAAGAAAGGATTTTGGCCAATGCCTGTGGCAACAGCATGACCACATGGCTTGGCCACAACCGAGTGTGTCTGTGTGGATCCTCCAGGAATCGTCTCTCTCGGAGACTGTGGTAGGAGAGGGAGGGAGGAGCGGGAGGCCCGACTCCCTGTGTTCCGAGGGTAGCTGTGGACATCCACGTGGGTTGAGAAGACAGGGCCAACCTTTTTATTTACTGCTTTTAATAATACAGAAACATGCGCAGCACATACACAGGCAGGGAGAAGGAGGAATGAGCCTCCAGGTACCTTTCACCAGATTCTGCAGTGACCTGAGTTTATGCCACTTGGAAACCACATTTCAAACCCATGGCCAGGGACGAGAGCACCCACTGCCCTCAAGCCCTGGGCTCAACTGAACAGAAGTTTTCTCCATGTCAGTCGGCTCTCCTAGAAACTTCCTCTGTACCCCAGGCCCATGCCCTTGGAAAGCCCTCTGTCCGGATGAGTCCCCCCATCCACCCACACACCCATGCACACAGGGCTCTCTGGAAAGCCCCTTCAAGTCTTTTGAGATAGTCCCGAAACAGGTGGCTTGAGAGAGAGTGAGAGCTACTTTGGGCACCACGAGACGGCCACTCGCCACCTGACGCTGTCAGAGCCTGAGCACCCCGTGATAAATGTGCTGAACTCTGAAATAGGCTTCAAAGCTAGTGCCACATGCAATTCCAAATCCGGACTCCTGGGGCTATTGGATTTCATGATTTCTCTTGCAGCCTTGGTTACGGGTTAGCATGAATCTTCTCACCCCTTAATTATAGTTCTGGCATTCGAAAAGCACACCAACACCTCTCCCTCCTTTGGCGCCATCTCCTCATTCCTCCCCACTCCCAAACGCTCGGCGAGCCACAGCTAATCCCCGGTGCCGTTTATGACTGTCCCTGTCCCTGTCCTCCAGGATCTGACCGCACACTCATTGGCTCATGCCTACTGCCTGCCTTACAAGGCAATACTGCCCACAGAGAGATGCTACTTTGGGAAGAGTCAAGAGGACAGAGAGAATGTCAGGATCTTTTTTTTTATGTGCTGAGCAAGGCCATTCCAAGGGCCGCCGAGAGCAGGCGGTGATCTGTATCGGAGATGAACTTGAACATACGCTCTCTTCCAGGGGGGCGGGAGGTGGAAAAAGTAAGCCCATGGCTTCTTTGGCTCGAGTCGGATGGAGCAAATTAAAACATTTAGGAATTTTCCTCTCCCAACGGCAGGTCTGTTTTAGGTCTGATGTCTGTCAACCAAATTAAAATAGATGAAAACGGGCCCCAGCTATGTCTCTGGGTGGAGAAGAGGCTCAGCCTTCGTGTTGGGGACGAGTGACCACGCTCTGAGCTGCTTCCCTAATTGATTGCATCTCCAGGGTGGAAAACAGACACGGAGTCCAATCCTCTCATTCTCCCCATGCCCTGCCCACACAGGGAACACAGCAGGACACTGTTGGGGTGACCCAAAGTGCTTTGGAAGCAAAGAAAAAAAAATTGAGGGGGAAATGCAAGCCTTCCAGGGCAGCGTGGTGGGTGCATGGAGCACCGGTGTTTTTAGGAGCAGTGAGTTTCGGGTGGTCCTGGGGGCACGGCTCCGTGGAGAGAGCTGCTCCACTCTGGGCGGCAGGAATAGGGTAAGGAAGGGGCCAGACCTGCACAGCCTTGCCTTAGTTCCACCCCTTCCAGGCCCTGCTTGCTGGGGAAGAGGAAAATGGCCCATTTGGCACTCTGAGATAGAAGAGAGGGAAGGACAGCAGGTCATGCGGAGAAATGAAAAAATCAGGACCACTTTGTTGGGAAAGAAGACACCACCAGGCAGCCCAGGCAGCATGGGAAAGAAAGGCCATGCCAGGAAAGGCAGGAAGGGCCCCCACAAGCCCTGACCCCCCAACACGAGGGCCGCTGAAGTGTCAGCCCCGGGATCACCGTTTGAACACTGCTGACCCCATGTCCACACTGCCCCTCCATAGGGACGAGGAGCCTATAAAATGGCAAGGAGTCCTCCATGCTGCTGCCCTGCCAGCCTTCCCCGTGGAGCCCTTAGGAAAACTGAAATCCTGCAGGAAAGAGGATGAAGGGACACGGACATTTCGGAGGTCAGGATGAGCCTTGTCTGCCTCAGGACCCCCAGCCTACCTCTGGGTATGCCTGTCATACCTGATGTCCCGTCCGTCCTACCCCCACACAGGAATGAGCCAGCTCTGCAGCCTCTCCAGGGGCCTCCTCCAGCCCACGGTGGGGGGAGCCTTCTCATCTGGGACCCCAACCCCAGCACAAGTCCTTGGCACAGGGGCTGGGCATGGGAGAGGCTGGCCAGCCTCATTTGGGCCTAGTCTCTTTGTAAGAGGGGGAAAGTGGGAGCGTCCCAGTGAGAAGGAGAGCCGAAGCGGGGACAGAGGCAGGTGCAGGAGGGGCTGGGGCAGGCTCCAGGAAGCTCAGAACCTGTGTGTGGGCCGGGGGGGGAGGTGGCACACACCAGGGCCAGAACTCCTGCGGCACTGACACCACCCCATGAAAATATTCTCAAACATAGCCTCCTCCCAGAACCCACCAGAGGATCAGCGTTTTCCTCCTCCTTTTTGCTGTCACTAAGAAGCAGCAGAGAGCGAGGTACCTAAGCCAGGCCCCTGGCCAGGAAGCAGCCTGTCCCTGGGAACTCCTGCAGGCAAGGTCCTGTACCCCTCTCCCTCCTGCTTCTCATTCCCCCAAGCCTGAGCCCCCCGAGGCTGTCTGGGTGTCCTTCCCCTAGCTGGTGGGTTTGGCTCTCAGGGTGGGCATGCTCAGCTCAAGAGGGATTGCCAAACAGCCCCTAAGAGCCCAGGCCTTCCTCTGCCAGTCGCCACTTCCCTTCCTCCCACCCATTCCCGCCATTCCTGTCCTGGGCCTCCAGCACGGACACTTTGCACAGGGGTCATGAGCCGTCTGCCACTCCTGTGAGGTCACTGGACAGATACGCTGGCATTCACTGTCCCTGCACATGGTCGTAACCAGATCAGCACAGAGCCCCTCACCCTCCTCTTGCCGGGCCTGCCGCACCCTAAAATAGCCTTGATATATGTAAGGCATCTTCTGGAACAGACTGGCCCGGTCATTTAAACATTCCAGGCGTCTTGTTTATGCTTGGTAGTTATCAATAAGGCAGGCGGGACTCACAGCGCTCATTCCTGCGAGGGGCCCCCGGATCAACAGTGCACATGTCTCCCATGGCTGGGAGCTGATGTCAGTGCCTGCGTGGGCCTGAGCGTGACGGACTGCCTCCACCCAGACTGACATCTGCCATTATAGCCTGGCAACAGGGCTGGCAGGAGCCCAGCTCCAGGGTCTTGACCCTGGCCATTTCCCCCTATGGAGAGGGAAACTGAGCCCAGAGAAGTCGCAGGAGCTGTACCAGCGGGTGGGGACCCAGGTGCCCTCCCATCGTGCTCACCAGCCCTGCTGTGGGCACAGCAGGAGAAGAGTGGGCAGGGAATGCAGGCTCCTCAAAGCCCAGGAGGTGGGAAGGAAGCTTCGTCTGCAGTTCAGGTCTTTGGTTCTTGAGATTGGACTCTGAAGAGGAAAAAGAGGCTCTGAGCACAGGAAAGGTCCTCGGAAAGACTCCCACGTACCTGCTGGGAAGCCTGGGACAACCCTCTCCCCCCTCTCCCAGCCTCCAGTCCTAGACCTGTGGACGTTTGGGGCTGGCTCATTCTTTGCCCTGGTGACTGCCTGTGCACTGCCGATGCTTAGCAGTGTTCCTGGCCTCTGCTCACCAGATGTTGGTAGCACCATGTCTGCCCCAAGTTGTGACAATCAAAAATGTCTCCAGTTAAAGGAACTCAGCCTATCAAAGAGATAGACTCACTCCCATGTTTATTACAGCAGATTCACAAAGGCCAACATATGGATCAAACCTAAGTGTGCATCAGCAAATGAAGGATAAAGAAAATGTGGTATATACATGCAGTGGAATAATATTCAGCCACAAAAAGAATGAAATCCTATCCTTTGCAGCAACATGGATAGAACCAGAGGACATTAAGTGAAATAAACCAGGCAGAGAGAGACAAATACTGCATGTTCTCACTTCCATGTGGGAGCTGCGAAAGTGGGTCTCATGGGGGTAGAGAGGAGGCTGGGAATGAGGGTGGGAGATGAAGGGAGTTTAATTAATGGGCACAGAAATCCAATTCGATGGAAGGAATGAGTTCTAATGTTCAATAATAACACAGTAGGGTGACTATAGTTAACAGTAATTTACTGTATATTTCAAAATAACTAGAAGAGTTGAAATGTTCCCAACACAAAGAAATGATACATGTCTGAAGTGATGGAGGTCCTAAATATCCCGATTTGATCGTCACACATTGTATGCTTGTATCAAAATATCGCAGGGGCTGGGCACGGTGGTTCACACTGGTAATCCCGGCACTTTGTGAGGCTGAGGCGGGAGGATGGCTTGAAGCAACTTGGGCAACATAGTGAGACCCTGTCTCTAAATAAAACAAAGCCACATGTACCCCATATACATGTACAATTATTATATGTCAATAAAAAATAAAAATTAATATTAAAGTACATTTTTCAATTAAGAAAATAATTAAATAATTAAAATGTAAAAATATGTCTCCAGGCATTGCCTACTGTCCCCCGGGGGCAAAATCGACCCTCTCTGAGCACCCTGCTGTAGATAAATGAAACCTCTCCTGGTACAGGCAAGGAGCCTGCAGGGCCCCGTCACTTTCCTCCTCACCCTCTCACTGCCAACTGGGGACATGGAGCCTACACCTGCCACCCACCAGCCCGCGCTGTGACCACTGTTCAGCTGAAGTCACCAAGCCCCCTAGAACACCTCACAGGCACGGGGGAGAGCTCCCTGCCTCCCCCAGAGGCTGAGCCTTCCTTCCAACAGCTCCTGGGGCAGTGGGACACCGAGGCCAAGGCTGCCACAGCTCCCGGCCTTGGCGCTGGGTCTTGTAGGGTATGACCAAGTTCACAGCAGAGAACATTTGAAGCAGAAAAGCAGAAGGCAGAGAAACAAAGTGGGGACAGTGTGCAATTGTCTGGGGCACAGGAGAAGATGCTGAAGCCGGCAGGGAGAAGGAAGGTGGAGAAGTACCTAGGGCAGGACCCCATACCCAGCCAAGGGCCCAGACTGTCTCAGGTGGGCGAAGGGCTGCCTGGTTTTATTTTCACCTTGCAGGTGGAGCTCTGGGTCTGGGTCCTCCCTGTCTGCCCTACAGGTGGATCTGTCCATTTTTCCTGGGCCAGGCCCCCCAAACTGCACCTTCCAGCACACTACCCCTCTCAGAGAAACACCTGCTCCTTGGGCAGCGCCTGCCAGCACCCTCAGGCCAAAGGAGAAAGATCAGGCCAGCTAGGGGCTGGGAGAGGCTCTGCGTGGTGTGGAGAGGATGCCAGCCCATGCGAGGAGGCACCAGAGGTCCCCAGTCACCTGCACCCTGCCCCTGCCCACCCTGGGAGGACCCTCCCTGTGGATGAGCTGCGCATGAAGGACCTGGGGCCTGAGGGGTCCTCATGGGCCCCAGGGGAAGCAGGTGGCCAGGAGAGATGCAAAGGTTTCCCAGACAGCACTTGGGACGACTCAGCAGCAGCCGCCTCCAAAAGTGGGGAGCAGGGCCAGAGAGCCGAGGGCAGTGCTGGGTCCCAGCCCAGCCGAGGCGGTCCCAGCGAGCTTCAGTGCGTACATGCTGCCATCGTGTGGAGCCCAGCCCTGGCGGCCCTCCAGCTGTGGGACACCCCCGGCCCCCCATGCTGGGAACCCTGCCTGGCCAGGGCATCTCTGCCCCCCTGCCCCAACCACAGGCCTAAGTGGGCCCAGATGGTGTTGGCAGAATGGGCTGGCTGGGCTGCTGCCTCCAGGGGCCCCAGAGTTGGGGCTCAGCTTGCCAGGGATGGGAGGGTGGGTGGTTTGAACAGGCAAACCTAATCCCAGGGCCTTTCAAAGAGGACTGACAGTGTGGGAAGCGGGCAGCCAGGCCCGGAGCCCAGACACAACCCAAGCCTCTGCTCTGTCTCTTCAGGCCCCATGGACCTAGAAGGATGCTCTCCCTGGCGGACTCTGTCAGCCAGCGTCTCACCTTCTCCTCTCCCCTTCTCCTCCCTGGGGTGTCTTGTGTCACAGGGAGAGCAGAACCCTGCCTTAGCCCCAGACCTGCCACCCTGTCTGCACAGCCGCTTCTCCTTGGCCTCTTCCCATCCCTCACCCCCTGACCAGGGCTGCCCCTCCCCTCTCACACCAGCCACAGCCCCTCTCTCAGCATCCACAGCCTCATCCAAAAGGACAGTAGTTGGATTGCTCAGGGGCCTGTGGGAAGCAGAGGCACACTCCAAGAGTCGAATACTAAAGGGACAGTTTAGGAAGGCATGGGTAGGGGAAGCCTTGGGCGGTTACAGGGCGTGGGTTCTGTGGGAAGGGCCAGCAAAGGGAACAGTTCTGGGCTGAGAGGGCCACAGGTATGTGGAGAGCCCCCCACCCCCTGCCACACACAGAAGCAGTGGCCTTCTGTGGAGGGACGGCCGCAGGGAGGGAATACGTGGGTCAGCCTCCCAACACACCTGCTCTCCCTCCCAGGGACACAGAGCTCCTCAAAGTGGGGTCTGAGCTGCTTTAGCACCTGGTGCCGGCGGCGTGTAAATCCATGGGACCGTCTGGGAACACACCTTGAGGCTCAGTGAACATTTCTCCCAGAGTGAGACTTTCTCCTAGAAGGGAGCAGCGTGTTGGTTTCTGCCCCAAGAGAAGCTCTTCATTTCGGAGAGGCACTGTGAAGAGCGCTGATCAAAGAAGAAAAGAGAAGATCGAAGCACAATCACAGATAAATAAGAGAATGACCCCTCTGTGCTTGGCCCTGCACCACCCACTCTGCGCCCTGGAGGCTGGCCCGGGCACGAGGTCCTCTGGGCTCCTGGCATCTGTTCATTGGCTTTGGCCAAGAGAGGCTCCAAGTGAAGAGTGGGAGAACAGGGAGGCTGGGATTTCTTCCCTGCTCCCTTTCCTTGGGTGCCCTGGTCCTGCCAGTGGCTGGGTCCCTTCTGTCCTCACTGTGGCCCCAGCTCTCTCTGGACTCTAGGATACCCCTGCCCCTTCAGGCCTTGGGGTGTGTGTGTGTGTGTGTGTGTGTGTGCATTACAGCTTCCTGCTGTTGTTCATCTCCAGGCGTTACAACACCCTTGCAGGTTATCTTTCTTATCTTTATTTTTTAAGAGACAGGGTCCCTATGTTGCCCAGGCTGGACTCAAACTCCTGGGCTCAAGCAATCCTCCCACCTCAGCCTCCCAAGTAACTAGGACTACAGTTGCACACCACCTCACCTGGCTGTTGTGGGTCATCTTATCACCCACCCTCCCTGCGACACACACCTCACCAATCATTCTACAGTCAAGTCCCTAACACTTGCTGTTTTCCATGAGGATTCTGGTCATCTTCAAACACGCATACCAACACACACACACACACACACACACACACATCTATCCATCACCACAACATTTTCCTTCTACGTCCCAAATGTTGGGTCTACCAATATTAAGAATCTGCACCCCAAAATATGCCACTCTGGCATGTTGATTATTTTGAGTTAAAGGGACCTGAAAAGCAAGAGGTGCTAGAAGATCCCTCTGATCTTCATTTTCTTTCTCAAAAGCAGGAGACGAAATTCCCATGTGAAAGATGTCCTCCCCATACTGAAAGGAAACTGCCACTCTTATCTCCAAGGACAGGAAGCTGGGGCCAACGGAACTCTGTGCAAACAAACCTCGTTAAACTAATCCTCATCGTCCCAGCCACTTCTCCACCCAGCCAGCCCCCAGCCTGGGCCCCTGGGCCTTGGCCCATTTTCAAGCGTCCTGCTCTTTGTCTCAGGCAGTGCCTACGTGTTCAAACTGTAACTGCGCCTCCGGGCCTTAGGAAGGCTCCCATGCCTGTGAGTCGTGTGGTCTGTCAATTGTGTGCGTTTCTCCTGCTGATCTGTCTTGTATCACTTTAATTCTCACCCAAAAACCCTTGAAGGGGTGGAGGGGAATTTTTGCACCCTCCACCCCAATACTGCCTTCAAACGCGGCAACTCCACAGGGCTGGGCCTGGCCACTCTCAAGTCTAGCGGCTCCTCACTGCCTCCCACCAAACCTCACCCACCCTGGCTGAGCAGCCGCTTCCTGCCACAGCCCAGGCCATGGGGCTCCCTCTTCTCACAGTCCAGCTCCTACCAGCTCTCAGTGCACCTATAAGAACCATCCATCAGAGCTTGTCGCTCCTCTGCTTAAAACCCCAGGAATCAAATCTCAGGTCTGGACAGAGGCTGCCAAGACCCTGTGAGACCTGGCCCCAGGGACTCATCCTAATCTTGCTTTCCTTGCCTGTGCTTCTCAGTGGGCCCCAGGGCTGCCATGGTGACCTTGCTGGGCCATTGCCCAGTCCCCAGACCACTCCTCCCACCTTCCATGTCTGAGAACATAGGCCCTCTTTAGAGGTGCCTGTCCCAACCCCACATCCACTCTGAAGCCCCCTGTTCCTTTCTGTGGGAACTTCTAGAAGGTTCTTTCCTTCTTCTTGCTCTCAGCCACCTCCAGAGCCCCCGTCTGCCCTCTCGTGGTTTTCCCATGGACCTGTGAAGCAAATATACCCCTTGGGGAGCTAAGAGGGTCTCTGAGGAACCTGGACCCCAATGTGAGGGTCCAGCCAGTGAAGGTCCTGGACCCCCACTCTGAAGCTACCTGGGATTAGCATATCCAAAGGTACCAAGGAGAATGGAAATTTCCTCCCCTCTGGAAAATTGGGTGGACTTCCAGAGAAAGTTCTCGGTGAGCTTTTAAAGTGGCTGATTGAGAATTCTATGAAATGTCTGCAGTGTCTCCTGGCAAGCCCAGTCGTGGGTGATTAAAATACGACAACCTCATAACCACCCCCAGAAGCCTTTGCACACCCGCCCTTACAGGGAGGCTTAAGGAAATTAAAGGGCTGAAATGATTGCTTTTTCCCCAGCAAGAAAGATTGGGCCACTTAATGAAGAACTACCCTTAATCTTGGACAAACTAGGTCTAATTTCTTCAAATTATTCCACATTTCACCAATTTCATTTTTCCCTTTTACTCAAGGGTGTCTGGGCAGGCACGCCCTGCACCCTGCAAAAAGCCTGGATGTGAGACTGTCTCATTTTCTTCTACCACACACGGAACATCTCAGCACTGATTATTTTCAACAGGGAGGAAAGTGGGCCTGGGGAGTGGGTCTGGAGAGTGCTCAGGAGGCCTGTCCTCGCGCTGGAGCTCACAACCAGAGCTTCATTAGCACCGATTGATCGCCAGCTGCCTGTCAACAGGAAGGAGGACGTGGCACCTCGCATGCCGGGCACAGTCCAGGCTGACGGGCGGAAAGCATTTGCAAGTCCCCGAAGGGGATGCACGTAAGCAGCTCGTTTGGAAATCTCAGTTACATCTTGCCTCTGTTCTCTAAATGCTTGAAAGAAAGGAAGACAAGCAGTGGCTGAGCATCCACCGAGGGGCCCAGCACGGAAGCCGGGGCGTCACCGTGATCCTGTCACTGCTGCTCCATTTGACCGTTAGGAGAACTGAGGGCCAGAGGGCTGATGCCCAGGAAGTGGCGGGGCTCCAAAGACTGTGTCCTGTTGTGCCACGTGTCTGCCCCAGAGGGACATCCGTCTTCAACTCGATTGTGTGTGCTTTGTGTCTCTACCGTCTGGCGCCCCGTAGGTGCTGGGTAAATGTTGGCCGAGTGAACTCTTCGGGGAAGGAGTGGGGGAAGAACGTTCAAGCTGGAAGAGTCTGCAGTGGCCATGGATGGCTTTGCATACTCAACCTTTGCCCCCTTGGTTCAGCAGGCAGCGCTTCCATCCCAACCCTCCCCCCGATGAGTCCTTGGGGTTTGAGTGGCAGAACCCTATCCCCAGCTGGCCAGAGCACGCCCTGCCCCTGTGCCCACCATGGGAGAGGGTCAGAACCCAAGCCAAGCCAACCACTGTTGATGCTAGGACTTGTGTTGTTATCCCTGGGACACAGATGCGAGTGTCTGTCATCAAACCTTGAGGCTAGAAGGACCTGAGGCCAGAGCTGCTGGGACAGGGAGTGGAGAGGCTCTGCCTGGGAATGAAGCCAGGAAGAGCAAACAAGATGGGAGAGAAAAACTGGTGTGGCCATTCCTGTGCTCCTCTGCACAGGAGTCGGTCAGTCGTCTTTCTTTCATCTATGTATTTATCTTGAGACAGAGTCTCACTCTGTCACCCAGGCTGGAGCACAGTGGTGTGATCTTGGCTCACGGCAACCTCCGCCTCCCAGGCTCAAGTGATCCTCCCGCCTCAGCCTCCCGAGTAGCTAGGACTACAGGTGCATGCCACCACACCCGGCTAATTTTTTATATTTTTAGGAGAGATGGGGTTTCACCATGTTGACCAAGCTGGTTTCGAACTCCTGGGCTCGGGCGATCTGCCCACCTCTGCCTCCCGAGGTGCTGGGATTACAGGTGTGAGCCACCGTGCCCAGCCCTCCCTTTCTTTCTACTGAAGCCATTTGGGTTGGGTTCCTTTATCAGCTAGTGAGGGGGTCCTCACCATTACAAACCGCCTTGAACAAGCAGGGCTGGTTTATTTAGGAAGCGATTCCCAGAAGCACTGGAGAGGTGTGGAGACCTGAGCCTGGTAAGGGAAGGAGCCGGCATAGGGAGAGCTACGGAACAGCTTCCCCTGTGGGGAACCGGGGCTCAATCCCACTGCAGACCCATGGGAGACAGCCTGGAATCGCCTCGGTGGTGTCCTGCCAGAGGAGCAAGGAGGGCGGCTCTGAGGGCGTTAACTCCCCGCACGTCCAACCTGCCACACTCTCCACCAGCCAGAAAACATGTCCAGCAGAGTCAAGAGCCTTCCCTCAGTGTCCATGGAAGTGGTGAGAGCCCAGGGGATCTGGGCAGAACCAGCATCATTGGTCACCCTTTTCATTTTACAGGGGGAGGAACAAAGGCCCAGGACAGCAAAAGGACAGGCAGTCACACAGAGGATTCATGGCAGCCCCGGATCCAGACCAGGCATCCTGGCTGACACCCCAGCATGCAGCATTCTCCTTCTTGCCTGCATCTCTGCAAATTTGGTGACCGCTACTAAACTGCAGTCTCCTCTGGGCAGGGACTGGACTCCAACTACTTAGGACAATCAGAAAGATTTTGATGGGCACCTGCTCTGTGCCATCCCTGGGCTGGGCTCTTGGACTCTGGCGAGTGAAAAACCTACCCCTGCCTTTGCAGGGCACCCAATGCCATGCTCTTAAAGACTCGAGGGCATCTTGAGTGAGGTGCCCAGTTTTGCAGGTGACCTTGGGGAGTCACCATCAGTAGCAATAAAAGGTCCCATAAGAACAGTACTTTTTAGCTTACAACACACTTTCCCATCTGTCACATTTAAAAAATCTCGCCAAAACTCATGGAGCCTGTATCCTCTGTAAAAGGAGACAAAGGCACTATAGCCCTAGCCACAGGCTGAAGGGACCATGTGCCTGGGCGCTCTTGGTAAATCGGAACATGTTTGCCTTGCAGGGAACCAACAGCCGCGACCCGCTGCAGACCCCAGTGTGGAACTTCAGTGAGGGTCCTTGGGGTTGCAAGCGACAGAAACACAACTCAGACTAGCTGCAGATAGAAAGAGAATGTAAGAATTGAGAATTGTAACATAAAGGGGCTCAAACACTGTTTCTCTTTTCTCCTCTATTCTTCTCTCTCTTTCTATCCTTTCTCTGCCTCCTTTTTATCTCTGCTTCCCTCTTGGTTGACCTCATTTTCCCTCCTGCCCTAGATCCTTCCTCTAGGATCTCTGTGCTGAGAATGTACCACCAGTTTCACAGCGCCGATGGAAAGGGTGTGTTTCCTCTGTACATCCATATGCCAACATATGGGCATGGATTACTCCAGTTTAGGACACATGCCCACCCCTTGAGCCACCTCTGGTGGGGAGTGTTCTGTGATTGGCTAGACGAAGAGGAAGCAGAGGTCTGCGCTTGAGCCCTCCCAAGACCTCACCGAGTGGATCTCCAAAGCAAGGACGTTAGATTGTCCAAACAACACCCTGATGAGCGGATTTTCAACTCTTAGTACAGGGTCTGGCACATGAGAGGGTGCTCACGAGAGTTTGCTAATAAACAAATCAATGAATATAGAGTTGGATAAATGCTATTTTTATACAGTATACAGTGCTATTTTTAAAAAGAACATTCCTGCTTCTTTCCGCTCAGTTACACCTGGATGCGTAACTTTATGTGTGTTTTTGTGTGGCTTTGAGGCATCTTATTTTCCCAGCATTAAAACAAAGTTACCACCTTTACCACTGCAAACTTCATTCTTTCAGAACATGGCATACAAAGCCCATCAAAACTGATGACCAAAGCAGGGGATAGTGGTACGTGCCTGTAATCCCAGCTACTCAGGAGGCTGAGGTGGGAGGATCCCTTGAGCCCAGGAGTTCAAGACCAGCTTGGGCAACATAGCCAGACCCCCGTCTCTAAAAAAATTTTGATTACCAAAATGGTGATCTCATGACTGTTTTTCTAGGATTTCCTGGAAGTTACCCAAATGTATCTTAAGTCTCTATGCCAGATTCCAAGCTTGGGTTCTAACCCAATATCAGATGGACTGAGAAAGCTTCCGTTGATGTGCTTGATGCTGTGACACACTGCCCAGCTTCACGCTCACCACCCAGGATGGAGGCGCTCACTCCCAGATGCTAAGTGTGCAGTTGGCTTATAGCTTATAGCTCTCAGCTGAGTCTTCTCTGGGGGTTGCCCTCATCCTAACAGACTTGCCTCACCCAAGGTCATACCCCCTTGCCAGGGCGGTCCACGTATAATGACCAGTAGGTATGGGGGTCAAAAAACTCTGCACCCTTTCCCCCAGGGTGGCCGACTCTGGTGGGCCATCCCGTTCAGAGGCCCCGTGGGATTGACCAGGCCCTTGTTGTGATGGCCCCGCAACTCAGCTGCTTCTGCTCTATCCTCATTACTTTAGCACCTGTCCCAGCAGGTTGGTCCAAAGGACACTGCCTGCAAGTTTCATCTCGAAGACCAAATGCCAGGGAACCCAACCTGCAACAGATGGCACCAGGAGTGGTCCAGGGATCTCTGAAATGGGATTTTGGAGTTGGCTCAGTCACCAGATGGCTGGCAATGAGGACTCTATCATCAGCGATAGGGGAGCATTGATGGTCCGCGGTGTGGGGTAGAGGTGCAATGAAGACCAGCAGAAAGGAATGCACAGCTAACACAATGGATCAAGTATCTGAGGAGAACGAGGGAAATACTCATCACAGGGCTGTGGAGTTGGATGGCTGTTGCTGGGGGCAACTGCAGCATCGGAGAAAGACAATCAAAGACTGAGGGTGGTTAATCACCAATTAAAGGCCAATTACGATAACCAGAGGGTCTCCTTAGTACCATATAAATTAGAGACTCTCATCTCCTGCAGCTGGAGGGCAGAAAAGCTGAGGATCTGGCCCAGGACTTAATTCTAAGTATTACAGAGCTGGCAAAGAGGTTGGATTCCCAAAACCTAGGCAAATCTGACATATCTGGGTTAGGGCTGGGGCTGGAATCACCTGAAAGCTCACTCACTCAGATGCCTATTAGCACCTGCGCAGGGAAGGCAAGCGGCTGGGAGCTGGAAGAGCTGGTGCTCCTTGGACATCTGTCTCTATGTGGGTGTCTCTGTGGGTCTGTCCAAGGAGGAAGCTTCAGAGCAGCTGGATTTTCTACATGGTGGGCCCAGGATCCAAACCAAGTGTCCCAAGAGAGAGGGAGCAGAAGTGAGTGCAGCCTTTTTGACTGAACCATGCTCTATGAATGCAATGGTGAGGGCAAATCTTCCCACTGGGCAGAGCTTCAGGTGGGGCTCCCCGTGATCCACTTTGTATGAAAAGCATCCTGGCTCAAGGATGGCGCATATAGGATTCTTGACCAGTGAAGAATAGTTTGATTGACTTCTCAGAGACTAGAAAGAAAAGAGTGGCAGATCAGGGAGGGGGAGGTCTGTGGAAGAGGCAGGTGGGAGTGCTTTGAGAAAGGGTATCATGTGGCCAGAGGAAGGTCTATTCATGTGAATGCCCGCTGAGCACAATACAAAGGAAGAGGCAATGCAGACCTTAGGAGACAGAATGACTTGGCCAGCTGATGTCAGCCTGCCTCTGTCATCGGCCACCCCGTGCTGTGACCATAGCCGTGGGCCTGGCCACATGGCCTCCCATTGACGTAGGCTGCTACAGCCCCAGGAGCTCCTGAGGCTGAATGTCCCACCTGCCAGCAACAGAAACCAACAGTGAGCTCCCAGCAGCAGCAGAGCCTTTGAGCTTCATCCATATTTACAGCCTTTCCCCATGGCTTGCATTACCTGCTGAGCTCTGCCTCCTGTCAGATCAGTGATGGCATCAGATTCTCTTAGGAGCACAAACCCTATTGTGAGCTCCCAGAGCTCCCAGCAACAGCAGAGCCTACACTGCACCCTTCCACCCTGGAAAAGGCAGCCATTCATCATGACCAGAATTGACACATACCCAGGGGACTAGTCAGTTCTCTAGAGAAACAGAACCAATAGGACAAGTATATACGGTTCATCCTTGAACAGCAAGGGGCTGAACTGCATGGGTCCGCTTTTGGGTTTTGGGGGTTTTTGTTGTTGTTGTTTTTAGAGACAGGGTCTCCCTCTATCACCCAGGCTGGAGTGCAGTGGCACCATCACAGCTCACAGCAGCCTCAAACTCCTGGACTCAAGCAATCCTCCCACCTCAGTCTGCTGAGTAGCTGGGACTACAGGTGCATGCAACCACACCCAGCTAATTATTGTTATTATTATTATTATTTTGTAGAAATGAGATCTTGCTGTGTTGCCCAGGCTGGTCTCAAAATCCTGGCCTCAAGCAATCCTCTCACTTCGGACTCCCAAAGCATTAGAATTCCAGGGTGAGCCACCACACCCAGCCCAAGGGTTCACTCCTATGAAGATTTTCTCCTGCCTCTGCCCTCTCTGAGACAGCAAGACCAATCCCACCTCTTCCTCCTCCTCCTCAGCCTACCCAACATGAAGATGAAAATGAAGATCCTGATGACCACTTCCACTTAACGAATAGTAAATATATTTTCTCTTTCTTATGATTTTTCTTAGTAACATTTTCTTTGCTCTAGCTTACTTTATTGTAAGAATACAGTATATAATACATATAACATACAAAGTATGTGATAATTGTGTTATCAGGAAGGCTGCCCATCAACAGTATGTTGTTTATTGGTAATTAAGTTTTGGGGGGAGTCAAAAGTTACTAGTGGATTTTCTACCACACGGAGGGGTGGGGTCGGTGTACCAAACCCCCATGTTATTCAAGGGCCAACTGTATAGACAGAGAGATTTAGTATATGGAATTGGCTCATGTGCTCAGGAGGCTGACAGCCTGGAGTCCCAGGAGAGCTGCCGGTGCAGATGGAGTCTGAAGGCAGCCTTCTGGAGCAGGAGTGAGAGCGGCGGGCAGGTGAGCAAGCTTTTCCCCATGGCTTGCATTACCTGCTGAGCTCTGCCTCCTGTCAGATCAGCGATGGCATCAGATTCTCTTAGGAGCACAAACCCTACTGTGAACTGCGCATGGGAGGGATCTAGGTTGAGCGCTGCTTATGAGAATCTAATGCCTGATGATCTGTCACTGTCTCCCATCACCCCCAGATGGGACTGTCTAGCTGCAGGAAAACAAGCTCAGGGCTCCCACTGATTCTACATTATGGTGAGTTGTATAATTAGTTCATTGTATATTACAATGTAATAATAACAAAAATAAAGTGCACAATAAATGTAATGAGATTGAATCATCCCCAAACCATCCCCCAACCCTGGTCCATGGAAAAATTGTCTTCCACGAAACCGGTCCCTGGTGCCAAAAAGTCTAGGGACCGCTGTTCTGGAGGATTCCCCTTGCTCAGGCTCGCCCTACTCAAGCCTTCACCTATAGGATGCCACTCACCGCATTGCGGAAGGCAATCCGCTGTACCCAAGGCCCCTGGCTGGAATGTTAACCTCTTCCAAGCTGACACATAAAATTCCCCATCACATCCAGGAAGTGGTTTGCTTTTCCTGGCCAGAAAGTCACAGAGAGCTCCCACCTCACCCTCAACCCCGTCCCCCCACCCACCTCACCCCATCTGAAGATTTACAGTGCTTGATCCACCAATATGGACTCCCACATAAAATCACAGCAAAAGAGGTGTGACCATGTGCACATAACCACAGGACACACCATCAGTTACAGACCCTGCCATCCAAATGCTGTGGACTGATAGGAAGCAGAATGGTTTGTTTTAGGCAAAGCTGAGATGCCAGTCTGAAGATGAGCCCATGTCCTCCAAGGTGCAAATTCCCTAAATGAATGGCCATGATATGGTGTTCTGCCCCTGGTAGATCAAATAGAAATGTTAACCTGTATACCTATATAGGTCCAGGAACGAAGGGGCAGAAGCAGGAATGGCCCTGCTTGTAATAATCCCTCCTACAACCTATTTGAAGAGTTTGTTATTCTTATTCCTGCAACTCAAAGCCCTGTGATCAGGGAGGTCCTGGTTCTCAAAGGGGAAATTCTTCTGCCAGGGAACACAGAAATAGTCTCATTAAACTTTATTTTTACAGCTTCATTGCATCATAAAGTTCACCCATTTTAAGTATGCAAGTCAATGATTTTCAATAAATTTGCTGTGTTTTACAACCATCCTTGTAATCCAGATTTAGAACCTTTCCATCACCTCAAGAAGATCCCTCAGCCCCATTTACAGTTAATCTTCATTCAACCCCCAGCCGGAGGCAAATGCCTATGTACTTTCCGTCTGTCTCTATTTGCTCTTTCTGGACATTTCATACACATTGCATCATACAGTATGTGGTCTTCGGAGGTTCCTCCATGTTGTAGCCTGCATCAGCACTTCCTCCCTTTCTCTTGATGAAGAGTATTCCATTGGATGGATAGACCACATTTCGTTTGTCAGTTCACCAGTTGACGGACATTTGAGTTATTTCTACCTTTTTTTTTTTTTTTGGCTATTAGAAATTAAGCTACCATGAACATTTACATGCAAGTTTTGTGTGAACTTATGTTTTCATTTCTCTCGAGTAGCTATTTTGGAGAGGAACAGTTGGGTCGTTTAGCAAATTTATGTTTAACTTTTTTTTGCATAGATTCAGGGGGTATTGAGTGCAGTTTTGGTCCATGGATATATTGCGCAGTGGTGAAGACTGGGCTTTTCATGTACACGTAGCCCAAATATTGAATATTGTACCCAATAGGTAAATGTTTAACTTTTAAAGAAAAAGCCAAAACACTTTCCCAAGTAGCTGTACTGTTTTACATTTCCTCCAGCCATGTATGAGAAAGCCCATTTCCACACACTCTAACTAGCATTTATTATTGTCTGCCTATTTAATTATAGCCATTCTAGTGTGTATGAAGTGGTATCTCATTGTGACTCACATTTGCATTTCCCTCATGACTAATGGTGTTGAGCATCTCTTCAAGCGCTTATTAGTCATTTGTTTATTTTTTTGGTGAAATATCTATTAAAATCCTTTCCCCATTTTTTAATTGGATGTTTGTCTTCTTGTTGAGTTATCTGTATGTTCTCGACACAAGTCCTTTATCAAATATACGATTTACAAATATTTTTCAGTCTATGGCTTGTCTTTTCATTTTCCTAATGATGTCTTTTGAATTGCAAACATTTTATTATTTTGGTGAAGACCGATTCATCAATTTTTTACTTTATACAGTATGCTTTTAATGTTGAATCTGAGAAAGCTTTGTTAACCCAAGCTTATAATGATTTTCTGCTGTGTGTTCCTCTGGAAGTTTTATAGGCCTGGTGTGGTTGCTCACGCCTGTAATCCCAGCACTTTGGTAAGCCGATGAAGGGGGATTACTTGAGCCCAGGAGTTCAAGACCAGCCTGGGCAGCATAGTGAGATCCTGTCTCTACAAAAAATTTAAAAATGGCTGGGCACAGTGGCTCACGCCTGTAATCCCAACACTTTGGGAAGCCGAGGTGGACAGATCACTTGAGGTCAGGAGTTCGAGACTAGCCTGACCAACATGGAGAAACCCCGTCTCTGCTAAAAATACAAAATTAGCCGGACGTGGTGGCCCATGCCTGTAATCCCAGCTACCCGGGAGGCTGAGGCAGGAGAATCACTTGAACTGGGGAAGCAGAGGTTGCAGTGAGCCGAGATCGTGCCATTGCACTCCAGCCTGGGCAACAAGAGCGAAACTCCACCTAAAAAAAAAAAAAAAATTAAAAAATTAGCTGGGCATAGTGGCACATACCTGTGGTCCCAGCTACTCAGGAGGCTGAGGTGGGAGGATCACTTCAGTCCAGGATGTTGAGGCTGCAGTGAGCCGTGTTCATGCCACTGTGCTCCAGCTTGGGTGACAGAGTGACACCCTGTCTCAAAAACATTAAAATTAAAAGGAAAGTTTTATAGTGTAAGCACTTATATTTAGGCCTACAGTCGTTTTGGGCGATTTCTTTTGTGAATGGTATGAAGTTTGCCTTTCTGCATGTGGATAGTCAGCTGTCCCAGCACCATTTGTTAAAAACCTAGCCTTTCCCATTGAAAGACATTGACACCTTTATCAAAACTCAATTGACCGTAAATGTAACAGCTTCTCACTGGACTCTCAGCTTTGTTTCATTTATCTACGCAGCATGCCCACTCTTACACCAGGTAACGCTGCCTCCGTTACCAAAGCTGTAAAATGCATTTTGGAAGTGGGAAATGAAAGCCCTCTTGTTTTGTTTTGTTTTTTTAAAATTGTTTTTGCTATTCTGGGTCTTTTCATTTCCATATAAATTTTAAAATCAGCTTGTCAATTTCTGTGAAAAAGCCTTCTGGGATTTTGATAGGGATTGTGTTGACTCTACAGATCAATTTGGGGAGAATTGCCATCTTAACAGTATTGATTCTTCTAATTCATGAATATGAAACGCCTCCATTTATTTAGATATTCTTTCATTTCCCTTGGCAATGTTTTATAGTTTTCAGTGTACAAATCTTACACTTCTTTTATTAAATTTATTCCTAAGGCTTTTATTCTTTGTGATGCTGTTGAATGGAGTCACTTTCTCAATTTCATTTCCAGATTAGCAATTGTTCATTGCTAATATAAAGAAATGCAGTTGATTTTTGTATATTGATCTTGTGTCCTTGCTGAGTTTCTTTATTTATTGTCATAGTATTTTTGTGAATTCCTTAGGATTTTCTCCATACAAGATCATGTCATCTAAATAAAGACAGTTTCCTTTCCAATCTGGATGTCTTTATTTATTACATCTGACTGCACTGTCTAAAACCTCCGGTGCAACATTAAATAGAAGGCGCAAGAGTGAAAATCTTTGCCTTGCAACTCCTGTTAAGGAGAAAGCATTTAGTCTGTCACCATTAAGTCTGACGTTAGGTATAGGATTTTTATAGCCTCTCTTTATCAGGTTAATAAAGTTCCCATCTATTCCAGGTTTGCTGGGAGGGTTTTTTTTTTTTTCTTTTTTAATTGTGAATACTCGCTGAATTTTGTCAAATGAGTTTTTCTCTGTCTATTGAGATGGTCTTGTGGGTTTTGCTCCTTATTGTATTAACACAGTGCATTACATGAATTGATTTTTGGATGTTAATCCAGCCTTTTATTTTTCAGACAAATTCCATTTGGTCATGATATGTAATCCTGTTTCTATAGTGGTGAATTCACTTTGATATTTCATTGAGGGTTTTTTTTCCTCTATATTCATGAGGGGATTGGTCTGTAATATTATTTTTTTGTGATGTCTTTGTCTAGCTTTGGGACCAGGGTAATACCAGCCTCAAAGAAGGACAAAAATATCCCTTTGTCCTCTATCTTTGGGAAGAGTTTGTGGAATAGTGACATTAATTCTTCTTTTTTTTAACTTCTTTTTTCATTTTTTGAGACAGAGTCTCGCTCTTTTGCCCAGGCTGGAGTGCAGTGGCGCCATCTCGGCTCACTGCAAGCTCCTCCTCGCGGGTTCAAGGAATCCTCCTGCCTCATCCTCCTGAGTAGCTGGGATTACAGGCATGCACCACCATGCCCAGCTAACTTTTGTATTTTTAGTACAGACGGGGTTTCACTATGTTGGTGAGGCTGGTCTCAAACTCCTGACCTCGTGATCTGCCCACCTTGGCCTCCCAAAGTGCTGGGATTACAGGCGTGAGCCACCACGCCTGACCTGACATTATTTCTTCTTTAAACATTTGGTAGAATTCATTAGTGAGGCTCCCTAGGCTCAGGCTTTCCTTTGTGGACAGACTTTTAAAAGTATCAATTTTTTGGCTTGTTCTAAGTATATTCAGATTTTCTACTTCTTCTAGAGTGAATTTTGGGGATTTGTGTTTTGCTAGAAGTTTATCCATTTACTCAATTGCCTAATTTGTTGGGGTAAAGTTGTCCACAGTATTCTGTTATAATTTTTTATGAATTCTATGGGGTCAGAGGTTATGTCTCTCTTTCATTACTGATTTTGGTTATCTGAGCAGTCTCCCGCTTTTCTTGATCACGTTAGCTAAAGGGTTTTTTTTTAATTTTGTTGATCTTTTCCAAAAAACATACTTTTGGTTTCTTTGGTTTTCTCTGTGGTCTATCCCTTTTCTACAAACTTGCTTTCCATTCTCATCTTTATTTCCTTCATTCTGCTTGCCTTGGATTTAGTGTGTTCTTTCTTACATAAATTGGTAAGGTGAAAGGTTAGACTGCTGATTTGAGATCCTCCTTCTTTCCTAACATAGACTGTGTATTCTCTTTTAAGCACTCCATTAGCCGAATCAAGAAATGTTGACATGTCATGTTTTTGTTCTCATTCAGTTCAAAATACTTTGGATTCCCTAAATTTCTTTCTGTTGTTGTTTTCTCATTTAATTCCGTTGTGATTAAAGCACATACTTTTTATGATTTCATCTTTTTTAATTTGCTGAGACATGTTTTGTGACCTAGACTTTGGTCCACCCTGGAGAATGTATCATGTACCCTTGGAAAGAGTGGCTGTTCTGCTGCTGCTGAGTGGAGTGTTCTATAGAGATTGGTTTGGGGAAGTTGATTGATAGGGTGGTTCAAGGCTTCTATAACCTTACTAATTTTCTGTATACCTGCCCTATTAACAAAATACCTTAGACAGGGTAATTTATAAACAATAGAAATTTGTTTCTCACAGTTTTGGAGGCTGGGAAGTCCAAGATTACGGAGCCACAGATTTGGTGTCTGTCAAGGGCCTGTTCCATAGGTGGCATCCTCTCCGGTGGGCTGGAGGATCCTCACATGGCCAAAGGGGCAGCCTCTTTTTCATAAGGTCACTAATCCCATTCCTAACAGCTCCACTCCCATGATTTAATCACCGCCTACAGGATCCACCTCTTAATATCCCATTGGCAATTAAGTTTGGGTTTTTTTTTTTTTGGTTTTTTTTTTTTTTGAGATGGAGTCTCGCTCTGTCGCCCAGGCTGGAGTGCAGCGGCGAAATCTCGGCTCACTGCAGGCTCCACCTCCCGGGTTCGCGCCATTCTCCTGCCTCAGCCTCCCGAGTAGCTGGGACTATAGGCGCCCACCACCGCACCCTGCTAATTTTTTGTATTTTTAGTAGAGACGGGGTTTCACCGTGTTAGCCAGGATGGTCTCGATCTCCTGACCTTGTGATCCACCCACCTCGGCCTCCCAAAGTGCTGGGATTACAGGCGTGAGCCAATGCACCTGGCTAGGCAATTAAGTTTTAACATGAATTTTGGACCATAGCAAAGGAGTATTGAAATCTTCTACAAGTGGAAAGTTATCTATTTCTCTTTGTATTTATATCAGTTTTTGTTTCATGTATTTTGAAACTCTTATTAGGCACATAAAGGTTTAGGATTTTTGTGTCCTCTTGACTGACTCTTTCATCATTACAAAACGTCTCCTCCTTTTTTTTTTTTTTTTTTTTTTGGTAACTTCTTTTTGTCTTAAAGGTCTATTTTCCTGATATTAATATAGCCACTCATGGATCATGAGGTCAGGAGTTCAAGACCAGCCTGATCAACATGGTGAAACCCTGTCTCTACTGAAAATACAAAAATTAGCCGGGTGTGGTGGCACATGTGTAATCCCAGCTCCTCAGGAGGCTGAGGCAGGAGAATCGCTTGAACCCAGGAGGCGGAGGTTGCAGTGAGCCGAGATCACACCACTGCACTCCAGCCTGGGCGACAGAGCGAGACTCCACCTCAAAAAAATACATATACATTTATATATAGATACATATATATAGCCACCCCAGTTCTCTTATAGTTACTGTTTTCTTGGTATGTTTTTTCTATTCTTTTACTTTCAACCTATTTTCTGAATCTAATAAAGTGTCTTTTTTTTGTAAATAGTATATAGTTGGATTCTGGTTTTTCGTACAATCTGACAATCTCTATCTTTTGATTTGAGTGCTTATATTTGATGTAATTATTGATATGGTTTAATTTACATCTGACATTTTGCTATTTGTACAATGTGACAATCTGTCTTTGGATCTGAGTGTTTATATTTGGTGTAATTATTGATATGGTTTAATTTACATCTGACATTTTGCTATTTGTTTTCTATATTTCTGATGTCTTTTGCTTCTCTCTTCCTGTTAGTGCATTCTTTTGTGTTAAATAGATATTTCACAGTGTACCATTTTAATGCCTTATTTTCACTATATTTTAAATTTTATTTTCTTAAAAGTTATTCTGAACATTACAATATGCACTTTAATTTAAAATAATCTGTATGGGATTAAAACTAACTTTATTCCAATAAGATATAGAAATTTTGCTCCAATATATCTTCCTTCTTTTCTCATTTCTTTGTGCTAATACTGTCTTATAAAATGCATCTTGATATATTACAAGCCTAACAATACAGTTTTATAATTATTGCTTTATTCAGTTATGTTTTACATCAATTAAGAGAATAAACAAGTAAAAAAACATATTTATGCTAACATTTACATTTACCTTCACAAGTGCTCTTTATTTCTTCATGGAGATTCAAGTTATCGTATGATGTGATTTTCTTTAGCCTGAAGGACTTCCTTTAGCATTTTTTGTAAGGCAGGTCTGCTAGCAAAGAATCCTTCCCGTCTGTTTATCTTGGGATGTCCTTATTTTGCCTTCAGGTTTGAAAGATAATTTTGATGGATATAAATTCTTGATTGATTGGTTTCTTCTTTCAACACTTTGAATATCCTACTGCCTTCCAGCTTCCATTGTTTCTGAAGATAAATTAGCTGTAATCTGATTGTGGTTCTCTTATACATGATGAGTCATTTTACTGTTGTTCCCTTGAAGACTTTGTCTTTGATGACATATGTTATAGTCACAGTCTTTGCCTATGGTGTGTCTAGGTGTGGATTTCTTTGAGTTTATTCTATGCTATGATCTGAAGGTTTGTGTCACAAAATTTATATGCTGAAATTCATATGCTGAAATCCTAACCCCAATGGTAGTAGGAGGTGGGCCTTTTGTAGATTAAGCTATGAGGGCAGAGCCTTTGTGAATGGGATCAGTGTCCTTATAAAATAGGCCCAAGAGAGCTTCTTCACCCCTTCTGCCATGTGAGGACACAGTGAGAAGGCACCATCTGTGAACCAGAAAGCCAGCCCTCACAAGACACTGAATCTGCTGGCACCTTGATCTTAGACTTCCCAGTCTCTGGAACTGTAAGAAATAAATTTCTGTTGTATCTAAGCCACCTAGTTGATGGAATTTTGTTAAAGCAGTCCAAACAGACTAAGACATTCCACTTGGAGTTTGTTAAGCTTATTGTATTTACATACTAATATTTTTAAGCAAATTTGGGACATTTTCAGCTATTCTTTAAAAGAAAAAAAAAGGTTTTACCCCTTTCACTTGATGTTGTCCCACAGGTCTCTGAGAAGTGCTGTTCATTTTATTCTGTTCTTTTTTCTTTCTGTTCTTTAGACTAAATGGTTTCTATTGCTTGTCTTCAAGTTTGCTGAGTCCTTCTTCCTCTAGCTCAAACCTGCTGTCGAGCACCTCTAGTAAATTTTCATTTCAGGTATTATACTTTTCAATTCCAAAGTTTCTATATAGTTCTCATTAATACTTTGTATCTTTTTGTTGACTTTCTCTGTTGGTTAGACATTGTTGTCTCATACTTTACATTATTTCTTTGTTTTCTGTTTTTTGTTTTTTTTTTTGAAATAGGGTTTTGCTGTGTTCTCCAGCCTTGTCTCAAACTCCTGGCCTCAGGTGATCCTCCCACCTCAGCCTCCTGAGGAGCTAGGATTACAGGCATGTACCACCACACCCAGCTGCTTTAATTATTTAAACATAGATTCCTTTAGACCTTTGAACATGTTTATAGTAAATTATTTTAAGTCATTGTCTACCAAGTCCAATATCTGAGCTTGCTCAGAGATAGCTTGTATGCACTGCTTCTTTTCTGTGTATGACCACATTTTTCTATTTATTTGTATGTTTCACCATGTTTTTGGAAACTAGAAGCTTTGGATAAATATTATAACAAATCTGAGTTCTGATTTGTCTCCCCTAGAGGCTATTGCTGCATTTATTTGTGTGTTTAGTGACTTGCCTGGATAAATTATTTAGAGCCGGTCTCCCCTCCAGTGTGCAAACATGGAAATCTTATTTGTTTGTTTGCTTAATTCCTGCCTTCATTTTAAACCTTTTCTATAGATTAAGCATAATCTGGGTAAGCATCCTTAATAGGCAGCCAATGATTGGTCAGAGGTTTTGCTTAAACACCTTCAGCCAGTAAGATTTCTGCCCTTTGGTGTGGTGAGGCACACACTCAGAGGGCAGGCAGTTTACAAGTGTGCCCACCTTCACTTGCTGTTTGTGCAGGGCCTCGTGGTCAGCCAGGAACAAACAGATAACTGGGCCCTCTCCACTCTCTCCTGCACATTCCTACACCTTGGGCAAGTGCACAGCATTCCAGATTCTTAGAAATGTGTCAGGTTTATCAAAGCCCCTATGGTTGTCTTATTTCCCAGCTCTTTCTTGTAAATTTTTGGCTGGTTGCTGCTTTCCCAAGTCAGTGTCACAGACTTAGGTAGCTGTGACATTGGCCTTCTTTGATTGTCTGCTATAGAGATGGCCTCTGTTTTGACAGTGTTTCTGGACATTGTGCTTTTCTATGGAGCTCCAAATTAGATCAGCCCCCTCTAGCAGCAGCAAGACTTCTGGGTTTATGGTTGCCACACCACAGAGTTCAGAGAGAGGTGGGTGGGAGCAGCCCTGTGTTGAAATGGCACAGACCCCGCCACTGTCAACAAAGGCTCAGCTGTTTTTATTAAATAAATGTCTTTCCATTTGTTATTTGTCTTTGGTTAATGTCCAGAGTTCCGAAATGGTTGTTTTTGGCAATTTTGTCCAATTTTATCATTGTTCTTATAGGGACAGGATTTGCTGTGGTCCTCCTTCCACCTTTCTCCCCATTTAACTTTAAGCTCCACTACTGCCAGTCACTTCAGGCTCCTCCTATCAAGAGACCAGTAGGCAAGGAAAGGGGTCACCATTCTGGCAGGAGAAATCAACCCTGATCATCAGAAAGAGATAGGGTTTCTATTACATTATGGAGCCAGGAAGGAACACATTTGGCACCCAGGTTATTTTCTGGGCATTTCTTGGCACAGTTTGGCCCAATTTGATCATAAGTGGGCAAGTGCCACAGTCATGACCAAAGCCAGTGCATGGTGACGAAGGTTTCAGACCCCTCAGAAATGAGGGTCTGAGTCACTCAACCCTATGAGCCGCCTAGATCATTACAGGTACTACAATGGGATGAGAAAAACCTGGAATGGGTGGTGGAGGTGGGAGACAATGAGCATCAGTCACGGCCTAAAGATCAGCTGCTGTGGTCGGGGCAGTCGGTTCATCCCAGCAATGCTCCTCTCGCAACTTGTCCCCAGGAAAAGAGGCCCATAGAATCCAGGAGGAGTCGCTCTCAGGAATTATCATATGAAATAAGGGGAGTCAAGTGGCATGAGGTGTGGACTGTAACCTGTGCTATTTGGGACTGAAGCATTAATTTCCCCAGCTGCTGGAATGGTTGGTGGCTGACAGCACTCAGCTGGGTCCACCTCTCCCTGGTGCCATGCCTTTGGCTGAAGAAAGCCTCACTGCCCACGGTCAAAGGCCCTCTCCTGTGGCAATCCATATCCAAAGATAGGTCAATATGGAGATACAAAGACTCCTCCCCAACCCCCACCCCAATGTGGGACAACTCTGAGAGGATGTCTAAAGCTCCATGGGGATTGTCTGAGACTTTGTCGCAACTGCAGAGCAATTAAACTCATCCCACCGCCCTTCTTGGTTCCTTCACCCCCACCCTCCTCGGGAGGTGTTGATCAGGAGAACATTTCTCAAAAAATCTCTTGTACATAAATTTCCACTCAGTGTATACTTCCAGGGGAACCCCACCTGCAACAATTGGTATCTCACTCTCTTGTTTCAATCATGCATAATTAAGCCCAGGCAACACAGCGATAACTCATCTCTACAAAAAATGTAAAAATTAGTCAGGCGTGGTGGCACACACTTGTTGTGCCAGCTACTTGGAGGTTGAGGCAAGAGGATCCCTTGAGGCCAGGAGTTTGAGACCAGCCCGGGCAACATAATTAGACCTCTGCCTCTACAAAAAAAAAAAATAGAAAGAAATTTTAAACATTAGCCAGGTATGGCGGCACACACCTGTAGTCCTAGCTACTCAGGAGGCTGAGACAAGATCACTTGAGCCCAGAAGTTTGAGGCTGCAGTAAGTTATGATCGTGCCACTGCGCTCTAGCCTGGACAACAGAATGAAGCCCTTTCTCAAAAAAAAAAAAAAAAAACCATAATTAAGCCCAACAATTAACATGAATGAATCCTCCTCCTCTATTTTTCTGGCAGCAGACAGGGAGAAAAGGGTGGCACACACAAAAAAGTCTAATTGACAGATGCTAAAATTGAGGGCAACTGTTTTATGAATAGGTAATTAAATCTTTTTGTATGCCAATGTCTCATCATTGTATACCAATGATGAAAAATGTTGCTTGCAGAAGAACTGCCACCTCTGGGATTTTTATAATAACTTCTGACAATTATATAGAATTTACAAGGCCTAAGCTGGAAACAACTTCAAATGAGGGACTGAGTCTGATGTGTCCGCAGTACCCACATTGGGCACTGCTCCTAGAAGAGGCTGGGACGCATTTCCTAAGTGAACGAAGGTGAAAACCCTTTCGCATGTGTCTTGTCGCACTGGTCTCTTCCAACACCCACTGCAATGGTGGGTTTGAGTCACATAGTAGTTGAGAGCCATGGCTTGGAAACTGTACAAGCCAGGACCCCATCAGCGGAGCCGAGCCACTCAGACAGAGAGGGAGAGAAAGGGATCCATTGCAGGGAGTTGACCTCACACAACTGTGGGGCCTGGCTAGGCAGTCTCTGTAAGTCTGTTGTCTTTGCATCCGAGGCTGGAGCTCGGAGAACAGAAGGCAGTGGGGAAGGCAAGAGAAATGTAAAGTGGGCAGATCGAGAGCGAGCCGGGGTCCATAGCAGAGCGGGCCCCACAAGGACAAGCACACCCGGCTCAATTCTTTTTGCCTCTAAAATTGGTATGAGTAGCCCACAGGATCCCAGGGCTTTCATCGCAGAGCGAAACACACATGCCTGGCCCAGGAGCCAGGGAAGCAGAAGGAGGATCCGGGGGTGTGGTGCAGCCATGGGCCCAGCCAGTCTCATGTCAATGAGGTGATCGGAATATCAGCAACCTCATAGGTGAGTTACACAACGGCTGTTCCTTCACCCTGCCTTCTCAGTCTCCCCGGAGTCAATACTGTGGCCCACTCTCACCAAAAATACACAGGAAAGGAAGTTCTGGGTAACATAACTCAGCCTCGCTAAGCTGATACATTACCCATACACCAAAGTCCACCTCTTGTCAACTTGACACCCAGGCCCCATCTCCTCTCCAAAGTATGAATGAGACTCACAAAGTCATCCTTCTGGATTACACAACTATCTTACAGCTACACATTACACAACAGCCCTGCCTATACCTACAAATACACTAACCTTTCCCCAGAAGAGGATAGAAAGTCCTTTTTTCCCCTTTGGACAAGGTTGATTCTTCTAGCTCACTCACACTGCCTGTTTTAAATTCTGCAGCCTAGATACTGAGATACGAAGCTAACTACTGGTTCCGCATCTTATGCTAGATGATGAGATAAGAAAAGAAAACAAAAAATACACATACATATAAACATATTCAAAATAAGGAAGAAAGACCCATGGTTATTACAGTCCTCATTTCTGCCACTGGTTACATCGTCCTAACAGGCATTGATAACTAACTCCTTCCAATGGCCATTTCATATTCCCTTTGGCTTTAGCGAGCATTCCAGCTACTCATGGTTTTTTGCTTTGTAGAGTGCCCCAAGCATTGATTCATGAAGACTTTGGGCCATTGGAGGTTCTGCCTGAATTGGGCTGGTAAAGATTTTCATTGGTTTTAATCACAGGGCAGGGGAGGAATAGAAAACACCCAAGGGTCTCCTGCAATTCATGGGTGCATTGGCAATCCAATCTCTCCTTGATCGGGATTGATCAGGATCAATCACCCCAGCCAGTACAGTGACCCCCCTTCTTCGCTTGTTGACTCAGCAGTATGAGGAGCTCAAAGTGACCGGATGGCAGTTTCAACATCCAGCTTTGCTATAGTTTGCATAGGGTTTGTTTGGCTCCATCAAGTCTCTTCTTGAAATTTGGCCCTGGGTGTTAGCCGTGGAGGCCTGGTGGGGGGGTGTTTTGCTCAGAGGAGCAGATCCCTCATGAACAGGCTCTTAGTTTCCACGGGAACTGGCGGTTGAAAAGAGCCTGGCACCCTCCTTCTTTTTTATTTTTTATTTTATTTTTCATTCTTTTGAGAGAGTGTCTTGCTCTGTTGCCCAGGCTGGGGTGCAGTGGCGTGATCACGGCTCACCTCACTGCTGCTTCAATCTCCCCAGCTCAGGCGATCCTCCTGCCTCAGCCTCCCAAGTAGCAGGAACCACAGGCACAGCTCCCATGCCTGGCTGAATTTTTTTTTTTTTTTTTTTTATAAAGACGAAGTTTCACCATGTTGCCCAGGCTGGTCTTAAAGTCCTGGGGTCAAGTGAACCTCCCACCTTGACCTCCCAAAGTGCTGGGATTATAGGCGTGAGCCACCACACCTGGCTGGCACCTTCCTTCTGCCTTACTTGCTGCTATGTGATCTCTGCATATGCTGGCTCCTCCTCACCTTCCACCAGGAGTGGAAGAACCATGAGGCCCTCATCAGATGCAGGTGCCAGCACCATGCTTCTATTTTTATTTATTTATTTTTTTTGAGGTGGAGTCTTGCTCTGTCTCCCAGGCTGGAGTGCAGTGGTGCAATCTCGGCTCACTGCAACCTCCGCCCCCCGGGTTCAAGTGATTCTCCTGCCTCTCAGCCTCCTGAGTAGCTGGGATTACAGGCACATGCCACCACGTCCAGCTAATTTTTGTATTTTTAGTAAAGGGAGGGTTTCGCCATGTTGGCCAGGCTGATCTCGAACTCCTGACCTCAGGTGATCCACCCACCTCAGCTTCCCAGAGTGTTGGGATTATAGGCTTGAGCCACCGTGCCTGGCCAGCACCATGCTTCTTGTATGGTGTGCAGAATTATGAGCCAAATAAATCTCTTGCTTTATAAATTATCCAGTCTCTCATAGTCCTCATGGGAATGCTAAATGGACTGAGACAAGCTCAAGGTAGTCATTGCTGTGTCAATGCCGAAAGGACTTGGTAGGCCCATGTGTGTACATTTTGGCAGAAGCATTGAGGGCAGGGAAGGCAAATTTCATCCAGAGTCAATATCTATTCCAGCGAGAACAAAGTGCTACCCCTTTCCATGATGAAGTGGCCCAGTGCAGTCGTCTGCCTCTAGGTGGCTGGCCGGTCCCTGGGAAGCGGACCATGGCAGGATTCAGTGCCGGTCTCTGCTGGTGGCCCATCGGGCTCTCAGCAGTGGCTGTAGATGATTGGCTTTGTGCAATGGAAGCAGACGTGGCTGAGAGTGTGCAACCTCCACTCCTTCCTGCTTTGCTCAGGAGCCTATATGACAAACCCAAGCATAGGCCAGAGAGGAGACTGCCATCCCCAAAACAGGTCATCCCATCCACCTGGTTAATAAAATCTTCCTCTGCTGAGATCACCCTTTGATGACTTTCACTGAACTTTCGCATGAGACACAAATATCTTCACACTCTATGCTGATTTGGAGAGGTCTATCCACTTACCCACTTCCTCAGACCTTCTTCTCACTGGTTTCTCAATTGTATTCCAATTCCAGTTCTCTAACCGCTTAGCCAAACCATTAGCCAGAGCCCACAAATCAATACAGACCCGTATCTCTGGCCAGCTCTCTTTTCCAACAAAATGAACAACCCAGATTCTGCGAATTGGTAGGATGTCCCCTCACCACAGGCCTTCAGGGCCATTTCAGAGCGGGGCCACCTGTTGCAGCTGTCTGCGCTGGGGTAGTATCTGTGTGTCACACAGAACCATCTATAAACCAGGATGGAAATGCCTTCCTCAGTGACCTGATCATGGGGACCTCCCCTGAGGCCATCAATACAGATTGATAGAGAGAAGGTGGCACAGCTGAGAATAGGGGCTGCAAGCTTCAGAGTATCAGAGTCACTTCTTCTTCTTTTTTTTTTTCCCCCTTTTTTGAGACAAAGTCTCACTCTGTCACCCAAGCTGGAGTGCAGTGGTGCTATCTCAGCTCACCGCAACCTCTGCCTTCCAGGTTCAAGTGATTCTCCTGCCGCAGCCTCCTGAGTAGCTGGGATTACAGGCGCCCACCACCACGCCCGGCTAATTCTTCTTTTAGTAGAGTTGGGGTTTCACCATGTTGCCCAGGCTGGTCTCGTACTCCTGACCTCAGATGATCCACCTACCTTGGCCTCCCAAAGTGCTGGGATTACAGGAGTGAGCCACCACGCAGGGCCTTGAGTTGCTTCTCACTCAACTTGCTTTTGCCTAAAGCATTTGCTCCAGCCTGAGCCTATACATTCGTTTCCATGCGACACAGGAGTACCACTGTGCACGACCAACCTTTTGGCTGTGTGGGTCTGACTGTACTTAGTCCACAGTGAGTGTCTCGGGTCACCTAGTAACTTGGCTGCCCATGGTCAAGAGCTCATTCTCAGCCGGACGCACTGGCTCATGTCTGTAATCCCAGCACTTTGGGAGGCCAAGATGGGGACATCACCTGAGGTCAGGAGTTCAAGACCAGCCTGGCCAACATGGTGAAACCTCATCCCTACTAAAAATACAAAAATTAGCCAGGCGTGGTGTTGGGAACCTGTAATCCCAGCTACTTGGAAGGCTGAGGTAGGAGAATTGCTTGAACCGGGGAGTTGGTTGCAGTGAGCTGTGATCACGCTACCGCACTCCAGCCTGGGAAACAGAGCAAGACTTTGTCTTAAAAAAAAAAAAAAAAAAAAAGAGTTCAATCTCTGTGGAAGCCCAGGAGCAAGTCAAAAGTGGTTTCTCAATGACACCCGAGCGGAGAGTGGTTCTCCACAAAGGAGGGCAGCACCTCACTCCAAAATGTGAATGGTCTGTGCTGTGATTCACCTGGGAGGGGGTGCCAAAAGCTCGGAACAACTCCCCAGGGAAGTGCCTCTGACACTGCAGACACCACTGGATCTGCTGGTTCATATGGCCCAAGAGGCAGAGCCACTGGCACGGCAGCCTGGATCTGCTGTGCAGCCTTCTCTTGTTCTGGGTCTCTCTCAAAATTGGCAGATTTTCACATCACTCAGTAAATGAGTCAGAATAGCACGCCCAAGCACAGTCATACCTCACTTAATCAAAGAGGTATGTTCTGAGAAACGCATCATTAGGCAATTGCGTTGTTGTGCAAACATCATAGAGTGTACTCACAGACACTTAAATGGTACAGCCTACTGCACACCGGAGCGAGGTGGTATGGTCTATTGCTCCTAGGCTACAGACCTGTACTGCATGTGACTGTACTGACCACTACAGGCAATTGTAACAAAATGTAAGTATCTGTGTATCTAAACATAGAAAAGGTACAGTAAAAATACAGTATAAAAAAATAAAAACTGGCCAGGCGGGGTGGCTTATGCCTGTAATCCCAGCACTTTGGGAGGCCGAGGCGGGTGGATCACCTGACGTCAGAAGTTTGAGACCAGCCTGGCCAACTTGGCGAAACCCCACCTCTATTAAAAATACAAAAATTAGCCAGGCCTGGTGGTACATGCCTGTAATCCCAGCTACTCGGGAGGCTGAGACAGGAGAATCACTTGAACCTGGGAGGTGGAGGTTGCAGTGAGCCAAGATCACGCCACTGCATTCCAGCCTGGGCAACAACAGAGCAAGACCCTGTCTCTAATTAAGTAAGTAAATAAATAAATAAATAAATAAATAAATAAATAAATTAAATTAAATTAAATAAAACCTGGTCCACCTGTCTAGAGCACTTACCATAAGTGGAGCTTGCAGCACTGGAAGTTGCTCTGGGTGAGTGAATGGGAAGGCCTAGGACATTCCTGCACACTACTGTAGACTTTATACACACTGAGCACTTAGGCCACACTAAATTTATTTTAAAATGCTTTTTTCCTTCAATAATAAATCAGCCTTAGCTTACTGTAACTCTTTAACTTTGTAAACATTTTAGTCACTTTTAACTTCTTGACTCTTTAGTACTAACACTTAGCTTGAAACACAAACATTGTATAGCTGTACAAAAATATTTCTTTCTTTATATCCTTATTCTATAAGCTTTTTTCTATTAAATTTTTTCTTACTTTTTAAACTTTTTTCTTAAAAACTAAAACCCAAACACACACATAAGCCTAGGACTACCCACGGTCGGGATCATCAGTATCACTGCCTTCCACCTCCGCAGCTTTTCCCTCTGGAAGATCCTCAGGGGCGGAAAGCATGGAGCTGCCATCTCCTGTGATAACCATGCCTTCTTCTGGATGCCTCCTGAAGGACCTGCCTGAGGATGTTTCACCGTTCACTTTGTTTTTTGTTTTTTGTTTTTTGTTTTGTTGTTGTTTTGTGTTTTTTTTTGAGATGGAATCTCGCTGTGTCACCCAGACTTGAGTGCAATGGTGTGATCTCGGCACACTGCAACCTCCACCTCCTGGGTTCAAGCGATCCTCCTGCCTCAGCCTCCCAAGTAGCTGGGACTACAGGTGCACGCCACCATGTCCAGCTAATTTTTTGTATTTTTAGTAGAGACGGGGTTTCACCGTGTTAGCCAGGCTGGTCTCGATCTCCTGACCTCATGATCTGCCCACCTTGGCCTCCCAAAGTGCTGGGATTACAGGATTGAGCCACTGTGCCTGGCCCCACTTTGTTTTTTTATAAGTAAAAGTAGTACACTCTAAACAGTTAAAAGTATAATAGAGCCGGGTGTGGTGCCTCATGCCTGTAATCCCAACACTTTGGGAGGCCAAGTTGAGAGGATCATGAGGTCAGGAGTTTGTGACCAGCTTGGCCAACATGATGAAACCCCGTCTTTACTAAAAACACAAAAAATTAGCTGGGCACAGTGGCGGTCACCTGTAATCCCAGCTACTGGAGAGGCTGAAGCAGGAGAATCGCTTGAACCTGGGAGGTGGAGGTTGCAGTGAGCCAAAATCGTGCCACTATACTCCAGCCTGGGTGACAGAGCAAGACTCAGTCTCGGGAAAAATAAATAAATAAAAATTGAAGTATAATAGAGTAAATGCATAAACCCATAACATAGTTATTTATTCTCATTATCAAGTATTTTGTACCGTCCATAGCTGCATGTGGTAGACTGATAGAACTGACGGTGCAGTAGGTTTGTTTACACAAACATCACACAAACATGCGAGTAATGCATTACAGCACCACCTCATTACAACAGCTATGATGTCACTAGGCAAGAGAACGTTTCAGCTCCATTCTAATCTTATGGGACCACCTTCATATGCACAGTCTGTGGCTGATGGAGACATCATCCTGCGATGCATGGCTATGTATATGCCGCCTCCGAAATCCAGAGAGCTGCACTGGAAGCTGTGTCTCTTTCATGCCGATAGGAGATACCAGATGAAGCAACTTTCCTTTCACCTTGGAAAGAATCTTTCAACATGCTCCAAAACTACTGGACTCCTAGAATTTTCCCTAAGCTGGGAAGTCCCCGAATTTTTGTGAGATTTATTTCCCACCCTCTGGCATGCAAGTGTCTTACCAATGCGTCCTGCTAACCAGGTCCAGTCGGCAGAATAACTTCAAAGAAATGAAGCAGTGTGATGCTCTCATAAAGGAAAGACAATCAAAGTTCCTGGGGAGTAGATTATGCCATAGAGTTGGAGAGATGGTTTGCCCCTCAGGTAGGATGGTGATGATGAGCTGCTGGCCTTACCAACAATACAACTGGGAAGCAAACTTATTTTGCTGCTCTTTACTAACAGGTATAGAGAAAAAGAGACACCCACCAACTCAACAGCTGCCTTCCCAGTGTCTGATGATGTGTTGATTTGCTCCAGCAACGGAACCACATCTGGAACAGCAGCTGCAAATTAGAATTGCCATCTGATTAAATGTATAATAATTGACTCTAATTTCTCTATGATCCATCTGTTTTCTACTCAGCCCAAATAGGTGGGTTGGATGAAGATATTACAGGAATCACCACCCTTTCATTTTTCAGGTTCCTTGATGAGGGCACTAATCTCTGCCATCCCTCCAAGAATACAGTATTACTTCCGGTGTACTATTTTCATAGGTCGAGCAGTTCTAGTAGCTTCTTCCATTTGGCCTTTCCTATCATAATAGCCCCCACTCCATGGGTTAAAGAGTCAATGTGAAGATTCTGCCAGCTGTTGAGTGTGTCTATCCTAATTTTGAATTCTAGAGCTGGGGAGACAACCACAGGGTGGGTTTAGGGACCCACCAGGCCCATGGTGAGAGAGATCGGAATAAAACTCTATTGCTCACTTCACTGATGACTTCCAAAAGCCCCTTTTCTGACTGCTGGACCACAGTGATGCTTTAGGTCTTCAGAAATCAGTGTGTTAATTCAGAGCCAGTACCTAATAATCCCTGAAAAGTCTGAAAAGATAAAAATAAAGTGCTGGCGGCACACAGTGGCTCATGCCTGTAATCCCAGCACTTTGGGAGGCTGAGGCGGGCGGATCATGAGGTCAGGAGATGGAGACCATCCTGGCTAACGCGGTGAAACCCCTTCTCTGCGGAAAATACAAAACGTTAGCCGGGCATGGTGGCGGGCGCCTGTAGTCCCAGCTTCTCGGGAGGCTGAGGCAGGAGAACGGCGTGGACCCAGGAGGAGGAGCTTGCAGTGAGCCAAGATCACACCACTGCACTCCAGCCTGGGTGACAGAACGAGACTCCGTCTCAAAAATAAATAAAATAAAATAAAAACAAAATGCTAACTGCAGTGCCTTGGCATTAAAAAAAATACTGGGGCCAGGTGCGGTGGCTCGTGGTTGTAATCCCAGCACTTTGGGAGGCCAAGGCAGGTGGATTGCTTGAGCCTGCGAGTTTGAGACCAGCTTGGACAACATAGTGAAACCCTGTCTCTACAAAAAATACAAAAATTAGCCACATGTGGTGGCATGCACCTGTAGTCCCAGCTACTGGGGAGACTGAGGTGAGGAGGATCACCTGAGCCTGGAAAGTGGAGGTTGCAGTGAGCTGTGATGGAGCCACTGTACTCCAGCCTGGGTGACAGAGCCAGATCTCATCTCAAAAAAACAAAACAAAACTGGGTATTGTTATGATTGATATTAATTGCAGCAAAGGGTCTTGATTCCATCCTTATCTTCAGCTTGGCAAAGTGACATCTTAACTCCCCTAGGCAGGGGATGGGGGCATTCGGGGTAGAGTGGGTTACTCCACAGTGAGTGGATGGATGGAAAAGGAAGTACTCACAGAAGCTCCACCCTGAAGTGGCCAAGGATGCAACCTCATTCTCCTGGGATTCTTACTGGTGACCTGCCGGAAGTGATGCGGCCTGAGATGGTCTGTTTCCCTGAAGCTCCCAGTGAAGCACGGTTGCTAATTCTAAGAAAATTTGGAATAAGGTATGTTTAAAAATCAGAAGGCAGCGTCAGGTAGTGGAGAGAAAATTGGCATGTACCTTCTAGAGGTCTGGACACTGGGCTCAGCCCTACCACTCTCTAGCCAGGTGAGCGTGAACATGCGTTTCACTTCTCTGAGCCTCAATTTCATCATCGGTAACAGTAGAAGATGATATTATTCACCCCGTAGGTTATTGAATGAACTGCCTGAGATTATGCATTTGGAGTACTTGGCACAGAGCCTGACACAGTTGTGTACGGTTGTTCTTAATGGCTCCACTGCTGCCCTATCACCCACCTTACACCAGGGTTTTGCAACCTGGGCATTACTGACATTTGGGGCCAAATAATTCTTTGTTGCAGAGACGTCCTGTGCTTTGCAGGCTGGTTAGCAGCATCCCCGGCCTCTATCCTTTGGATGCCACCCAGTTTTTACAATGAAAAATGTCTCCAAGGATGGGCGTGGTGGCTCACGCCTGTAATCCTAGCACTCTGGGAGGCTGAGGTGGGCAGATCACTTGAGGTCAGGAGTTCAAGACCAGCCTGGCCAACATGGCGAAACCCCATCTCTACTAAAAAATACAAAAATTAGCCGGGCATGATGGCGTGTGCCTGTAATCCCAGCTACTTGAAAGGCCGAGGCGGGAGAATCACTCAAACCCAGGAGGTGGAGGTTGCAGTGAGCTGAGATCATGCCACTACACTCCAGCCTGGGTGACAGAGCGAGTCTCTGACTCTGTGTCATGGAGTTTTTGACTCCATGTCAAAAAAAAAAGAAAGAAAGAAAAAAGAAAAATGTCTCCAGACATTGCCAAATGTCTCCTGGGGGGAAAAAATGTCCTCAGTTGGGAAGCTTAGGCTGGTCATTCTTTTGGTTTCAGTTTCCACATTTGTAAATAAGTAGTTGAAGCAGAGGATCTAGATGACTTCAAAAGCTATCACTCTTGCATTCCTTCATTTATCCCCTCATTCCTAGAAAACCAATATTAACTCTGTATCAGTCCTGAGACACACAATTTTTTTTTTAGTTCTCTGTTTTAAAATCCAATGGTGCAAGTTGCCCCTTGGTTACTTTTTTTCCTTGCTTGTTCTCTTTATCTTATTTGTTCAGATAAACTTCAGAATTCTATTGTCTAAGGACCTAATGCAAATAGATAGCATTAAACTTTTATAAATTAATGTTGGGGATAATTGACAACTTTATAATAGTAAATTTTAATTACTCAAATCCTTATTTTTTTAGCAATGAGTTGCTATTGATATTTAGGTTTTTGTATAGGTAGCATATGTGTCCTACTAACTGACTTCTCATATTTTTCCTTCAGGTCATTCTCTTGAGGTTTTTGGTAGACAATCATCATCATCATTTAGTCTCCTTTCCATGTTTTGCTTTTTCTTGTCTTATTACATGGGCTAGAAGTCCTAGAGCAACAGTGATACTCATTGCTCTCCATGACTACTCATTTGCAGGTGAGGAAGCAAACATGAAGATATTATGGGCCCAAGGGACAGAGCCAAAAGGTAAAGCCAGTGCCCTTAACTGCTGTATAACCCATGGCCTTACTTGCCTTTCGGTTTTACTGACTGATAGGATAGTAAACATTAGTTTAAGACAGATGTTCTTTCTGACATTAAGGAGATATGTACTTGTTTCCTAGTTTGCTGGGATTTATTTTGATTTTATCAGATTCCTTCTGGAACCTATTGCATTGGTATCATATATTTTTTCCTATGACCTGTGCTGAAGTTGAAATTTGGTCAACTCCAGTGTTCGCATCTTTGTCATGGCCATGGCGCCCCAGTGACCACAGCCAGACGCACTTCCGGGTGCAGCTGAGCCACCGGCCAGTCTGAGTGAGCTGGGATCTTCATGTCTCCTCCCCAGCTGTGAGTCGGGGCTGGGCCCTCTCCTTCCTGTGAACAGGATATGTGGGATTCACTGAGTGAGGGTCTTGGCTGGGTGACGTGGAGAGCTAAGGCTTTCTTCTTTCTCAGCTGTGGGAGAGAGTCACTGAAGAAAGAAAGCCACAGGGCCTAAGACCCAAAGCCTATCACCTCCAGGCCCAGGGGCCCAGTTAGTTGAGCTCCTTCCTTAAGCTGCCCAGCTGTTAGCCTGTGTCAGGGTCCTGGACTGGGTCCTGACCACATAGGCTGCCCACAGAGCCCCCTCTCTGTCTTATCCCCAGTCTCCACAGCCCCTCCCTACTCCCTCCTTCTCAGATCTCCTTCAGGAACCTTCCATGCACCTGCTCCAGGTGCTGCACGGGGCCTCTTCCTCTACGTGGAGTTCACTGGGGATTTTTCTGATGCTGCTCCCTAGCCCAGAGCACTGTGCAAAGGCTGCTCACAGCAGTAATCCCTCAGGCCCCAAGCCCGCCCTCTGCCTCTGGACCATCCCCACCCCTGGGCTCTTTTTGGCCACTGGGCCTATAATCGGGGTTTCCTCTCCCAGGTCCAAGCCTGGCTCCAGGGTTGTCTAGTAGGGACTCTAGGTGACCATCATTCTCCCCTCCTTCTACGACCACTCCAGGCTCAACACAACTGCTGCATGTCCTAATGTTAAATTAAACCTGCTTTTCTAGAAAATGCTACACATGATCACACATTAAAAAAAAAAAAAACAAAAACCTGGCTGCAGGCCACACATGGTGGCTCCCATCTGTAATCCCAGCACTTTGGGAGGCTGAGGCAGGCGGATTACCTGAGGTCAGGAGTTCGAGACCAGCTTGGGCAACATGGCAAAACCCCATCTCTACTGGAAATACAAAAATTAGCTGGGCATCGTGGCGCCCAGCTGAGGCACAAGAATCGCTTGAACCCGGGAGGTGGAGTTTGCAGTGAGCCAATATCGCCCCACTGCACTGCAGCCTGGGTGACAAAGTGAGACTCTGTCTCAAACAAAACAAAACAAAACAAAAAAAACCCACAAACAAACAAACAAAAAATGTGGCTGCTTTGCTGTGTTGTTATTTCATTGGAAATTTTGTTTCTCTGTTCAGGGGTGAGGACAGTGACTTTTCTTTTCAAGTTTTGTGATCTTTGTCAGGTTTCAGCCTAGAGGTTCTCCTAGCTCTGGAAATGGAATTGGAAAGTCTTCATCTTTTCCTTTTCTCTTCTGTGGAACAGTTCCTCTAGCCTGAGCCTTCCCCCTCCCTCGAAGGGTCAAATGTGGCCTCCAAACCAGGTCGGCCTTGCCTGCCATGGGGTCTTCCCCCAGAGGATCACTCTGTTCCTGCTGGCTGCATTGAGGAATTTGGAGGATTAATATTTTCCTAGAAAACTCGCCCCTTTCATCAACGTTTCTGCATTTATTAACTTGGGAACCTTCAGTGTGGTCATGTTATTTCCCTAGAGGTTTCAGGACAGCGTCCGTGTCTGGCATTTAGCTCCTGCCTGTCCGTCTTGTGTGCTCTGCCGCATTGAGAGCAGCAGGCAGGTGTGGAGTCGGGGCCCCGGGTGGGTGAGGGTAGGTGGGTGAGATCGAGGGCTATGGGGCTGACTGCCTAAGTGGCAACTCCAGATGGCACATTATGACTCAAATGGGCTGATTTTTCTGAAACAGGAGGTGGGCCAGGAAGCCCCCCACTTTGAGAAATGCAGTTAGGATGAATTTCAATGTCCAGTGTTCATCCAGGAGAGGCCAAACCTTTCGGATCCCGGGATGACACTTCGTCTTCATCAGTCCTAATTGTTGGGGTCAGGAAGTGTTTTGGGTCATACCTCCTGGTTCCTAATTCAGGGTTTTAGAGCCAGAGAGGACCTTGGGTGGGGAGACCAGAGGGACACCGAGGGACTGAGTGGGCCTGAGCCCTAGCTGTGAGGGCTGAGGGTGGAAGGAGATGGGGAGGAGGCAGAACCGTGGCTGCTGTGGTGGCCAAGGGAGGAGGCGGGTATCAGGGGATCCCAGGACCTGAGGTTGGAGAGCTGGAAGGGGTGGTAGCAGCCTGGCCAGGGAAAGTCTGAGAGAGGAAGGACGGGCCCTGCGGAAGGGGAGAGGGGACCCAAACCAAGGGCTGCCTCCCAGGCCACCAGGGCCAAGGAATAAGACCTGGGCTCCTCTGTCCTGGGTTCAGCTGGCCGCTCTGGCTCTGGCATTCTGGGACTGGAATCCTGCGCTGAGCGCACTTGCGTGTGGCCGGGGCTGGGCCTGGGAGGGATGTGCAGGGCCTGCCTGAGGAGCCCAGGGAAGCCCGTCCACCTGCCATGGGAAGTGTTGAAAGGCTGCAAGTCCCCCTCACTAAGTAGCACATAGACTGTGTCCTAGCCCCTCTCTTGGGCGACTGCCCCTTCACTAAGCCCCGGAAGGCCCCACACCAGCGTGGGAGACTTTGACTCCCAAGTTCTTTGCTGGACCTCAGAGCATGGGGGGAACTGGCCCTGAGCACGGTAACTCTCATGCTCCCACATGGACCCCCCTCCCTGCACCTGTCACCTTCATGTCCCAGCTCCATCCAGGCCACCCACAATGAGCCACCTTGGGAAACAGACAGGGACAAGGTCCATGTGGGCCTTGGAGGTCTTCTCAGGACCCTCTGGACAGGAGACTCCCAGGTTCCAAGAGTGTGGTCTAGAAGGGGTGTGCACAGGCCCGGGCGGGCTCACCCCTTAGCCCTGCGGCCTCCTGGCCACATGAGAGGTGCTGGGTGTTAGGCCAAAGCAGGGCCCTGGAAAGCATGAACCCCTGCCCACCCTGCCCGGGGCCTGAGGCCCCTATGGGAGGGGACCAGTGTAGCCTGGCACACGCAAAATCAAAGACGCAGACACAAGTCTAGCCCTTGTTGTTTATTTTTCAATAAACAAGGTTTTTTTGCATGTCTGGACTGGTAGTAAACGGGAAAGCTAAAAAGAGCGCCAAGGACATTTTTTTTAACATTTTGGTGACAAAATTGATACTCCTCTTCCTCCTCTCCTAATTTGGGACCAAATTGCTGATCATGTCTTGGATCGCTGTCTTTGAGCTTTTCCGTTTGTTTCGTAAACTACACACTACACCAGACACACACAAGGTGTGGCTGGGCAGTCAAGGATCCCGACACTCTCAGCAGAATCTGGTGGCCATAGAACATGGAATGACCATTTCTGCATGACGTGAAGACCGTGGCGAGGCTGCTGACACTGCTTCTGTGGCACGGGGGGGGTAGTGCGAGTGGTGGGCACTGTGGAATTTGGGAGGGACGGCCTCATCGGGTGCTGGTAATAGATAATTTGTTGCGTGGGAAGGTGAGATGGTGGCTCTTCTCCAAGGGAGGCGTCTGCTCAAGACCCTCCACTCCCACGGCATGTGACCGGCACCGCGCTGGGCTCCCTGGGGACAGCTGTGTGTCCACCCCCCTCCAGACTGCCCCCTCGTCCTGCCTGCCCTGCAGCTTCCGCACACTGCCTAGTGCTCCGCAGGTGCCTGGAAATGCTTCCTGATCAGATGGGTTGTGGACGGTGAACAAATGAATGGATGGGGAGTTGGTCAAGGATACCTCGACCGTGGGACGTCTTTTTCTTGTTATCAGGGGAACATGGCTGTTCTCTATAGCATCAAGATCGAAAACATAGATAATTTGATCATCTGACCAATCTTAGAATTTTCTATTTGGGGAAACTGAGGAACAGAATCGTTAGCAGGCTCAGTCCAGGTCTCACGCTGAGAGAGGCCAGGCAGGGTACCAGACGCCCGCCTGACACATGCCAACAATTCTTTTTTTTGTCTTTTTAATTTTTTTATTTCTTAAAACAAACTCAAAATGAGATGAGATGGTGACTTATGAATGACTTCGTGGGGAAGGAAGAGGGACTTGGGGCGGTTGTCAGAGATTGGGGTGGAGGACCCAGGGGTTTGGGGTGAGGGAAGGGAGGAGAAGGGTGGGGGTGATAGGAAGGGAGGGCTGGTGGAGACAGGAGGGGAAGGGTGGGGAGAACGGGAGGGGAAGGGTGAGGGTGATAGGAAGGGAGGGCTGGGGAGGACAGGAGGGGAAGGGTGGGGGATCAGAGGGGAAGGATGACGGGGATCGGAAGGGAAGGGTGGTGGGATCGGAGGGGAAGGGTGGGGAGAATGGGAAGGGAAAGGTGGGGGTGATAGGAAAGGAGGGGTGGGCTAACAGGAGGGGAAGGATTGGGGGACGGGAGGGGTAGTGGGGACGGGAGCTGGAGAAGGGGAAGGGGCTTGCCAGTGATGATGGTGGTCGGTGGGGTGACAGGGTTTTTGGGGTGAGGCTGGGAGGGGCTGGGGACGCGTGCTGTGGGACTCAGGGCTGACGGTAGGGAGGGGCCTGGTGGGGACAGAGGCGGGTAGGAGGGGCTCTGCAGAGTGCAGATGATGCGGAGGAGGCGGTGAGGGTGGGGCGGGGCTTGGAATCAGGATGACAAAGGACCGGGAGTGAGGAGACCAATGGCTTGGTGGGGAGAGTGGGGTGTTGGGAGTTTGGGCAGATGCTGGTCGGGCTTTGAGTCAGGATGAGGGGGCTTGGGTAGTGGCTGGAGGACGATGAGGTGATGAGGTCGATATTGTGTCATGACGATGGCGCAGGTGACCAATGGATGGGTGACTGTGAGTTGTGTGTGGGTGACTGATGTGACTGACTGTAGATGACGAAGGTGATGATGACTTAGAAATAAACACCTGGAGCAAGGTAAACACGGCAGGCAATGCTCAATAAAGCTAAGAGTATAGATTCTTATCCAAATAATCTAAGAAGCAAAATATTCCTATCTGGTACCCAAGGGCTGTTTAGCTGTCCAACCCCAAAAGCTGAAAAGCTAAACAGAGCTCTGTCCCATTTCTTTCTATTTTTGCAAAAAAGATAGATGCTCTTTGTTAAAAAAAAAAAAAAAGTCAAATTCAAAATTCAGAAGCTGGCTAGGTCTTTTGAGATCTGAGGATTATTAACTCAGCAACACAAATGTAAACCCATGGCTGTGTGGGCCAGGTCTTGGACCACATTTGCCACAAAACTAGTAAGCGCCCCACAAGTGACAATTTCCACTAATCCCTGTGAAAACCTTGGTGAGGGCTGTGTTGCTGCTCAGATTCTGCCAGGGGCACTTGCGGCTCAAAGTACATTCAAGTCTCAAGGGATGTCTCTATAGGGTAGAGGCAGGTATAGTGTTGGGGTTCTGGGTGGGCAAAGAGGGGTGGGGGAGGGCTGGCTGCCTAAGTGGCAACTCCAGATGGCACATTATGACTCAAAGGGGCTATTTTTTCCCAAAAGGGAAGTGGGCCAGGAGGCTCCCCACTTTGAGAAACACAGTTAGGATAAATTTCAACATCAAGCGTTCATCCAGGATAGGCCAAAACCTTTCGGATCCCAGGATGAGAATTCGTCTTCATCAGATCCCAATTGTTGGGGTCAGGAAGTGTTTTGGTTCATACCCCCTCGTTCCTAATTCAGAGTTTTAGAGCCAGAGAGGACCATGGTGGTCGGTGTTCAAACCCCTCCCTCGAGAGGGGCGAGAAAGTGGGCCCAGGATTGGGATAGGGACTCGCCAAGGATCACACAGCGAGTTAGTGGCAGGGCTGGCACAGAGGCCCGGCCCCCCAGCAGCCAACCTGGGGCTCTCTCTGACTGACACACAGCCGCTGCACTCCGCTAAATCTCAAATCAATCGGAAAGATCTAAAGGTAGCGATGTTGAGCTGGATGTGAGTGCGAGTCGGATGTGGTGTGTGAGAATTAACGAACGAAAGCAATCGTAGCTCTTTGCACAGTGGGTGGTCATGTACAGCACTCGTAACGGTTTCACGAGGACCATGTGGCCGAGACCCCCAGGGTAGGGGCGTCGGCACTGAGCCCTGGTTCTGTTGCCTTGTTTTTTTTTGGTCTTTTTTGAAATTTCATTTGAGTTTAGATTTTAGAATAACATACTTATTTCTCTTACTCATTTAAAGATGAAATTCTTATTATTATTCTGTATCATGCATTAAGAGAGAGAAAGAGGATTGTTTTTGCATTGCGTTTGTCACACAGCAGCACAAAGACAATATATGTAAGCGTAGCGTTCACCAGATTTGACACAAGAGATAGCGAACACCACAAAGATTAGGACAGACCGCGTATAGTAAGCTCTGCGGAACTCCAAGAATCTAGAGGGGGCTGTGGGAACGCTGCTTAGATCTCCTCGTCGCCGGCCTCCTTGCTGAAGGTGGTCATGTCGATCTTCTCGGGGAAGATGATGTTGACGGCCAGGTCCTCCCCGCTGTTGTACTGAAGCAGCAGGTTCTTCTTCTTCCGCAGCATGTGGTTGTAGCGCAGGTTGGACACCCAGGTCTCGCACTTGTTGAGGAAGACGATACCCACAGTGCCCAGCACCACCAGGCTGGTGAGCACGCCCAGGATGGTGAAGCAGATGGCCTGGCCCTCGGTGAGGAGAGGGGTTTTCTTGTTGAGCTCTTTCATGGACACCTTCAGGATGCGGTGCTCCGGCTGCTGCACCGGCAGCTCGTGCACCCCAGGGGTCAGGCGGTAGGCCAGCCCATAGCCGCTGGGCAGACGGGTGACCTGCTGGGGGCTCAGCGCGCGCTTCTTGACACAGGTGAGACCTGTGAACTCGGGCTTGCACAGACACTCGTAGCTCACCTGGGTGTGCTGCAGGCAGGTGCCCCCGTTCTGGCACGGGCTGCTGGCGCAGTTGGTCACCGGGCGGCTGCAGGTCTTGTCGATGAAGCCGGCTGGGCACCGGCAGCGGAAGTCGCCCCCAATGTCAGTGCAGACGCCGTCGTTCTCGCATGGGTTGGGGGTGCAGCTGTTGGCCACGATCTCGCAGAAATTGCCTGAGAAGCCAGGGGGGCACAGGCAGGAGGCATGGGAGGCCCGGCCCTCATCATCCACGCAGGTGCCTCCGTGCTGGCAGGGGGAGCTGCAACACAACAGGGACATAGTAAACGGCCTCAGGGGCTAGGCTACAACAGCGCTGCAGGGCACGGGGCTCAGGGCAGAAGGTCCCTGGCCTGACTAAGGGGCAGGTGCTTAAAACACATCAGGTGAATGAGGGAGCGAGGGAGGGAACGCCAGCCAGGGAGGCACAGAGAGGTGCCCGGGGCCGTGACCCCTGTCTGCGAGAAGCTCACCAGTAGCTCTGGGGGTGGGTGGGTGGGTGCCCACCTCACCCCCATCTCGATGCTAACCTGGGACACACCCGACCTCCCATGCCAGGATGCCCACGTCCTCTCCCACCTCTTACTGCACCTCTCCAACCAGAGGTTAGTCTCCAACCGGTTAGTCACTAGCCAACTGGGGAAACTGAGGCTAGGAGAGGAAAAGTCAGTGACAGCCCAGGACTGGAGCAAGCCCCCTTCCCTTAGCTCCATCCCTGGACTGCTGGGGCAGAAGAACCAAGCAAGGGGCGCCCCTCACTCTATCCCGGGACCCGCTGTCGTCCTTCATGCCTATGTCCACTGTTGCCGCCAACCCTCATTATTATTATTATTATTATTAGCGGTGTGGATCCACAGGCTATTGTGCAGGAAGCGCTTGGGGACTCTCAAAGAGAAAGCAATACGAGGTCTGTCTACGGTGGCACAAGCCAGCGTCTGTACCAGGCTGTTTAATAGTGGTCCATTCACCCAAGTGCAGCTTGCAAACCAAAGCTGTTTGCTCAAAGTGGAGTACAAGGAGCATTTAATGTAAGTGCTTTTAAACGAGCGAGCCCTTTGTCATCCGATAAATGGCAAAACTCCGGGGAAGAAGGGGCAGTAAACACAAGAAATCAGCACTGCTGCTTCAGGGTGTGGGCTGCATGGGAGCTGGGCTCTGAAGGAATTTCAAGGGCCTTAGGCTCTATTTTGACACACTGGTTTAAGTCCATTCGCGAGAAAAGCAAAATATTTTAAAGGTCTCGCTCTGTTTTTCTCCTTCCTGCTAATAAGCAGAAATGGAGTTCAGTCTTCACCAGCCCCCACTCTGACCCCGTCTGAAGACTGATCTTTGGAAGCCCCGTTAATGTCTGTTTACAGCTCTTACAGACTACTGGGGTCTCTGTGCCACCCTGCGATGTCCGGTCAAGATAAGCTTATTTGCATGTTAGCTTCTGTTTCTTCAGAGGAAAGGGACACCCCTGCCCCCCAACTACAGGCCCAGGACTGGGTTCAAGTTTGGATTCTTACATTCGGACCCTGCCTCTGTCAAGATCTCCCTTGGCTTCAGGCTAAGCCCCATCCAGCGGGGAGGGATGGCTCAGGGCCGCCAAAGAGATAATGGGTGGGCAGAGGCTGAGCTGCTGGGAAGCATTGTTCAGGGAGGTCCAAGTGAAGACAGTGGCCACTCTGTCTGTTATGTCCGCTGCCCAGGAGTCCCAAAGCCCCCTTCCCCACTGAGGATAGCCGACAGCTGGCCCACCTCCTCTCGTGCTGGCAGAAGCCCAATCTCTTCACCTCTCAGCCTGGCAACTCCCTCCACAGACATCCCAGAAAATCCAATTGCAGAGCCCACCAGTTCCCCAAAACCACCCCCTGAGATACAGCAAGTGGGTTTCACAAACAGCCTCAGCCCCGCGGAGCTCCAATCTTTTACTACGTTGCCTTTAGAAAATTACGCAGCTCCGAGTGTCAGTTCATCATTCCGATCGACTGTCACTCACACGCATCGGGACTTGAGAACATCAGGGGAATATGAAATCGCCTTCAGGATCATTTGAAAAAATTATGGCAATGACACATTCCCCCGTGAATACTCCCATCCAGGGCGGTCCCCTACGGGGCTGCCAGGATGAGCGCTTACTTCATCTTTTGTCAGACGACAGGTCCAGCAGGGTTAGGCTGAAAGGGTCTTTGGTGGCCGCATGAAAAGCAGCATTCATTAGATCACACACAGGAAGGATATTTACCCGTTGATCACACAGGGCCCGTCCTTTTTCTGGCAGTCCTTTCCCGAGTACCCGGGGGCACAGGAGCATTCATAGAGGCCATCGTCCAGGCTCACGCAGGTCCTGTTGTTGGCACAGGGGGCCGAGGAGCAGGCCCGAACATCTGCGGGGTGACGGGGAAGACGAGAACTTAGCTTCCTCTCCATACACGAGCGTGATGCGGGCCCCAGTGGGCTTTAAAATGGCTCTATGGCCACCGAGTGGGGTCTGGAGTAAGAGGGTTTAGGGAGCCCCCTCAAAAAAACCCATGAAGTGAGTAAGCTGAGGCTCAGGAAGCTGAAGGGGTTTCCTTGCCTAAGGTCACAGATCAGAAAGTCGTGGCCACTGATATTCAGGCCAGGATAGCTGTTCCCTTTGCCTGGCACCAGGTCACCCCATATCCAGCGACATGTCCGTGACGTTCACTGTGGACATCATGCCCCTCCCTGCAACAGCGTGCCTAGCTGAGATTCCCTAAGGCCTGTCTCCACCAGACAAGACTGCATCTCCACCCTCTCCTGTTAGGGGAGGGGTCCTGGCCAGCCGGGGGATGAATACAGCCCAACCCTCAGAAAAACCACCAGCTCTTCATACTTTTCCATCAAAGAGGGGCAGTGGGGGGGATGGAGATGTAACGACCCCCCTCCGTCAGGAATCAAGAAACCTGTTAACCCCAGCACTACCACGTGTCCCTGTGGTCTCTCTTTCTGCACTCAGGCTCTGAACTCAAGGGGTCCCTGGTAAAAAGGCTTCATCTTTTAAAGCCAGGGAAATTAGAACTATTGAGCGCTCTCCTATCAGCACAGGTTTCCATGAGCACTGGTATATTCCCACCATCTTTTAACACCTTCCATCACGCACACTTCATTATTCAGGTTCAGCAAGCCAGGGATGAGCTGAACACAAGGGCCTGAGTCAGGGGCTCTCTGATGATGGAGACCCCAGCTCCCCAGTGGGGCCAGGAAGGGACCCCTGTCCTGCCCTGTATCCGGCCTGCTGCCATGTGGCAGCAGAGTTCAGCTCCTACCCATTCTGGGCCTCAGTTTCCCTACTTATAAAAAGAGGGTCTTTCCCTGGCCAATCTCTGAGGGACTCTTCAGCTTTGATTTTCTATAATTTGAGCTGCTGTACCTGCCAAACAGAAAGCCAGGGCCAGTGAGAGACACAGCAAGCTAAGGCAGGCTGGAGGGGGTGGGGGGAGGGGAAATCCCCCGTGCTGAGGCCACACATGTGCGTATTTTTTCCCCCTCTCAGAGAGACCCACACCCTCGTGGAGGGGAGACTGCAATCAATCAAGGAGGAAGAGCCTGAACGTTGTGTTGATGGACTACCCCGTGGTGTTCCATGGAAGCCCGGCTTGGTGCAAGGACACATAAAGAGGATTTATCTTTACGGGACGGCACCGGCAAGGCATTAGCACGTGGCGCCTCCGCGTCAGGCTCCTTATTCTCTGCACCCGACTCTCCTGTCACTCAGAATCTTAAATTTAAGCTAAAAAGCTGGCGACCACCCCCAGCTTGTCCCTGCAGCTCTCCCTGCTATGCCAATCCTGGATCAGCCCTCCTGAGCCTCCAACCCCAAGACAGGGGTGAATTAAGCTGCTCTGAGGAAAAGGCTGCTTGGGGGTCTCTGCTGGGACAGCAGCTGTGGCCACGACAGCCTCAAAGATGGGCAAAAAGGGAGAGGGAGGGCTATGTCTTCTCTGGGACCCCAGACTCTCTGGCCATCCCCAAGCTGGCTGCCTTTGTCAACTTGGTGGGGAGGGGACATACCAAGGGCCCATGAGAAGGGAGGCATTTGTCCGGAAAATTTCAGCAAGGGTGTACGGCATTTAGATACCAAAAAGATGGGCTCCAAGCTAAAAGCCTAACCCTGATCCCAAATGGTGGCTTTGCTGGAATCCCCCAGATCCTCAAACGACTCAGAGCTGCTGCCGCTGCTTCTGTGAGGGGCAGCAGAGATGCTGGCCAGAGCATGAGTCAGCTGCGGGTAAACCTTGCACCATATTGCAGGGGCTGGAATTAAGGACCAGAGACAATTTGGGGTGGGAGGGAGCTCAGCTTCAGAACCACGGCTGCCCTGGCTGTACAGGGCAGGGGCCACAACAAAATGCTCTTAGGTGTTCCTTAAGGAAGGATGTTAGATGCAATCGAAGATAAAAATTAACTCTCTTTCTGGGGCTGGGGGAAAGGGTTGTAGCTGGCTTTTTGCCCAACTTCTTTCATATTCCTTAGCAGACACTTGTGCTTCTCTGATCCTCAGTTTCCCTATCTGTACCGTCTTTACTAATGTTGGGGACTGAGGGACAGGGGCCCTGAGGGCAGGCTGCTACACAGCTGGGAGTTTTTTTGTGGACTTCAGTTTGCTCAAACGTTAGGGCTGGTTTTGCCAAATGAAAATGGGCTTAGACGAACATTTCGCAGCCTGAAAATGCAGTGACAGCCAACTCTCAATTGCTTGGGGTAATGGAGGCAAAGATTGCATAAATTAATGAAATCAACAGATAACACCCATCTTCACTTTAACCCTTTCTCAGCTTTTCCCAACTGCAGCCTCCCCCTACACCTGACCCACTCAGTCCAGGCCCCCCAGCCCTGTCCTCCTGGCCCTGACTCAGCACCTGCCCCTCAACCACTGAGCAGTGCTGGCCACCCCCCACCCCGTTTGTTTGTTTGCAGCCTCTTTACAGTCTTGCGTGTGCTTTTCTAGGGAGTCTTAGCTCTGAGATCCCCAGAGCCCTGTCCATCACTGGGCTTCCATGACCTGGACAGGCAGCCTGGGGTCTGTGGTCCCACCGGCCCAGCTGTATGTGTATTTTGTGACTCTTTATTCAACAGGCAGCTCCCTGGCCCCCACGCCATGTTCCCTCTAGGTGCTGGGTGCTGATGGCGCAGAGAAGAGCAAAATAAAGTCCCTACCTCTGAGGAGGCATTCGGTACCCACAGGAAATTTATAAACAGATCTTTAGAATACAGGGCACGGAGTGTGCAGGAATGAGGAAGTGAGGAACACCAGCAACAGGAGACTGGGAGGAGGTGGTAGGGGCTAGGGCAGGCAGGTAAGGACGCAGAGCTGAGGTGAACAAAGGCGAGTGCCAACCTCTATCACAGAGCTCCCCGTCCCAGCCGTCGGTGCAAATGCACTGCCCGGGTTCTCCACAGAGTCCGTGAAGGCAGCCGGGAGAGGTCACGCACTGGTCACAAAGGGGACCCTGCCAGCCAGGCTGGCACCTGCAATGGGTGGGGGAGAAAGGTGGGGACATATGAAGAGGGCAGGGGTAGAGAGGCAGCTCAGGCTACTTTCTGTGGAACCAAGGACCCTTGGGGGTCTTTGCACAGTGGCAGCCGGTGGTCCTGGGAAGTAAACACCAGCCACCTGAATGGGAAAACTTAAAGAGAAAACATGCCAAGCTGAGGGGGCCGACTTGGAGGGGCCCCGAGATCCCGGGGGAGTGCTGCGTTTTGCCGCAGTGGCCTGCAGTGGTCCCACCTGCCCCCCCACCTCTGAGAACGCAGACAGGAGCTGTGGCTGCCCCCCCCCCGCCCCCCCCATCTCCCCAGCTCGCCCCACCAGTTTTCTGCAGGGGCCCGGAAGCTGTTTGCTGCAGCGTAGTGGCCAAGCCCCCTATTTTTTTCTGCCTGACTTCACGACTCCCCAGGCTTCTGCGTGGCCCCTACAAGCTGCCTCTGAGGAGCCACTCTATTACCTGCAAACATTGTCATCCTCGCAGAATCCATTTTGGGGGTTGCAGGCCGGGAAGCATTCAGCCCCTGAGGTACAAGAAAGGTTATACAATTCACCCCACCAGGCCCCAGGCCAAGGCAAAGGCTGTCTTCGCCCACACAGCCCACCACTGCCCTCGAGGGCACCAACAGCCCTCTTGGGTCCTACCAGCCTGGCACACAGTAGGCACTTCCTATCCGAGCATGGATGGGGCTCAGTGCACTCAGGAAAAACATCTCTGCCACGTTCCCAGCAATGAAATGACCACAGTACACTCTCCCTCGTTCTTAGGAGCAGGAGAAACACCTTCTCCTCGGACTCCCAAAAGCAAATACGACACCTCAAGTCCTCCTAACAGCGGGGACGGGGACCGTGGAGGGAAATATGTTGAGCCCTGGGCATGCAGCCTGACCGTCACTTTTGCAACCTGAGCTGAAAAGAGGAGCAGATTTTGAGGTGTTCAACTCCGGGAAAGCCCAGACAGGTTCACCTGGTGGGCGCCCCAGTAAGGCGTCTGCATTCTTTTTAAGGTTCATCCCTATTAAGCCGGGCACCCAGGTCAAATCTTCCCTCTTTCCCCTACCCCAGACTCTTCGCATTAAAAAAACGATGACGACACAGGGTTTTGCTTAGCGGGCTGAGGTTGCAACAACACTGCTTAGAGATTCTGACACTTTAACAGGCACCTACTGTGTGCATTTACTCAACCAGCTCCCCAGCTTTCTAGACAGCCCCCTTACAACCACTGGTGCAATGAGTGGGGGGGCGCTGCAGGAAGGGGGCAACTCTCTCGCTGTCAGAGACAGATGGCCGCTGCAGACAGAAGTGTCGCAGCCCCTCACCTACAGAAACGCGCCACGCAGGAAGGGCTCAGGCTGGGCTTCTCTGGGAATTGGGGGCTAAGACGGCAAAGTCGTCCCCCACTCCCGCCCCGAGACCTGTTCCAGAACGCTCACACAGGGACACCCCAAAGTTGCACCCCAGAGTATTTTCATAGAAGACTCCACAACAGCACCCCATTTTTCCATACCTCCTTGCTCAGCGCACCGACACCCCTCTGGCGCCACTTCTGCAGGGCGGGAAGGGGCTGGGGGTCTCACACATCCCCTGCGCCCTGGGACCCCTGGGACGGGCCTTGGCATGCGAGCGTGGTGGGTAGGGCGAGACAGGCACAGCGCGGGGCTTAGGGCTAGGCGGGACGGGCGGAGTTGGGGCTCACGAGACGGGGCGTGCGGGGCACCGGGCGGCCGGCGGGGAGTCGCAGGCTTCCCCAGAGGGGGCGCGAGCCGGGCCGCCGGGGAACTCACCATAGGTGCTGTGGCCGAAAGCCAGCAGGAGCAAGAGGACGCGCAGGAGGGCTTCGGTCGCGGTCATCTCTGGGCGGCCGGGGTCGCGGTCCCGGGAGCGGTGCGGGCGCGGGTCCGGCTCCTGGCGCCGCACTGGGCTTCTGGTTGCGGACGCGAAAGGGGGCGCGGGCGCGCAGCGAGGGGAAAGCCAGGGCTGCACCGGGCTGCGCGCTGCGCTCTCCACCGCCGCTGCCGGGGAGCTGCCGCCGCCGCCGCGCGCGCCGCCCTTTTCGTACCGCCTCCCCCCTCGCGGCCCCCGCCCCCCGCCCCCGCCTCCGTGCGCACGGGGCCGGCGCCGGCCAGTCCCTGTGACCCCCTCCCCTCGCAGGGCCGCCCCCGACCACGGCGGCGTCCCAGAAGCCCGCTCGCGCACACGGGTGCACTCTTGGCTAGACGGGCACAGGTATCCCGCGAGCGTTTGGTACACGTTCCCTCACACTGTACAGCACGCGGCCGCCGCGCACATACAGGCCTGCCTAGGACAAGTCGCAGGAATCGAACCTGGGCCGCAGACCTCCCCGGAGAGCACAAATCCGCACGCAGGAACACCGAAACACTTATCGCTGAAGTCCCGGGCACACGTGCAATGGTTAGATACCCAGGAAAACACAAAGGCGCACTATGAAGATGTGAACTAAGCACATAATTACACACGCACACAGAAAAACCCCCAGGAAAAGCCCGACGCCCCCTGTACCCCTGGCCATGAAGACGCAGAAAAATGCAGTTGCCCCGTGGCAACCCACACCCCGCAACGGAAACGCACACGGCAACTCAAACACACTGTAGCCCAGACGCCGTATAGACACAGTCCTAGGTGGCAGAGGGTCAAGCGGACCTGCGGTTACCCAACCATGGGCATCCTCCCCCATGTGCCGACCCCCTGCACACAGACGCTTACGCAGAGCCACCTGCACACCCAAACACGCAAACACACGTATAAACAGACGGACACCCGTGCCCGCATTCAGTCACACCCACCCCCGCACACACAGCATCTCAGTCAGGGCCTTAGCCGCGCTGAAACACAAATGCACCGACTCTTACGCACACATGTACGCACAGCCATGCACCTGATACCCACAAGCACACATACCCAGCTGACTCGTGGTCACACACACTGACAAAAACATATACGCAGTCCCCACACACACACGATCGCATCTGTCTTTGTCCACAGTGGCATGCATGGGCAGCCTCACCAATGTGCTCTCACATACACACAATAGCACTCCAGGCACTCGGCACGTATTCCAGACTCACTGGGAGACCTTCTCTGAGGGGTCGCCCGCTGGAGAGGTGGAGGTAGAGGATGCTGATTGCCAGAGACCCTCTTCCTCTGCAGAGCTCCCAGGGAGAGGGAGTGCTCCTCAGACACCCCTCCTCCCCATTGCCCCCGGCTTAGGCTTAGAGCCCTGCTGGAGAGGAAAGCTCTGCACCCCTGCACCCAGTCTGGATGGGGGAGGCTCAGAAAGATAGGGAGGGAGAGGGGTAGGAGGGGATTAAAGATATTTCACCTCCTGGGGGAAGGGTCCCAGGCGTCCCAATCTTTGGGTGGGTCGTTTAGGATACTTAATTTGCATATATTAATTTGCATACATATCCTAGATGCAGGGAGTGGGTGCCCACCCAGCTCGCGGCCTCCCCTTCTTCACAGTGCTGCAGGGGGGTGTGATCTCACCACTGTGAACCTGGAGGCTGGATGCTTTGACCTCCTGGCCCTCTAGTCCAGCCCTGGCAGGTCTGAGCACAGATTTCCCATCTTAGCCATAGATGTGGGAAGGCAGGCCCATGGGCATCCCCAGGCCCACCACCCCTAAGTCAGTGCTCCAGTAAGGCACTCGGGATGGGTACAGGGATGGACAGAGACCAGAGCTGCTCTGGGCTGGCTCCAAGGAGGCTGGAGGGAAACTCCCAGCCCCTGGTGGAAGATATCCCTTCCCTGATGTTATCTGCAGAATGCCCAGATAGGTAGGGGCTGCTGGGAACGGCTTTGGGGACAGGCTGTAGGGAGCAGTTGGGGTGCCCACTGTGTGCCTGCCACATGCCCTTGCATTCCTGTGACCCTACTTTCTTCCGTGGACTCTTTCCTCAAGTCAAGAAACCAACTTCAGTGATGGAAGGTCCTTTGCCCAAGGCCCTTGGCCTAGAACGAGAGTGTCTGGCTGACAGGCCCAACCCTGGGTGCCAATGTCCACTGCATGGTGATCGCCAAGGTCTTCCTGACCAGGGTTCCTCTCTTCCCTCCCTTCGAGGCCCCTGACTTCAGCCTCCAAAATTATCCCAACAGCAGGCAGACCTGGAAGAGCTGAGTTCTCAGCCAGAAGCCAAGGAGGGGTGGAGGATCTCAGGGCTGGGTAGCCCTGGGGCAAGGGCCTCCCAGGCTCTTGCCAAAGTCCCGCAGAGAGGAGACTCCCTGGACTGCATGGAGCACTTAGGGGGCCCCAGTGTCCCCACCCACACACATACCTAGACTCCTCCCTTCCCCATCCAGGTTCTTCCCCCTTCCCACCCCCGCCCCCAGCCCCACCACAGCCCTCCCCAGTTTAGGAAAGGGAGGGAGGCCAGAGGAGGGTATTCTCGCCCAAGGGAGTCTGTCAAAATGTCACAGGCTTACGCTGAAAGGGCACTGCCTTGGCTTGGGGGGCACCTGCTCTCTAATCCTATCTCCATTTCGTGCCCACCAAGGGCCCAGTCTCTTCCATCTGTGAGCCCTGTTTCTTAGCCCATAAACAGGAATGTCCCACCTGTCTCTGAAAGGAACTCCGGTTTTTGTAAGCAGAAAAGCACTGTGCTGACAGGGCCTGGTCACAACCCCTTCCAGCCATTCCTCCAACAGCTGCACCCCAGAGCCCTTGCCCCCGCCAGCTAGAGGATCTCCAAGGCGGGCACCCAGGCTCCACTGGACCCGGGCCCTCTTCAAGAGCCCCATGCAGGGACACTTGAGGGATGGGAGGGGACTTTCTTGTCTCACAGGACCTACAAGCCAGGAAGATTTCTGTTGGCTTGCTCTAATCTTAATAAAGCGTTTGTAAATTCAGGAGGCCGGAGCTTTCTTTTCAGCAAGCAGACACTGAGAAAGGGTAGCTTAGGAGCGGTAGGGAGGGGAGGTTGGTGACTGTCACAGACTTTAAGTCTGCACAGAAGGCGCGAAAATGCCAATGTAGTCCCTTGGGGAGAAGCGGTACAGTCTGCCATTTGCAAGCAGATCCTGGGGGCTGTGGAACGGCAGGCTGGAGGAGCTGGACGCCCCCTCCTCTATCTGCGCATCCCTCCCCTCCTCCCCCCTCCCCTTCTCTCGAGAGCCATGCTCCGTGTACAGGCCCCCGGGATTACAGAGATGAGGCCAGCAGCCCGCAGGTCCTCATAGCATGGCGTGGCAGGCGATCTACACAGGTTGCAGGGACTGGACCTGCCAACTCTGGGGCCAGATCGAGATGCATGAGCTGGACTCCCTCCCTGTAGCCAAGCCGAAGGCTCTGCCTATGGCCCCGCACCCCGCAGGCAAGAGCCGAAAGCAAGGGGAACCTGTCCGGAGGCAGTGTTGCTGGGCTTTGCCGGGGCAGCAGAGGAGCTGGTGATGAGCAAAAGTTTTCCGAGGGAAGGAAAGAAGTGTTGTCTCCAGCCCTTTTTCCTCCCCGCTCCTCTGCTCTCCCCTCCTGTCTGCTCCCCCTCCTCCTTTTCTAAACACTAACTCTTCCTCCAGCCAGCCCCAGACCACTTCGCCCCTGATTAAAGGCAGAAACACTGATCAGGGCAGCTCAGCTGGGTGGAGCTAGAGGGGCCTCTGAGACTTACTAGTCCCGGGCACCAGCGGGGATGGGAGGGCAAGAGCAGGGGTGGCCGGCGAGGGGGCTTCACCCCACCTTCACATTCTGCTCTGCTCACCACCCCCACAGCCTCGGTGGGGATCTCCATGCCTTGAGGCTTTGCTTCTGCCTAGACTAGGTTTTTTTTTTGGTTTTTTTTGTTTTTTTTTTTTGCCGGGGTGGGGGGATCTGAGCCCCCACTGATCCAGTCCTAGTGGGCATCCTACAGACAAGAGATGCCTTTGTCCCCTGTCCCCACACCCAACGTTCTCCATCCTCCCTCCAAGAGAGAAGGAGGGTGGGCTCCCCCAGATCTGCCTGCTCTTCCTCCCCAAGGGACTGACCAAGGCGAGGACCAGTGCCCAGAGACTCAGGTGGCCTAGTTAGAGTCCTAGAACCGGAACATCCAGGAGACAGCTGGGCAGGAGGCTCCCCCGCCAAGAAGCCACCATCCCTGTGTTGAGGGCTTACAGGCAAGCAGGCATTGCCCTTTCTGCATCTCCCTCACTTCTCCCTCGGATTTAGACTCTAATTTAACCCTGTCTCATCAGAGCCTCCTCACGGCCTGGGCTAGGTGGGGACTGCCCAGAGTCCACTGGGCAGTGGCTGAGCACACTGAGGCTGGGGGACCCCAAGAGAGGTGCATGGCTAACCAGTGGCAGAGCTGGAATTTGAACCCGGGTCTACTCAAAATCCCAGTGCAAGGCTCTCTGCCCAGCCCAGCGGGGTGGTTAGAGTGCATGGAGCCTGGAGGAAAGTGGGCTCCCCCAGAAGCCTGCCCTCCCCTCCTTGGGTGGGAGGGGGAAGCTTCACAACCTGGGAGGCTGTGAGGGTTTCATGCAAACACCAAGGAGACACGCAGCTGCCACCTCTCGGAGTATTTTTCCAAACCTGAAGCTCATCTTTGGAGACAAATTCTCTTTTCTTCTACCGAGGAGAGGGGACCTGGGGGCAGAGGGTGGAGGGAAATGAAAGACATAACCTGATACATTTTCCAGAACATGAAGGTTTGGTTTCAAGTTTAATCAGAGAAAAGGTCTTCAGTGTGAAGTGGCATCGTGCTCAGCCGAGCTGGGAGTACGGCTGCAGAGGGACACATGCTGAGCCTGGCCTTGTGCTTGGCGCCTGAAGAGGCGTATGACAGTTCCAGGCCCACTCCAGGGTTCTCCAGGGCGGCAGGGTGCTGTGGGTGGGGGCGCAGAGCCAGCCCGTATCCCCGAGTCCCCAAAACAGGCCTGCGTATCACTCCCCCAGGCCCCACAGCAAGCTTCTGGGAAGGAAAAATACCAGAGAGCTGGGGTGCAGAGGGGACTCATTGGTTTGGGTCTATATTTAGAGTTGGCTTCTGTGGGGTCTCACCTCTCCCCCAGACAGAACCAGTTTCTCGTCATTGCTGATAGGATTTAAAAACAGACTTCTCGTTTCCTTCCTTGCCATTGGAATCAACAGGGATGTAAGTCCACAATGTAATTGTCCACATCATCAATCACATGATCCTCTTACAGAGCACCACTGAGTCATGCTGTGCGTGGGGTGCTCCCAGGGGCTTGGAGGGGTTAATAACAACTCCCCACCCCACCCCAGAGCTTGTAGATAGACTCACTCCCACTCAGGAGGGAGGAAATCAGGGGCCGGAGGAAAAAGGGGCCTTTTCATCACTCAGCTTGTCCACGCAGGCTTTGGCCAAAAATGCAGGAATTCATTCATCAAAAATTCCCAGAAGTTAATTTTCCATAAAACAGAGGCTCACCTCTTTAAATGTAGCCTTTCATCTGCCTGGTATTGACTGAGCTCCTACTGGGTGCCGAGGCTCGGCGGGGTCCCTGGAAGGAGGGTGCAATGATGGATTTGAAGGTGGTTTCTCATCTCAGAGAGTTCAAGTGCGGACCCAGTGCTTAGACACCCTCTGAGATGCAGGGTTGTGGATACTGGGACTGGCCACACATGGGAAGGGCGATCATGCATCTCTCAGAGGGTTAGTCCTCAGCTGTGTGTGCAGAGTACACAGAAGTTCTCCAGGAGGGTATGGGGAGGCCCTTCCAGGCAGAGAGAGCTGTACAGGCACAGATGTGTGAACGAGACATGAGTGTGTGTATGCATGCACATGAGATGGCGAGGAAGTGTTGGCTGTTCTGTTAGTGAGGGCAAAGTTAGCATGGTGAAGAATGAGGCAGAATGTTGCAAAACTTTCAACATTTCGGACATAAATCTCTTAACTATTCTCCAACATTCTGCAGCCTCCTTTGCCCTGGCAAACAGTCCACGGAACAAGAAGCCCTCTTTTGTCATACCAGAGTCAACCTTCGCACATGTCATGCCCAGACTTGATGCTAAGTCTTGGGAATCAGGCTGGGCCACCCGACCCTTCCCATCCAGTGAGGCACCAGCCCCCACCACCTACCTCCCCAGTAGGGCCCAGCTCGTGGAGACCTTCAGAGGCACAGGCAACACACCCTGTGATGACGTATAAAGAGGATACTTCCTTTAGCCACAGAAGAAATCCTTTTCTCAAGCCTGGATCCCCTGGGGAGAGCCCTCATCCCAGCCCCTGCTTAAGAGTCTGTGGGGTCACTGTGGCGGAATCATAACCTCACTGCGCGCTGAGCCTGTGAAAGGGAGGATGAGCGGCGCGGCACAGCCCTCCACACCTGTTCGCAGGCAGCTCTGTCAAGTTTAGGGACGTGAAAACACACAGCTCTCGAGGAATTTAAGATGTTCCCGTACTATATTTATTCTCTTATTTGTAAGGAAGCATTAGCATTTTCATTCAATTATATTTTTTAAAAAAAAGATTTTGGTATCCTACTGTGTTCCAGGCGCTAGGGATTTCCTGCGAAGGAAGACATTGCCCAGTCCCCAAGGAGGGGGCAGGCACAGGTGGGAGGTGAGAGGGACAGAGGTTTGTTCCTGTCTCACCTCCTCCTCCAAGGCCTTTCCCCCAATCCCATGCCTGCCAAGTCCCCTGGCTCCCACCCACTCACCCGCCCACCGAGGGTCCTGGCCCTCCCAGCCACCCTGGGCATCATCTCAGCCCTGAACACGTCTTCCTGCCTGGTGTTAATGGATTTTGCACGTGTGTCTGACCCCAGCAAGGCCAGATGCTTCTTGCTCAGCCAGGCACCCCGCAGCCAGAGGCCTGCGGCGCTGCCCTCGAGGTGTTTATGGATTAAGTGAATTAATGAATAAATGAATGAGGCACAAAGTGTTCTCTGAAGGTTACCATGGGCCCCTCGGAAAGATCCTGTGTCCTAGCAACTGTCCACGGCCTGGTGGCCCTCCCCAACCACCCGTCCTCTTGCCACCTCTGATCTCTGGGTTCCAGGGGGTTACTGACCCCCTTGGACTTGCAAACAGGAGAGCCCTCAGGGTTGCAGCGATGCCTCCACCTGGTTCTTTCCCCACCAGAGCCCTCAGTTCCTTCACTAGGAATGTGGGGAGTAGCTGTGTCGGGACCATCTCCAGCACCCCCTGCTGCCACCTGCCCCTGCCCACCACCCGCAAGCACCTGGTTCCTCTGAGACGCTCTCCATGAGCCTGTTCCTATGGCAACACTGCACCTCCAGAGGCCCAAGCTGGCTGTCTGCAGCCAGGATCCAGCTAGGGACGGAGCGCAGGGGATGCCCAGTGTGAGTGGAACCCCATTCCCCTCACCCCCTCACCTCCTCACCCCACCCGGGGTTGCTTAGTACCCAAATTCAAGTTTGCTCTGTTTGTAATGAGCCTTAGTTTGATCCCTGCCCAGGTGTGTGTGTTTCTCCTCCCCCTCTAGCAGTGGGGGCTCTCCTCTCAGCCAGAGAGCTGGATGCTGGAGCGCAGAGAGGCTGAGCAATTCTCCATGGGTCACAGAGCAAGGAATTGGCAGAGCAAGACTAGAATGTTGGGGAGTGGTGCCCAGGCGGGAGGACTATAAAAGTTGACCATAAAATGTCCTTTGAGGAACCCTCAGATTCCTTCATTTAAATGGGTCTCTCCAAGGTCTGGCCAAAAAGCCCACAGACTGAAAACAGAAGAAACCGCGTCACAAGAATAGAGGTCCAGTTGGAGCCCAGCAGGGGCTGTCACTTCACTGCTTCAGAGAATTTGGGGAAACAGCAGGACTGTCTCCTGGGCTGGTCACGTCCTCTCCCCACCTTCATTTTCTCCTTCCTTCCTTCTCCCTGCACCGGATGCTGGTCTGCCAGTCTGCCTGCAGATGTGCACACTAAGGTCCAGCTCTCTCTACCTTCATCGCTCCAGAGCTGGGGCCGGGGTTAGAGCCCCACAGCCTCCCAGGTGTCCCCTCTGGAGGTCTCTCTGAAACGAGCATCTCCCATTTGTCCCCCTCAAACCTCCTCCAGGGCCTCCGCCACCCTGCAGTTGGCCCAGCGAGTGAGGGCTTAGACTCCTGGCTCCTATAGCTTTGCCCTTTCTCTGTGCAAATGGGCCCCAAGCTCCAGGCACTGTCACTCCCCAGTCGCTCTCCAGTCCATCTCCATAGCCCCATTCTTTTCACCGCCACCCTGGTCCAAGCCTCTCTCCCTAATGGCTGTATCAACCCTGGGCCTGCCTGTCACCCCCATCCTCTCGGCTACAGGCCAGGGGTCAGAGGGAGGTTTTCTAGACGCACCACTATCCCGAGCAACCTGCTACTTAAACCCTTCGCAGAAGGAAAAGAGAGAGAAAGGGGGCAGGAAAGAAGGAAGGAAGGGGAGGGGAGAGGAAGGAAGAGCAGGGAAGGGTGCCTCCTCAAATTCACTTCAGCTCTCCCTGGGCTCCAAGCTCAGAATTAGGTGCACAGTAGGTTCTCATTAAGTATTCATGGGATTGAATTGCACCGTCCTATCAAGGAATCGATAAGGAAGCATTTGGCCGGGATAGGGACATGGAGATGGGAAATGGTCCCTTAAAGCCTGGGGAGACGCTCTTCCTTGCAAAGATTTGCCCTCAGCCTTTAGACCCTGCTCCCTTTCAGTGGCTTTTTCCTGCCTCTCTCGGATGAGCCAATTATCTCTGATTGTGTTTTACCTAATTCTTCCCTCTCTCCATGAGTGCTGGGCAACAGCCTTAGCTGTCTGTGGCCAGCAACAAGGTCCCCAGTGATCCACACATGCCACGGTGGAAACCCAGCTAGCACGTCTTCACCATGGTTTCTTTGGGTGGGGGGAGTTCTACTCACTAGAGAAGTATTTTCAGTATATTCAGTATTTTTTTCTGTGCAAGGCAGGGTAGCAAGAGAAGGAGTAAGGGCGGGTGAAGGGGGGGAGTAGGTGGGTGGCAGGTGGGTTTGGGGAAATGGTTCAAACTCTCGGCTTCTTTCCCTGTGGGACGACCACCTGGCCTGGAGGAGCTATGCAGGGGAGCTGAGAGCCTGGACGGGACACTCCTGCCCGGTCCTAGTTGCTTCGTATGTGTTCAGTATCTGCTCCTGGTCCTGACAAGGACGCTGGTGACACTGGCAGGATGGGGAAGGGCTGGGAGACCTGCAGAGGGGTGCTCAGGCCAGCTGTTGTCTGGATCTGGGGCTTGTAGCTGCAGCCCGTTAGGCTTGCCCGAGGCCTTGCCGCTGCCCTGGGCAGGAATGGTTTCCACAGTTCGTCATGGACCGCTCCTGGGGAGCTGCACCCAGCCTCTCCTCTCCCCCCTTGACAGCTTGAGTTAACAAGGAGACCAGGAACGGTGAGGCCTATGTGATTCAGACAGGGTCCCCGCAGGAAACAGATGGTGCACACAAGATGGTTAATTTGAAGAACGTTGAATAAAGGGCCTACTTACAGAGATGTGGGCAGGGTGTAAGGAAGCCGGAGGGGTAACAGCAGGCCCCGTTACCCCATAGGCCTGCAGCTAGAGAGAAGAGTGGAATTACCTGAACCAGAAACCGCGGGAGTCAGGTGGAGAGGGTGGATGAGTGTGGCCTTTGGTTGGGGAGCCCCCAGTCTCTGTGCAGGGAACCTGACCTTGCTCTCCTCCCTCCCCTGATCTGTTGGGGATCCTGTGGCCCCACCTGGCTGTAGCCAGCTGATACAGACCATCTAGGCAGGCCACCCCATGCACAGACAGGGGTGGAAGACAGAGGGTGGTTCTGCAAGGGACCCGAGGAAAAGCACATGAGCAACCCAGAGCTTCACTGAATCCAGTGGCCTCCTTCTCAGTAGGGGAAACTGAAGCTAGAGAAGCCTTTCCATGGCAGAGCTGGGATTTGAGCCCAGGCCTCAGGCTCCTGACCCTCGCTGCTCTCGTGTGTATGGCAGTTTGAGGCAGTGCCGGGCCGTGGAAGAGGTTCCAACTCCCCCCTCGGCAACGGTTGGCTTAATGACATTCACACTGGGTGGGCAGCCAGAGTTAGCTGTGCTGGTGAACTGCTCAGCCAGGAGGCTGCCAGTCTGGGGTGGGGGCTCCTTTCTCCTCCAGGGCCTCCCTCAGGCAGGCCTGCCAGGAGCCAGGGCTGCTGAGTGCCAGGTGTGGCCACAGCCACACGGCCTCCTGTGATGAGAGGAACCTTACTGGACCATGAAGGTGGGTAGCACCTCAGCCACTAGACAACAGAGATCCACACTCAGTGGGGGGTGACATCTGCAAGAGCTAAAAGTGGGCAGAAGAACCACTATAGGCCCCATGTCAGGATTTGGGTAAAGTCCTGGGTAATTTTGGGCAAAGCCTTTCCCATCTCTGGGCCTCAGTTTCCCCACTTAATCTTCCTTGACTCTGACTTCTTACCTGTGCCCAACACCTGGCTGCTGGGATGGGGCAGAGACATAGGCTTGTTGCTGTAATGGCCTTAGTGGGTGGGGTAGCCCTGGACCAGGTGGGAGAAAGACTGGGGGACAGTCTGCAGTCAGAAGACCATGATTTAGGGTGAGACCACGATGGTGGTGATGGAAGGGTGACCAGGAAGATGGTGAGTCGAGAGACTGAGGGAATGAAACCCTGCAATGCAACGGCAATGGGACTGGGAAAGAAGAATGCACAAAGCAAACAGAAGAAGAATGCACAAGGGAGACAGAAGAAGCTGCCCAGAGACAGGTGGGTGCAGAGGTTGGGGGATCTCCTCTCGGTCAACTGCCCCATTGTCCTCTCTTGGTCCTGCATTTCCAGCCCGTCACTGCACTGGCTCCTTCCTCAATGCCCATAAACACTCTGAAAACTCTTGTCTTTATAGAAACAGAGAGGAATCCCAGACTCCAAGAAAGAAAGAGTGAGGGAGTGGCCATGGGTCCAAAATGCCCACAGGGACATCAGTTAAGATAAAGATTGAGATTAGTCACTGGGGCCTTAGCGGGATGTCCCCAGGGCAAGTGGGAGGAGGAGTCACAGGCAGAGTGACAGGCCAGGGAGTGAGCAGGGGGCCTGGGTTGGAGGCAACAGGGAGAGGGGTCGTTCACTAGCAAAGGGCTTCAGGATGCAAAAGTGAGAGAGAGAGAGAGAGAGAGTGTGTGTGTGTGTGTGTGTGTATGATTGTGTGTATATGGGTGAGTGTGTCTGTGTATATGAGTGTGTGTGACAGTGTGTATGAGTGTGAGTGTGTGAGTGTGAGCATGTGCGTGTGTCTTCATTTAAATATAGGAGCAACTCTAGGGTGTTTACAGCCTGAGAGGCTGCAGATGCTGAGCGAGAGCATAATTGATTAATTGAATGAGGAGAACACAGTCTCCATCCTCTGTGGTTCCTGGTCTGCTAGGGAGACGAGGATTTGAACCGACACCTCCACTAATCTGTATGCATAAAATTGAGTTAGCTGCGCCCGTGTGGGTGAGGTGGCCTGCAGCCGTCTGGGACACAGCAGGTGCTCTGTGACTCTGCTTCCCCTTCCTGCACGTCAGCAAAGAGAAAGGCTCTGAGCAGCCCAGGCCGTAGGACGACACCACTGTCCTCACAGGAGGAGCACAGGCCTTAATTGTGCCTTTAAACTTTCAAAGTGATTTCACATTGATTTTATTTACTCCTCAGAACCCCAAATTCATCAGGCTCTGCCCTTAGTGGCCAGGGAGACACTCTGCGCTGTGCAGGGTGGAAGGAAGACTCCGAAGGCCCCAGCTTATGTCGGGTTCCCCTCTGTGCCCCAGCCATGCAGTAAGGGTCCAGGGAGTGTTTGTTGAGTCAGTATATGATGGATGGATGGAAGTGGTGCTGTAGGAAAGCTGTCTCTCTCATTGTTGTACATATGGGTAAACTGAGGCCCAGCAAAGGACTCTTACCCAGAGCTGTGCATGATAGCTGATCTTTGGAAGCCCTAATGCTTGTCGCAGTTCAGTTTTTGCCACTGTTCAAACATTGAGGGCCCCCACAAGAGTCACAGCAGCCCTCCCCCTGGCTCCTTCTGAGAAAGGCAGTGGCAGCTGGTGGCTGTGGGCTCTGTGGCCCACCCTTCCCTATGGACCTGTTGACTCTAGAGTCTTCTTGGAGATCCGGGCACAGCAGGTCTGCAGGGCGCATTTCCAGGCAGGGTACCGAAGGCTCCTCCCACAGGGCTCCCCGACTCCACCACCCTCCTCACAACGGTAGCATGAAGGACAAGGACGGCACCTCCCTGCCTCCAAGGCCTAGGCGACCTTTCTGTGACTCACCTGAAATGCCATCTCCCCTGTCCACCAATGGCGAGCCCACCCCATGCCGAGTGCCACCTCCTCCTGGAGGGCTTCCCTGAACACCCCTGCCAGGCAGAGCCGTCCACCACGATCCTTGCTGCTGTCAGGCCCCAAGGGCTTCTGAGGCTGGTGGCTGGGTGATTGGGTGTGGCTAACCACACACGCTTCCCAGGGACTGGAAGCTCCTGGAGGGGTGGAGTGGAGTGAGGAGGGGCCCCACCTCCACCCTGCCAGGCCTTTTCAATACCCAGGGGTGTGAGACCTGGTCACGCGCTGGTGCTCGGCACAGGCTGAGCAGTGCTGGCACAGCTGCAAGGGGCCACCCTGTCTCCCTCCACATGGCTGACGGGTTGTCTGCCAGCTGGGCCACCGACAGGACGTGGGCAGGGATTCCCTGGGGAGGAGCCACCACGGCTTCCTCGTGGTTCAGGGCGCCTGTTTCGGCGGCTCCGATGGCCTGCATGTCCCTGTTGCCAGTATTTTTAACTTGGCCCAGCTTTTAATAAACCCTTCATGAGTGGAGAGCAGTAAACAATGATTTGAAGACTTGACTAATTAAAACACCACTCTGTGGTTGCAGAGGGAAGCCGGCTCCATCCCGAGGGAGGGCCCTTCCCCCGGGGGTCACTAGCAGGCTCCACGCTGCAAGCCAAGCGCAGCAACGCATCCAGACCTGGAAACGAGGGAATCCATGATGCAGCATGGAGGAGCTGCAGCAGGGACCCCACACGCACCTCCCCGGAGCCTGGCCCCATCCCAGACCCTGCCACCTCCTCCAGGAAGTCCCCCTCACAGATGTGCAGCACTGTGCTCCTTGTGGTGCCTGGGAGCAGGCCAGGGTCCTTTCCTGCCCACCCCCAGGGACAGCTGCTCAGCCTGGATCTCCACCTGTCCCTTGCTCCGTCCTCTCTCTCCTGCTTCCACATGCCCAGCTCCACTTTCTCTCTCTCCTGCTCCTGTACCGAGGGCACTGCGGCCATTCATCCGGGGCCCTGGGAGGGGTCAGCAGGCTCTCCCTCTGCATCTCCCTCCGTCTCCCCATCAGTGCTGTCTTTACTCCATGATCTTGGTCCCCCTTCGGAGCCCCAGCATGAACCTCTCCATCGGCTCCTCATCCGGGAGAAGGTCGTGAGAAAATCATGCCCCAGGCCTGCCTTCTGCCCTCACTTCTCCGCAACCCCCCAGGCTCCATCCAGCCCCTCCTGGACCTGCACTGTTCCTCCTGCCTCTGCCCTGGGAGGGTCCCTGGAGGCGGCTGGGTGCTCCCGAGGATGAGTGCTCCTCTCCTCAGCAGGAGTCTGTGGGGGAGGAGCTGCAGAGTATTCCACAGGGCAAGCAGTAGATGCTTAATAAATATCAGAGAGACTCCACACACACACACACACACACACACACACACACACAGGAGGGGAGGTGGGCAGACCTCCTTGGACAGGGTTGGGTTTTGCCAGAAACCAGAGGAGATGATTATCCTTTACATGTGACCTCAGAGATCCCCCAACCCTAAAAATACCTACTCCCTGTCCCACCGACCCCCATGCCAAGCCTCAGTCCAAGTCAGCGGTGGGAAACCCAGTACCCAGTCCTGCCCACGCCACCTGGCTGGTGCCTTTGATTGAAGGGGTGTCTTGAACTTCTCCCGACTGCGGTGAGCACATTTGTAAGATGGGGTTAAGGACTCTTGCCCTGAGAAGAACCCCCTCAGAGCTCTGGCATGGCCGTGGTGAGCTGGGGCTGGAAGGAGAGCCTGGGAGCAGAGCAGCGACACCTCGGTTATCACCATTTGTCCCAGTCGTGGTTATTACAAGAATTAAGAACGTTCCCGCTGGCCTTTAAGGTCATCAAGCCTCTCTCAAGGGTGGAGGTGCCTCCCTGCTGGGTGGCCCTGGGGACCCAGACCACCTACTTGGGGGTGGCCAGGCGATGAGTGGCCAGTTGGACCACCTGTGGCTATCCGGAGCCCCTCCCCCTCCACCCAATTGTCCTGAGGCCTGCACGGTTCTACCTGTGATAGGGAACACTGCCTCGAAGCAAGCCCTTGGCGGCATTCCCAGGTTCCACCTCTGCCTGCCTCCTCCCCAGCCCTCCTGGCTTGTCAAGACAGAAGCTGGCAGGAGGGGTTTGCAAACATGAATCATGGCATTTATTCCTATGGTCTCTGGCCCCGACTTTGTAAAAACACCTGCAGGTGACTCTTCCTCCAGAAAAGGGAGGCCGCTGGTTTTTTCTTCCCCCAGCTTTGCCGGGAAAGAGGCAACAGGGAGTGCTGGAGGGCGGACCGTGTCATCGAGACAGGCACATTTTTCGGGGTGTGTAGTTACCAACTAATTAGCAAGTCTGGAGACCACGACTGCGGAACAAGTGACACGAGGGCCCTGGAGGGCCCAGATGCTGTTGCCTACCGGCACATTGCCTCTGTGGCCCTGAGGCAGGGGACGAAGTCTGGGGACAGCCCACCGGGAACCCATGGGCCAGCGGGGAGCAGGCCTGTGGGACACCCAGATGCTCCGGCCCACTGCTGGGGACATCACTGCACCTCCCTCCCGCCCAGGCCTCGGTTTCCCCCTCTGGCTCTGGAGGTGATTATCACAAACCTAAAGGCGGCCTGGATCCTGGTGCCTGCTCCCCTCCCACAACCCAGTTCTAACACCTGGGTCACATATGCCCACTCCCTGTCTGCCCAAGCCAAGCGTCCTGCAGTGAGGACCTCCGTCCCCTCTCCATGTGCTCTCTCAGTCTCAGAGCCCTCCTGCCTCTGGGGCTGATCACTTCCCAATTTCCCACTCCCCTCTAGGCCTCGAGGCCTCAGTTCCTATTGTTCCCTCTACCCAAGGAGCTTCCTCAGCCCTGTCACTTGTCAAAACACAAGCCTGTCCTCCAGGGCCGTCTGGGTACCGAGAGGTCCAGGCCACCTCTTTCTCCTCAGGAAGGCAGAGGCCCCTTGGCACGCTCACAGGAAGAGCGGCAGCTCAAGGCCGGAACACGATTACCAAACCCGAGACTTCTCCCTGGGGCCCCAGCCGGCCTGGGACCTTGAGGACAGATTTCAGGCAGGCATGCCTTCCTTCAGTACTGCCCCTGGGGAGCGAGCAGGCTTCTTGCTGCTGGAGGAAGCTGGGATTTAGTGAAAGGAGGCTAATGTGGAAGAGCAGACGGACAGATGGCCTGTGGGCCCAGGGCACACTGCCTACGCCTCTCTGAGCTTCGGAGTGGTGCCTGTAGCATGGGAATTATATAGGACCAGCTTCCTAGGTCCACCAGGCCCTAGTAAGTGCCCGGTGGAAGCTAGCAGGCACAGGAGGAAGGACGGGACAGCACATCTGACCAAAAGCCCCAGGTCCAAGCACAGCTGCCCAGAGCCGGACAGAGCCCAGGCAGGTCCCAGGGGGCCTCTCCTTCCAGCCGAGCTGCAGGAGTGCTAAGGCGAACCAGGCAGGGCCTGAGAGCCCTTGGAAGGCTTCCCAGTGGAGGTGACCTTGGGGATGGGCCTTGAAGGGTACACATGAGTTTGCCAAATGCAGGGGAGGGGGAGGCCTTCCCGGCAGTAGGACAAGCTTGAGCCAGGGAAGGTTAGGGCGCCAGTGTGCCTGGCTATTCTGGGAGACGAGTCCAAGGCCCGGCAGAGTGAGGGGAGCAGCTGTCCCTGAGGAGGCCGAAGGTCGGCAGGGCTGCCCAGCTGGGGTCCTGAATGCCAGGCCGCTGGGCAATGTCTTTGGGGAGCCTCAGACAGGCTCTGAGAAGACGAAAGACAAGGTCAGAGCTTTAAAAAGCTGCAGTGCGGTCACTCTGGCGGCCACGACAGAAGCAAGAACACAAGACAGTGACGACCACACAGAGGTCATGGCTAGGCCAAGTGGAGCAGCAAGGAAGGCAGAAATGGGGGGCTGGGGACGTGGAGGAGGGGCAGGAGGAAGAAAGCCATGAGGAGAAGCCAGGAGGAGAAGCTCCCCAAAGCCTCACTCCCCTAGGCTCTTGTATAAAACAGGGAAAATTACGCTTGGAATATCTCCTACATCGTGAGGTTAACAAAAAGGAGTTGCAGAACAGTGTGTGTAAAACGAACTCATGTATGTAAAGTGAAAAAGAATATATACAAGATCCCCTTTCCTATTGATCTGTTTGCACATGCCTAGACGCTTCCGGGGATCACAGGAGAAACTGACTGGCGCTGGGCTTTGGGAGTGGCTGGGGAACCCCAACGGGAGGACTACCTGCTTTGCACTTCAAAAGAGAGGGCCATCTATTTTATAATTGAAACCACTTTTAACATAAAAAGAAACTGGCGGGGGCGCAGCGGTTCACGCATGTAATCCCAGCACTTTGGGAGGCCGAGGCAGGTGGATCCCCTGAGGTCAGGAGTTTGAGACCAGCCTGGCCAACATGAGGAAACCCCGTCTCTACTAAAAACCCAAAAATTATCCACACATGGTGGCCGGCACCTGTAATCCCAGCTACTTGGGATATTGAGGCAGGAGAATCGCTTGAACCCGGGAGGCGGAGGTTGCAGTGAGTTAAGATTGCACCACTGCACTCCAACCTGGGTGAAAGAGAGAGACTCCATCTCAAAAATAAATAAATTAATTAATTAAAATAAAATAAAATAAATTATAAAACGAACCGAAACAGGCAAACGGTTAGAGAAGGCCAGCATTTGTCTCAGGGGAAAGCACAGCCAGAGGGGATCGGGGAGGCTTCGCGGGGCTGGAAGGTTCCAGAAGGCTTGACTTTCCCCACCTGGTGGTCTACCCGGCCCGCAGTCCCAGCCCCATGTCCCCCCCACCCAGGGGCAGGACTCCCGCCCTGCGCGGCCCCAGCTCCCGCTCTCCGTGGCGAGCCCGCCGCGCCCCCTGCCGGCGCGCGTTGGGGAGGAGGGGCGGGACGCAGAGGCTGCGGCTGGGCTCCCGGGCAGGCGCCGGGCTTTCTCCCTGGGTTGTGTATGTTTCTTAAAAGAATGATACGTGTGGCAAAAAAAAGATAAGAGGGGAGCCATTATTAATGAGAACAGGTGAGGGGAGGATATTCATGATCGTTTCGAGCCTAATGAAGCCTGCCGAAGGTTCCCTCCGGAATGATGGATTCCGCGGGGCCGGGGCGCTCCCATCACTCTTGTCCTCGGAGCCGACTGTTCTCCCGGCTGCCTCCGCACAGCCCGCTCCGGAGGACAGGAGCGAGGCTGATAACAAATTTTGGGAACATAGAATTTCACACCTCATCGCACAGGCATTAAGACGACAATACAGCGGATGACTTCCTCCCGCTGGCCCGCCCCCTCAGCAAGGAAGGCCAGGCCAGGGGAGGCCTGGGGGCCGGCGGGGCCCCAGGGAGGAGGGTTGGGCTGGGGGGGCGCCCAGGGCTCGCAGAGCCCCTCAATTGTCCTCAGGCCCGGCAAGTGGAGGCGGGAGCGGTGACAGGGACAACGGGGATCTCTGTCCCACCCATCACTGGGATCGCAATTGCGTGGAGAGGGAAGGCCCCAGAGCCCACGGAGCCGCTCTCCCCGTCCAGGCCCCCGTGAGGCCCACTGCAGCCTAGCTCCTGCTCCTGACGTCGGTTCCCAGCAAGTTCAGCCAGGTGGCTGGCTGTTCTCACCCCTCCCGGGAGCTGCACAGACAGCTGCGTTAGACAGAACGCAGGCCACAGGGCCGGGCAGTGAAACTTCCCATCACCCGAGGCCGAGCCGGCCAAACGGCTCCCCTGGCGTCATAACGGCCAAGGCCGGGCCACCCTGGCTGGAGGGCGCACGGGAGGGGCGCAACGTGACGTTTGGGAGTACAGAGCCAGGGAGAGGGGGCCAAGTCAGGGGCCGCCGCACAGTATAGGACGTGAGGAAGGAGGAGCCCGCTGCCCCGCTCCCCTACCTCAGCGTCGGGTCTACCCTGCCCACCTTCACCATGTCACAGCAAGATGCGCCCCCTTTGGCCCAGCCCCCAGGTGACACACGGCCCGGAACTTTGACCCGCCTTGTGCAAATGTGAGCCTATTACCAGCACTGCCCTTGTTCCCAACATTTGGGGCACAGAGGGGTCCTTTTCTGTCCCCAGAGCCATCTTGAGTAGAATGAGGAGAAGAGGCGTTTCCAGGCCCTCCTGGCCCAGTTGCTCGCTGGCCCTCAGCTGCCAGGAAGGCGGACATTTGAGAAGGAGCAGGGAGGGTGTGGGGCAGGAGAGGGGTGGTGTCCCAGCCAAGGGCAGCAGGAGCCACCCAGAGGCCTTGGCCGGTAACTGACGCCAGCCCTCACCTGGAGGGCCAGGTGAGGCCAACTCTGCCCCTCCCACCTCCTGTCTATGCCCAGCAGGTCCATGGCCGTCAGAGGAAGCCCAGGGTGGTATCGCATTCGCTTCCCCTGGCTGCCCATCTGAACCCAAAGCCCCTTGAGGGCGGTGAGCAACGCCTGCTGGCTAAGGGGTGCCCCTGAGCAGGGGGTGAAGACACCCCGCCAAGCTGCTGGTCTTTCAAGTGGGATTTTAAGGCCGGGTAGAATTTTTAAAAATGAAAGGTAAATGGAGTTGTTTTTCTTTCTGAAAACAATAGATGTTATTTAAAGAAAATGTAGGGGAGGCTGAAAAATCCAAATAATAAATCATCCATCGTTCCTCTGCATAGGAAACATTGACATGGAGGTATTTCCTTCCAGTCTTTTTTCTGTTCATTTCCCTTCAGTTTTGTTTTACATGCCAGAGATCATGCTGTCTCTGTGATCTTGTTTCTTGTTGGTTCTTATACAGGAGACATTCCCTATGTTTATCTAAATTCAGAAGAGACAAAGTATAAATGGCTGCATAACAGTTCGTGGAGTGGTTGGTACCACAGCTGGCTGCTAATCTTTTACTTGGGATATTTAGGATTTAAAATTTTACTTTTGATTAGGAGAAGCAGGTCTGTCATGGTGTCATTGTTGTCTAACGATTTTCCCTTATTTCAGGTTAATCGCTTTTCAACAGTTTTTTTTTGAGACGGCGTCTCGCTGTGTCGCCCATGCTAGAGTGCAGCGGCACAATCTCGGCTCACTGCAAGCTCCGCCTCCCGGGTTCATACCATCCTCCTGCCTCAGCCTCCTGAGTAGCTAGGACTACAGGCGCCCACCACCACGCCTGGCTAATTTTTTGTATTTTTAGTAGAGACTGGGTTTCACTGTGTTAGCCAGGATGGTCTCGATCTCCTGACCTTGTGATCCGCCCGCCTCGGCCTCCCAAAGTGCTGGGACTACAGGCGTGAGCCACTGCACCTGGCCCTTCAACAGTTTTTTAAAAGTAGAATCTCTGTTTCTAAGATAATAGAAATCTTACAACAGAAAAAAGGGATTTTGTTTGTTAAACATAAGTAATATGTATTTATTTTAGAAAACTTAGAGACAAGTATAAAGAGAAAAACACAAGTTGCCAATAAACTCATGAATATGGGTATATTTATGATCCAGATGTGAGTGTATAAGAGTCAGTGTCTGTGTGTGTGTGTCAGTGAGTGTGTATGAGGGTGTGTGTCAGTGTGTCAGTGTGTCAGTGTGTGTATGAGAGTGTGCGTGTGTCAGTGACTGTGTGTATGAGTGTGAGTGTATGTCATTGTGCGAGTGTGTACATGAGGGTGTGAGTGTGTGTGTCAGTGACTGTGTCTGAGGTTATGTGTGACAGTGACTGACTGTATGAGGGTGTGTGTCATTGTGTGTGTGAGGGTGTGAATGTGTGTGTCAGTGTGTGAGGGTGTGAGAGTGTAGGTGTGTCAGTGTGTGTGTCAGTGAGTGTGTGAGGGTGTGAGAGTGTAGGTGTGTCGGTGTGTGTGTCAGTGAGTGTGTGAGGGTGTGAGAGTGCGTGTGTGTGAGGGTGTGAGTGTGTGTCAGTGTGTGAGGGTGTGAGAGAGTGTGTGTCCGTGTGTGTATCAGTGTGTGCACACACGCATCTATGGAGACAGGAAACTGTCTCAAGCTTCATTCGCCAACATTTCTTAAGTGCTCCCCGGGACCCAGCCGCCCTCTGTGTGCCCGAAAGTCGACCCTGCCCTCTTTTACTTCTGGCCCGGAAGCAGCTCTCCTTCCCCAAGCCTGACAGTGCCTCGTGGTTTGGAGGTGGGGGGACACGCCGACTGCAGCCGTGAGAGCTGCTGTTGCCCCCAAAGCTGGAGGTCACCTGGGCCCCGGTCCCTACTGACACTGTGTCTCCACACCCTGCTCCCCCAAGCCCCATCACCTTCACAGGCCCAGGAGGAGAGCATCCCCCTCAGTGCATCCGTGGCTCAGGCCAGAAACCCTGGAGGCCTCCGGAGCACTCTCCTTCTCCCGCAGGACTTGCTGATTTTATCTTCAAAACGTGTTTGGAATCCCACCACTTTGTCTCTCCATGCCACCACCCTCGAGGCCCACAGCTGCTCTAGCCTGGATCGTGGCGACCATCTCGCAGCTGGCCGCCCTGCTTCTCCTGTGCAGGGCAAGCCTTTCCAAGCCAGGCCACCTCACGCCTCACCATGGGGCCTTTGCCATGGAGCCTCCCTCTTCCTTATCTTGCCCCCGAGCCCCTGGCTGTTGCCTGACGCCCCTTCTCTCGTCGCTCACTCTCTGGTGCCTCCCTAGTAGCCACACTGGCCCCCTTGCTGCAGCCCCGAGCCCGGTGCACAGCCTGCTCAGTCCTCTAGCCCCCTTGCTGCTGGCCCGAGCCCGGTGCACAGCCTGCTCAGTCCTCTGGCCCCCTTGCTGCAGCCCCGAGCCCGGTGTACAGCCTGCTCAGTCCTCTGGCCCCCTTGCTGCAGCCCCGAGCCCAGTGCACAGCCTGCTCAGTCCTCTGGCCCCCTTGCTGCAGCCCCGAGCCCGGTGCACAGCCTGCTCAGTCCTCTGGCCCCCTTGCTGCAGCCCCGAGCCCGGTGCACAGCCTGCTCAGTCCTCTCCAGTGGCCCGGGGCTCACTCCTTCACCTCCTTCAGGTCTTGGTCAAATTCACCTTCTCAGCGAGGTCTTCTACTGCCCTCCCCTCCCGCCAGCCCATCCCTGTATCCCTATCCCCATTCCCGCTTTATTTTTCTTCAAGCACTTGTAGCTTATAAAATGATTTAGGGATTTATTTATTAATAGCACTTGACCGCTAATAAAGCCTCTGCACTAGTCGATGCCCGTAACCCTCTATTAGCGGGCATAGCAGTGGGTTGTCCTCACTTCCCAGGAAGGAGGGAGGGATCCGGCTCGGACTGGGTGCCCGCCATGTGCCAGGTCCTCTCTTGGTCCCCATTTTGTTTGGTTTGGCTTTGTTTTAAAACAGTCTCGCTCTGTCACCTAGGCTGGAGTGCAGTGGCATGACGAAGGCTCACTGCAGCCTCAACTTCCTGGGCTTGAGTGACCCCCAAGCCTCAGGCTCTGGAGGAGCTGGGACCACAGGCAAGCACCACCACGCCCACTAAGGTTTTCGTTTTTTGTAGAGATGGGGTCTCTCTTTGTTGTCCAAGCTGGTCCATTTTGTATAAGAAGAAAGAGATTCTGTCACTGAGTCTGTTTCCCAGAGACTCTGTAGTAGCTGGGGGCATTCCAGAAGGCCAGGGTAGCCACACCCCAATCAGCCCTGCGAATGCTATTTCAAAACCTCCTCCTTCCCTACCCTGGTATAGGTGCCAGGAACTGTGTGGGCATCTGAGAGCCAGGGACTGGCAGGAAACTGTTATGTACCTCCAGCTCCCTGAGGTCCCCACCTCGCCTTTTTAAACAGACTCGACCCAACCGTGTGGCTTCACCCTGTGGTGAGGAAAGCCCTGCCACGGACATTGGCCCGGACCCCTGAAATCCATCCAGACCAAGTACCTCCATCACCACACCCAGCCAGCCCTCTGCATCTCCAGTCCACTTTGGAATTTTTAGCTCCTCAGCCGGGTCAGTGCTCACGTGGGTTGGATTCACTCACTTGGACCAAGACTGGCTCTGCCTCTAGTTGGCACCACCTGCCCTCCACCTGTCTCACATCTGGGCTCCAGGGTGGACATGTGCTCGCCACTCCTGCTCCCATTGTCCCTTGGACCAGCTCAGGTGGCTCAATACCCACCAGATGCCATCAGAAGAGGGTGACTGGAGGGGGCACCCACATGGGACAGGAGCCGCAATGTCAGGGCCCCCACTGGGATTCACAGTGCCCACTCCACATCCTGTCCCTTCTCTCTGGTGAGGTCTGGCTCTGGAAAACTGTTGAGGGTCCTACTTCTCCTCTTGGTGAGCCACACAGAATCCTTTCCGCCCTTTGTCAACCCAGCACCAGACTCACACCCTCGATGTTGACAGTGGCTGCCACCTCCACCAGCAGCAGTGAACATTTATTGCACACCTGAACCTTGCGCCAGGCACTGTGCTGTGGACTGTACCTGTATTACCATATTTTATCTCACAACCACTCCACCTTATAGACTCGTCCCCATTTGTCCAAAGGCAAAAGGCTCAGAGGGGTTAAGGACTTTGCCCAAGGGTACGCAGGCTAGTCCAGTGGGGAGCCCAGACTAAAACCCACAGCTGCAGGGGAGTTATTCCTGCATCGACATCTCCCTTTCAAGTCATGCTGCCAGGAGAAAGACAGCCGATTCTCACCACACACCCACCCGCCTAAGAGGTCAGGTGGCCTGTGGTCTTCAGGAGCTGGCATCCACCCCTCCACAGCCTTAGTCGCCTGTTCCTCCATCCTGGTCTGCCCTGTCCTCTTTGTGCAGTGGTGACACTGATAGAAATCAACCCAGAAGTAAGCAAACAGGTTCCCCGAGTTCAGGAACCGAGCTGGGGAGGGCCGGGAGCTGGGCTGGGTCTGGAGATCCAGGATTCAGATCACGGGTACTGCTGCCTCAGTCTTGGCCTCTAAGCCCAGACTCCTCATCCATAAACTGGGCAGCGTACTGCCTTCTGTGCCCAGCTGTCGAGAGACGCAGGCAAGGAGGGTTCTGGGAAGGAGCATAGACTGTGCAGGCCCCACCCTTGAGGGAGACTCAAGAGTATTCGAGACCAGATCCCTTATTCGGGCACTACTGAAGTCCAGCCATGGTCAACACGGGCCGAAACAGACAGACAGACGGCCTTTATCAACCCCTCCCCGACACCTGGTCCTGCTACTGACCAGCCCCAGGAGACAAGGCTGCAGATGGACAGGCTGAGACTGCAGGCCTTGTTCCAGGTAGACACGCACAGCTCCGAACGGCTGCCCCGTCTGGCCTCAACAGCAGCCCTCCTTGTTTGGGGCCTTGGCGGGTGCGGGGGGCTGTGTTGATCTTGGAGGGCTCACAGGCCCTCGTGGTGTTCCCAGAGAGGTGTTCTGTGGCTGCTTTATGGAAATAATTTTATGGTCCGTGTAGGTGCTGGGCCACTCCCATCCTGCTGATATTTCCAGGCTAAAACTACCGTGGTCACACTCCATGGTGAGGAGTGCTGGGGCCCAGCAAACAGGACCAGTCTCGAGCAGAGCCTCAGGTGCCGGATACATGACTTTGTTTTTCTACAACTCAGCTCCTCTAAGGACCGTCCTGGGGGTGGCAAGAGCTGACTCTTGGTCCCCTGTCCTCACTCCCTACACTCCTCTTCCCGGCATTGGGCTAGCACAGCAGGCAGCTGCTGGGGGCAACAGGCTCTTGGTGTTATCTCAGAGACCCAGGGTACCCGTGCCCTCCTCACCCACCCATAGCACTCCTTCCACCTCAGCACAGGAGCTCACAAGCCTATTTTGAAACTAAACCATCAAGAATTAACTTCTAAACAGTATGGAGGCTCCTCAAAAAGTTAAACACCAAATTGCTATATGATCCAGCAATTCCGCTGCTGAGTATGCAGTCAGAAGAACGGGAAGCAGGGTCTCCAGTGGATACTTGTACACCTTTCACAACGTAGACATTCAATGCAGCATAATTCATGAAAACCAAAAGGTGGAAACCACCCAAATGTCCATCGATGGATGAATGGGTTAACAAAATGTGGTGTGTGCACACAGTGAAGTATTACTCAGCCTGGAAAAGGAAGGACATTCTGACACATGCTGCAAATGGATGAACCTCGGAGATCTTATGCTCAGTGACATCAGCCAGACACAAAAGGACAAATACCGTATGAGTATACGAGGTTCCCAGAGTAGTCAAACTCGTAGACAGAAAGTAGAAGTGGTAGTTGCCAGGGGCTGGAGAGAGGGGAGATGAGGGAGCTGTTGTTTAATGGGCACAGAGTTGCTGTTTAGGATGATGAAAACATTCTGGAAATAGATAATGGTGGTTTTACAACAATGTCAGTGTACTTAGTGCCACTATAAAATGGTTACAATCATCAATTTTATGTTATATAAAGTTTACAATTTTTTAAATCACCAAAAAAAAAGAAAGAATTAACTTCTTTGTTTACCCTTTTCTGCTGTATCTTCCTGTGTCCAAAGCATGAAGGTAGATGTTCCCAGGAAACTGGTGCTCAATCGAGGTGATTTTTGTCCCCCTCCAGGGGACATTTAGCAATGCCTGGGGGCATTTCTGGTTGTTTCAATCGGAATTGAGAAAGGGTCGCTGGAGCCCAGTGGATAGAGACCAGAGTTGCTGCTGAACACCCCACGATGCACAGGACAGGCCCCCACAAAGAATCCTCCGGCCCCAAAGGCCAAGGTCAGAAGCCCTGCCCCAGGAGAAGGACCCCAGATGACTAAAAGCAAAGCATTCGTGCTTCAGAAATACCAGGAGCAGCTCCTTCTCTGTGTCTTGGTGAAGAAACAAAATACTTTCTAAGGGGGAAAGAAAAAGTCTTATTCCTGCACTAGCTGGCATCCTGTGGCCGGACTCCAGGGGCAAGAGGTGCGCAATGTTCTTTTGGGGGCCTCTGATGACCCCTGCCCAGTAGACTGTGAGCTCTGTGGCTCAGTACCTGTCTGTCCTCATTACACCCCCTCCCCAAAATGCACCTCCACAGTGCCAGCCACAGCGAATGGCCTGCATAGGACCGCCAAGGCCAGCCCTGTTATCCCTGCGCACTGAATCCCACTTTCAGGGAGTACAGTCGGGCCCCCTCCCCCCAGCCCAAAGGCCACCAAAGGCATGGAGGAGAGGATTTAAAGCCAGCTAACGAGTCTTCCTGTCTTCCTCCTCCCCAGGCCCTTCCCACTCTGTCCTTTTCAGATTAGATACCTACGTGATTGAGACGTTCCTGGCAAAAGCAATTTGTTTAAAGCAATCTGTTAGTACTTTGTGGACTCACTTAACTGAAGGGTCTGGGGAAAGTATCAGGATGTCAGGCATGGGTGGATCCAGGAGCAGATGGATCTTATCAGGGTTCCCTCTTCACCTAACCACCTTTTCTTTCTGCTCAGTCCTGCTCTCCCTTGGGCCCTGGCCTCATTCCTTCTTGAAGCAGATGACCATCTCTACGATGTCATGAAAGATGGGACAGCCCCTTCCCGCTCACATTGTCACCATAGCTCACAATCCCCCAGTGCACGGCAGCTCATCTCTCTGTTCCAGCTCATAGGAATTCCCAAAACGGACTCTGACCACCACCCATCCACCCCACCCCCAGCTCCACGTCACGTCCCACCTTGTGGATGAGGTGGGGTACTGTGGTCGGCTGGACTGTGTGCCCAAACAAGACAGCAAGAGCTTCTCAAAGGGGAAAATGCCAGAAAACAAAATCAGAACATATGCCTCCCACCTCCCAGCCAGACTAGGGCCAGCCCAGCAGAGACAGGGGCTCAGCCTGGTGTTTGCTGTCCCTTCTCAAGTTGTTCTTACTCGACAGTGCTTTCACCTGCCCCGGACAGAGCCCTAGCCCACGCTCTGCTTCTATCTCACACTACCATGACCCCCTCTTCCTGCTGGCCACTAGGAAGCTCAGTGCCCCTCCCTGTGGCCTGCCCACAGGGTCTGCACAGCTTCATGCTGGCCTCTGTGTGCCTCACCAGCTCCCTTCCCCCTGCCCGGTTTGCCCTCATCCCAGCCTCCCTCTACTTGCTATGTGGGTGTCACTAGATAAGCCACTTTAAAGCCATTCTGGAGCAGAGTGAAGGAAGAATAACATCAAGGCCTTCAACAGTGACATTGTGTGACAGCTGGATTTTTCTTCAATTTTTAAGGTATTAACACAGAAGGAAATCTGCGCGGTTCTGGGGCTTCGGGATTGACAGCCTGCAAGGGGATCCTGCAGGTGTATAGGCAGAGGGTATTGACCTGCCCGGCCCCTCATGAGGCCAAGGATGGATCTGAAGAACAAGCTTGGTCCAGAGCACTGCTCAGAACTATGTCACAAGCCACCAAGGCCATCTTCAGATCTGGGTGAAGGTGGAATGAATGAATGAATGATTGGATGAATGAATGAGACCTGAGCTTTCCCACTTCCAACCAGCACAGAGCCTCATGGCCTGGCTTTCACTAGGAGCGTGGATCCTCCTGGGGCTGCAAACTGGTAACCACAGAGCCCTTCTTGCCCTCCCGCAGCCCCCATCCACCTGCCTTGCTGTGGTGGAATGGGCAAGCCCTGCTCCCACTCCCTACCAGAACCTTGCCTGGGCTCCAATCCTAGTCCTTCCATCCACCAATGGTGTCACCTTGGGCAAACTTCTGTCAGCTGCCATTACAAATTTCCACATCTTGGTGGCTAAAAACAACAGAAATTTATTCTTTCATTGTTCCGGAGGCCACAAGTCCACAGCTCAGGTGTGGGCAGGGCCGTGCTCTCTCCAGAGGCTCTAGGGGAGGGTCCTCTCAGGCCTCTTGCAGCTTCTGGTCCTCCAGGTATTCGTTGGCTTGTGGCAGCCTCCTTCCAACCCCTGCCTCTGTCTCCACACAACCTGCGTCTCGTCTCTGTGTGTCAAAGGACACCTGCAAGGGACTAAATATCCAAAGGGACAGTGGCCATACCATTGAGGTTTGCTGTCCCTTTTCTTTTTTTTTTTTTTTTTTTTTTGAGACGGAGTCTCGCTCTGTCGCCCAGGCCGGACTGCGGACTGCAGTGGCGCAATCTCAGCTCACTGCAAGCTCCGCTTCCCGGGTTCACGCCATTCTCCTGCCTCAGCCTCCCGAGTAGCTGGGACTACAGGCACCCGCCACCGCGCCCGGCTAATTTTTTGTATTTTTAGTAGAGACGGGGTTTCACCTTGGTAGCCAGGATGGTCTCGATCTCCTGACCTCATGATCCACCCTCCTCGGCCTCCCAAAGTGCTGGGATTACAGGCGTGAGCCACCGCGCCCGGCCGCTGTCCCTTTTCAAGTAGTTCTTACCCAACAGTGCTCTTGCCTGCTCCCAGACAGACCCCAAGCCCACTCTCTGCTTCTATCTCACTCTGCCATGACCCCCTCTTCCCACTGGCCACCAGGAAGCTCAGTGCCCCTCCCACAGGGGTCTGTTCTGAAAACAGAACGCTGACCCACACCTGCAACAACCTGCCAGGAAACTGACCCCACATCCCCCATAAACAGTGGAGGAAGCCAGCCTGCAGTGAGCCAGGCTTGCAGGAGGCCCGATAGCCATCTCTAGTGACAATGCAGGAAGCTAAACCGTGGCTTCTGTGACAATTGGCCCCAAATGGCCAGGACTTGACTCCTAACTGACAGCTTCCTATTTTTGTCCCACTTCTGACTAACGGCCAACCAGAGAAAGCCAAATATGCACCCTAGCCCATCCCAGGTGATGCCCCGATGCTAGGTAGGCACCTCTGGCTCCCCCACACCAACAGCCTCCGGTCAGAGCACACCCAAAGCAGCTCCAGCTTTCCCTGCGAAGCTTCTCCGCTCCTCTTCCCACCTTTGAGTCTCTGCCCAACACAAGTAGTGGTAGCTGAGCCCAGTCTGCAGAAAGCTCTGGATAAATGGCCTCTGCTTCTCTCGTTTGAGCGGCCCTTGTTTATTTCCACACTTGTCACTGTATTTAGGGCCCTCCCAGATAATCCGGGATGATCTCAGCTTGAGATCCTTCACTTAATTTCATCTGCAAAAACCCTCTTTCCAAATAAGGTCACAGCCACAGATTCTGGGAATCAGGAGGTGGACGTGGCTTTTTGGGGCCACCATTCACCCACTACAGCAGGTACTTCGACACTTTTGGCCTCGGATCATAGGAGGACCTGCCCCACCTGGCTGCCCGGATGGTAAGTGAATACGTGCTTAGAAAGCCCTGGATCAGAACCTGGCAGGAGACACAGTGCACAGGTATCCATTACTGTTCATAGAGTGGGGAGGGGAGGCCCCGCAGTGAAGACATGAAAAAAACAAATCAGCAGAGCGCAAGGTTTCTTTTTGGTGATGGAAACGTTCTAAAATTAGATTGTGATAATGGTTGTACAATTCTGCAAATTCACTAAACACTATTGAATTAGATACTTAAAAGGAGTGATATTTATGATGTATAAACTCCATCTCTGTAAAAGCTGTTGAAAAAAACAAATTTAACTAGCAGGGACGGAAAAGGTTTTCTGGGAGACCCTGGCCCTCTGCAGCCCAGGAGAAGAGAGAAACACTGCCAGGGGCCGTGGGGCCATGCGGTGGGCAGCCCAGAGCCGCGGGGTGAGCCGGAGCCACACCCATGAAGACTCATGGTGGGGAGGGAGGTTGTGAAATGCTGCCTTTCTAAGGGTTGAGGCCTAGGAGCTCCTGGGCTATTGGGATCGGATGATGTGCATGTGGCCGGGCATTGAGGGGTGAAGCCCCTGGTGCCCAGTGCTCCAGTAGCCGGTAGGGCTTCACCTGGGACCCAGCCTTCGGTCCTCTCCCCAGTACTGTACGGCTCACATGGCTCCTGAAAAACAATATTGTCATCTTCTGATCCTGTGTCTTTAGGACTTGGGGTTCCCCATGAAAGCCCCTGGCTTCCACGAAGCCCCTCAATTCCAGCCTTACCCGCCCCCTCCCAGCCCTGCCCCCCAGCAGCTGTGTGACCTTGGATGAGCTGTGTAACCCGTGCTGGGGTGATGGCAAAGGCTCTCCTACCACCCTCCCCCACCCCTCCAGCAACCTGTTCTCCCAACAGGCAGCACCTGCAGCATTCCTCAGAGGCCACTCCCTACTGTGCCCACCCAGGAAGGAGCTGAAGACCCTGGGAAGTTAAGTCCCCCGCAGCCCCTGTCTAAGGCGTGTGGATCCCCCAGGTGAGCCATGCCCCTGAGCCCAGGTGTGTCTGGGACAGCCCTGCCTGGTTTCCTCCCGGTCCCTGGCGGGCCCCAGAAGCCCTTCCTCAATCATCAGCTTGCACCCAAATCCCAGGCTAAGGGTCTGTTGTGGGAACCCATTGGAGACACCCTCTCATAGGGCTACTGGGAGGATTAGGTAGGTTACTACATTATTATTATTATTATTATTATTTTGAGGTGGAGTCTTGCTCTGTCACCCAGGCTGGAGTGCAGTGGCACCATCTCAGCTCACAGCAACCTCCGCCTCCTGGATTCAAGCAATTCTCCTGCCTCAGCCTCCTGAGTAGCTCGGATTACAGGTGCCCACCACCATGCCCAGCTACTTTTTGTATTTTAATAGAGATAGGGTTTCACCATGTTGGCCAGGCTGGTCTCGAACTCTTGACCTCAAGTCATCCGCCTGCCTCTACCTCCCAAAGTGCTGGGATTACAGTCGTGAGCCACTGTGCATGGCCCAGGTTACTACATTTAAAAGAGTAGTGCTGCAGGCATTACCCCACCCTGTCCACAAGACACATGCAAATAACATGGGGCACTGACAAGACTGGATTTAGGAAGTCCACAACTTCCCCGGTTTACCTTCCAGTGTCCACTAAGTCCAACACTCTCCCTGTCTCCATGATTACCACAACACCCAAACTCTCCAGCTCCACAAGGGTTTGGCAGGCCACTGAACCAGACAAGAAGACTCTGAGCCGCCGCTGCAAGAAACCAGCCCCTGGCAGCAATATTTACATGCTGGTCATGCGTGTTCCAAAGGAGCAGCACCAGAGGGTTTTGCTACTGAGTGGAGAGCGCGCCTGGCTCGGATCAGTCCTGTGGAAAGCACAGTCTGTGCACAATCACACGGGCAGATCAAAGACCAGCTGCCTTCCCACAATCTCGGGGGAAGATGGTGCAGCCAGGGAACTTGCCTCAAGCCTTCAGTATCAGATAAGGCTGAATGTGTCAGTGAGAAGAACAGAGCTAAGAGTACCTCCATTCAACTCCTCACCAACCAGTTCGGTGGTGACGTCGGTTGGCTCCTTTATGTTGGATTAACAGGGAGGCTGGAGATTTGGATTCTTTTTTTTTTTAGGTCTTTGGATGTCATGTTTATGGCTGTGATTTTGAAGACATATTTATCTGATGATAAAATAACTAGGAAAGGAATTTTCAACAGAGTGAGATTTTTGTAAAAGAATATGGACGAGATAGGTCCATAAAAGATGAGACCCTCTCCCTGGCCTGGCTCGTGCTGAATCTGTCAGCAGCCACAGTGCGGTGCTCCGAGACACCTCACCCCGGAGCGCTTAGCCCCATTAGGAAGGGTGAGCAGGTGATCGGTTTTGTCGACAGCATTTAGAACCCTCATCTTTTAGAGAAACCCAGATGAAAACAGGGAGGGGTGCTGAAAGTGGCTGTGCTCTCCAGATGTAAGCGGGGGCGGCTAGCAGGGGCCGGAAGGGCCCCCGGCTTTCTAACTCATGGTCAAATGGCTATTTTTGTTCAGAGAGAGTTGAGGGGAAAAAAATGTCTTAGAACAAACGACAAAATATGGATAAGATGAACAAATTCACTTTTTATCTTAAATGAAGAGTGACTTACAAAGCCGGTTGACTTGGAGGCCACTTTCTCAAGGCCGAATACTCTCATTCAGCAATTTCAGAGGAACCCCTCCTCCCTGACCCACACAGACATTTTTTTTTTAATTTGGTTTAGAGAATATCAGGGGGTGGAAGAGGGGAGGTGTAGACAGGGACACCATTTTGGCCTTAGAGGCTCTTGGCTAGAATAGAAAAATCAAGGCAATCGGAACAATTAAGTCCTTGAAGTTTTTCTGATCACCTTCTGGGCGGATCTGGCCGTCCCAACATGCCGTCGCTGGCGGCGTTCATGTTATTTATCCCCAGTTCATTCTGCACAGGCTTTAGGGGGGCTTAGGAAGTGACACCGGCGCAGACAGATAAATTAGAAGTGGGCGAGAAAGATGAGAGGAAGGAAAACAAAGTCAGAGACAGGAGGGCTCCGGGCGGCAGGAGGTCGGTGCCCCGCCAAGCGAGCGGGAGAGCACTGAGCCTCCCAGACAGAGCAGAGGATACCCAGCCTGTTTTCCTTGCATGAGCTCAGCCTGCAAGCTCCTCATCCCCGGAGGCCCCTCGGGGACCACTCTCTGACCACACCACGCTGCCTCTTGTGGAGCCCCATCTAAGTGTCTTCCTGCTGGCCAGGCGGCTACACCAGGGAGGACAGGAGCTGGGTCTTTGTCACCCCTCATTCCCCAGGGCCTGAGTGTTTGATTAGTACTTGATGAATAAATGAATGAATGAATGAATCAGCAGATGAGCAAATGAATGAACAGAGTCAGCTAAGAGAATTCACTTCTCCCCATCACCAGGCCAAGGAACAAGCTGGGAGAAGAAATCCATCTGTCTCTGCCCTGGCACAGCTGGCCCAGAGCCTGGCTGTGGTCACCCTCCGTCTTGTCAGAGGCATGTGGTGACAGTTTCAGCTTGTCTGTTCACTCGTCAATGCCACAAGCATTTGCAGGTCACCTACTCCCACAGTTTGAATCCCTGCTGTGCTGTGTGTCCTTGGCCAGGCTACTAAACCTCTCTGTGCCTTCATTCCCTTATCTGTAAAATAGGAATAATAGCAGTGCCTTCCTCTGAGGGACCCTGGGAGGGCTTGGGAGTTTACATCCGTGCAAATGTGCTGGATCTACGCCAGACACATAGTAAGCACAGGCTGGAGCTGACCACTGCTAGCGTTTCCACGACCCAGGCCCAACTGGGGGACACAAAGGTGAGTGGACAGGATCCTCCCTGAAGTAGCGCCTACAGCCAGTCCCAAACCAGGCCCAGTCCTTAGCCCCCATGGCAGGCTTATCTCTGCAAGCCCACTCAGATGTCCCTGGCCCCTCCACCAAGGAGCAGCCCTAGTCATGCTCCGTCAAGAAGGCGCGAGTGTAACGCAGCACTGGCCGCAGCCGCTGTTGCTGTGTAGGCATGGTTGCTGCTGCCTTCTGACCGCCGTGTGTTCTGGTCCCGGGGAAGGCCACCTGCCTCCCACCCGTGTGCCTTTGCCCAGGCAGTTCCCCCTGCCTGGGTCTCCCTTTCCTTGGCCATCTTCGCAGCCATCTGCAAAGTGGACCCAAGGAAGCCCGCTTCCCCGCCCCATCCCTCCTTCAGAGCCAGCCGGGCTCGGGCAGCCAGGAGCTCGGGGCTGAGGCAGAGTGTGAGACCCTGAGAGTCGGGTGGGGGGAAGGGGTCTCTGGAGGAGCCTCCAGAAGAGGCAGAGGAGGAGAAGAAAGAGATGGGGAGGAGGGAGAGGAAGGAGAGAAGAGAAGGAGAGGGCTCAGAGGAAGAGGATGAGACAGAAGGAGGGGAGAAGGGGCAGAGGCAGTCGGCTCCGAGGGGTGGGCGGAAGGGCACCTCCCAAGGGCCGCCCCCGCTCTGTGTGCCCTGGGTAAATGTTTGTTAAGTGGATCGAACTGAACTGTATCAATAGAGAACACAGGGCATACAGCCTGGAAGCTTCCGAGAGGCCCGAGGCTGTGCGGCTCATCTTTAAGGGGTTCGTCGCATGCATAAGTGGCACCTCTTTACTCCAGCATGAGGGCTGTCCGCTGCCCTGCCCAGTCTCACCCTCTCTTGGGGGCCTGCTGTGCCCCACAAGCTGCAGGGCCTAGTCCTCGCCTCACCATCCAGTGCTTGGGAGGGGTGGGTACGCAGAAGGGGTGGACGGGGCGTGGAGACTCAGGAGCTGCAGAGAAGGGGGCTGGGGGAGAGGGGAGCAGGGGGTGGCCGGGGAGGCACCAGGAACCCCAGGTTTCCACTTGGGTCGTGGGGTAGGGACCGATGCTGGAGGAGCCAGGTAGGGGTGGTCAAGAGAGTGGGAGATTTTAATTGTGAATTGAGGTTTCCAGAGGGACAGGCGGTTGGAAGAGGAATTATTGAATGGAATATTCCAGAAGGGAAACATAGGGGAGAGGCTGACATGTTGCAGCCATGGAGAGGGAGGGAGGAAGATGTTCCGTCCATGGAGAGGGAAGGAGGAAGGTCTTTTCAGAGATGAAGTGACCTCGAGAGATATCACTGTCCCTGCAGACTCAGGCAGGGGCAGGTGGGGGTTGAGCCTGTATCCACACCGTCCATGACAAGAGCAGAGCCAGGCAGGGGCAGGCTCCAGCTTGTCCACTGGGAGAGGACGCCGCCTCCATGAAAGAGCCGCAGCGGAAGTCTCTGAAGTGGCAGGGAGGGTGGGCAGCCCTCTCAGGGAGAGCTATGTGTCATTCGATCAGTGATTCACTCGTTTACTCATTCAGCACGCACTTCCTGAGTGCTCAGCATGTGCCCAGCAAGGCCCTGGGCACTCGGCAATGACCGCACAGACCTCAGCCACCCCAGCCTCACTTTCTGCCGGTGGAGACAGACCTCAAACAAGGCGAGCGAGCTAGTATTAGAGGAATGTGCTCAGGGGAAGGTGCAGTTTCAGGCCCAGGGAGCAGACCCGAAGAAGAACGCCCAGGCGCCAGCGAGCGCAAGGGCCCTGGGGCAAGAGTGTGGCCGGCGTGTTTGCAGAGTACATGGGAAGTGCGTGTGGCTGTGGTGGAGTGAGAGGTGGCGAGTGGTAGGAAATGAGCTCAGGGAGGCACAGGGACTGGAGGGCGCCAGGGCTTCAGAGGTTTTGGCAGGGACTCATGTTTGGCCGGGTGACCCAGGAGCCCTTGGCGGGCTGTGGACAGAGGAGGGCTTGGTGCAGCTCATGCCTGTGCTGGATTCCTCCAGCCGCTAGGTCGAGATGAATGGGAAGGCACAGCACGCGTGGAAGCACGGGGCCAGGTGGGAGCTGCCCCAGCCATCCACGGAGGCCATTTGGTGTGGCTGGAACCTGCTAGTCTCAGAGGGCAGGTCTCACAGGCCTTCTTCACAGGTTGGCTGTGGGGTGTTGGGGAAGGGGAGGAGTCAAAGAGGACCCCCACTTTGGCTGCAGGAGATGGGGCTGGCTGCAGGACAGCAGCCGCAGGGAGGACTGGGGACTCAGCCTGGGGCAGGGGCATGTTGAGGATGCCCATTAGACATCCCAGTGAAGGTATGGAGAGGATTTTTGGATGGCAGTGTTCGGGGTTCAAGGCAGAGGTCCTGGCTGCCAACATAAATTCAGGACTCATCAGAGCATGAGTGGAATTTACAGCCATGGACAGGATGAGATCACCAAGAGTGATCCCAGATACTTGTCACTGTCTCTTCTCAATTAATGGCAGCTTCTTTGGGGGCAGGACCACTTTTTGCTTTCTCTATGCTCTTGGCCCCAGCCCGGCGCCGGGCAGGGACTGAGGAGGCCCCTGGCCCCAGCTAGCGTGATGAATGACTGGCTCTGGAGACTAGTAGGTCAAAAAGTAATTGGGTCTCAGCTCGCTGCGGAACATCACAGCCAGACACCTCGCCTCGCACCCTCTCGTACCTCCGCTTCCAGGCCATTCACCTCCCCATTGGACCCAAACCACCTTTATCACCAGAACTGACACTAAGGAAGGGAGCCATGTGAGGTGCGTGATTATAGAGTTCAAGGAATTGATTGTTTTTCTGGTGCAGTTGTCTAAGTTAATAAATGTTAAGCAGATCTATTTTTGAAAGGAGGCACTTGACTCCATCCCTATGGTGACAATATTTCCCAAACCCGGGGCCAAAGACACCACCTGACACGCGGGCTGATGGATGGCCGAGGGACGTGGCAGCGTATTTGCAGCCGGGGCTGTCTGGTCTCGCCGCTCATTTATTCCTCCCGCATGCCAGGCAGGATATTAAGAACTCGCAGGCTTCTGTTATCTCCAAGCATGTCCGCACTTGTAATGGGTTGACTTCAGTAAACCTATTTGGGAGGATATTATCTCTGGCTTGTATTACGGTGATGGGAAGGAGCGGGGGCTCTAGGAAACGAATATGCTACTTTGACTAGGTTTTTCAATTTTCTGCCCATCATCTGCTGCCAGAAGGAAACAGCTTCCCATGGAAGGTGAGGTCGCTGCCGAGGAGGTCGGTGCAGCGAGGCGGGTAAGCCCGCCCGGGCTGGGCGCCAGTCCCAGCGCTGCCACTTCATAATCATCACAGTGAGCTCTAATGGAGCACTTAAAAGGTGCCAGGCCTCATGCCAAGCGTCTTCTATGAGCCACCTCATCAAGACCTCCCGAATTCCCTGGGAAACAGGCACCATCGTTATCACAACTTTGCAGGTGAAGCAGCTGGGTCTCAGAGACGCCGAGCCACTTGCCCAGAGAAACACAGCAAGTAAAAAAACAGAGGCATCACAGCAAAACTTTATCCAGCACTCCCTCTGTCCCCAGTGTGTACTAATCCATTCATTCATCACGTCCATCTTTAAAGCGGGCTACTGCGAGCGCTGCAGGGTAAGAACCACGTGATGACCAGCCCGTATGATGATTCCCATGTGCAGGTGAGGAAACTGAGGCACAGGATGTGCAACTAGCTCTCCCAAAGCCATGTAGCCAACAAGCCATCGCACTCAGCAGCCTGAGGGCTCAGGGTGCAGGGAATTCATGCTGTGGCCTCCACCACCTCCATCCCCTCCCTTCCTGAGGTCAGTTGGGCAAAGGCGCAGGGGATGCTGCAGAGGTCACTCTCCCTCAAGGCTTCAACACACCCCCTCACCCTGAGCAGCTGCCCAAGAGGAGACTTGGGGGCAACGCTTTGCTGCAGGAAGGTGGACACTGTTCACCCAGCCCCAGAGTGTCCTCTGTCTGTGCTGCAGATGGACAATACACCTAGAGAGTGTGTCAGATGGTGATAAGGGCTCAGGAGAAAACCAAAGCTAGGGAGGGGAGGGGGCCAGTCCATGCGGTATGGACAATTTAAAGCAGGGACCAGCCAAGTGCGGTGGCTCACACTTGTAATCCCAGCACTTTGGGAGGCCGAGGCAGGAGGATCAGTTGAGCTCAGGAGTTTGAGACCAGCCTGGGAAACATCACAAGAACCTGTCTCTAGAAAAAATTGAAAACTTAGCCAGGCATGGTGGTGCACGTCTCTAGTCCCAGCTACCTGGGAGTCTGAGGTAGGAGGACTGCTTGAGCCCAGGAGGTCAAGGCTGCAGTGAGCCAAGATGGTTCCACTGCACTCCAGCCTGAGCGATAGAGCGAGACCCTGTCTCAAAAAAGAAAGAAAGAAAGTAGGCGGTCAAGGGAGGTCAGGCCCTAGAGGAGATGAATTGTTCAATTCAGGGTCTCGGGAGTTCCCTTTAGGATTCTCCTTCCCTCATCCGCTCTCCCGTCAACACCAGAGCTAGGGTCCATCTCCGAGGTGCATCCTTTGTCCCACACAGCTCAGGCCACCTTTCACTCTCAGCCTCCCACCTGCAGCACCTCCTGGAGGGCTCCCTCCCTTCGTGACGGATGCTCAGACGCGATTTCCCACTTCCCAGCTTGAGACTCTTCCAGAGCAACTCGCCTCCTGTAGGACACAGATAAAAGTCATCCCCTCGGCCGGGCGCGGTGGCTCATGTCTGTAATCCCAGCAATTTGGGAGGCCAAGCTGGGCAGATCACCTGAGGTCGGGAGTTCAAGACCAGCCTAACCAACATGGAGAAACCCCGTCTCTACTAAAAGTATAAAATTAGCCGGGCATGGTGGCGCATGCCTCTAATCGCAGCTACTAAGGAGGCTAAGGCAGGAGAATCAGTTGAACCCCGGAAGGCGGAGGTTGCGGTGAGCCGAGATCGCCCCATTGTGCTCCAGCCTGGGCAACAACAACGAAACTCCATCAAAAAAAAGAAAGAAGGAAAGAAGGAAAGAAGGAAAGAAAGAAAGAAGGAAGGAAGGAAAGAAAGAAAGAAAAAGAAAGAAAGAAAGAAAGAAAGAAAGAAAGAAAGAAAGAAAGAAAGAGAGAGAGAGAGAGAAAGGAAGGAAGGAAGGAAGGAAGGAAGGAAGGAAGGAAGGAAGGAAGGAAGGAAGGAAGGAAAGGGAGGGGATGAAAGGGGAGGGGAGGGGAGGGGAGGGGAGGGGAAGGGAAGGGAAGGAAGGAAAGAAAGAAAAGAAGTCATCTCCTCAAGCTTGAGGCTCTGCTCTAACTCAGGGTGGGGAACTAAGCTGGGAAGGCTGAGGGCAGTGACCAGCCCGGTGGGGTGATCCCACCTTCTGTACCTAGCAGTTGTGTGACCTCAGATGGATGATTTAACCTCTCTGCACTGTTGGGCTACCTGTCTGTAAAAGGGGAAAATAATCCTTCCCCTCATGTACCTCTCTGTGAAGCCCACCACCCCGTGTGGGAGGAGGTCCTCATCCTGGTTCAGCAGGGCTTGGGTCCCCATTCCGCCAAATGTGTGTGTTGTGCCGTGGGTGCGCCCTGCTGTCCGGTGAGGTTCAGTCATTTGCCGAGGGCATGCGACCTGTGAGCACTAAGCAAGCCAAGCCTGGGAGTCTCAGTTTTCCCGCAATCCCCCAACCACTTCCCCAGGTGAGCAAACCAAAGGCGTAAACCGAGGCAGAGCCACCTTCCTGGCAGAAGGAAAGGTCTAGAACAAGGAATAAAATCTCCATCACGCAGTTTTTAAGATTCACTGAACCTTCTTGCAGCAAAAGCAGCTTACTTTCAAATTAGTCAGCCAGAGTGTGAGTCATTCCTTTGCAAACTCTTGTGCAGAGAATGCTAATGTGGGCTGCCCTGTGGATGGGTCCCTGCAGAGGCGCTCACCAGGGACCCTCGCCTAGGGCCAGAAGCACCCCCTCCCTCCAGGGACACTGCCCTCACCCCGCAAACACAGGGGCTCAGGCCTTGGGTCCCCCTCGCCTGCTCTGCCTACCCGCCGTCCAGCCTCTGCCTGCCTCCAGCAACAGGCCAATTAATCCCCCCAACCTGGAGCAGCCGGGGCCACAGCAGCCCACGCTGGCCCACGCTGACAGGAGAGAAGCGACCCAAGCTGAGGCCTTGCTGCAGACGCCCAAGGCCACAGGTCTGCTTTTCACCAGGAAGTGGAGGGCTGGTGAAGGTCGGTGTTACGGTAAGGGGAGTGGACGGGGGCACCCGGGGGGCTGTACCTCCTCCCCCACCCAAGTCCTGCAGAGGCAACTGGAAGCCCATACATGCCCACAGGCACTCATCCACAACCATTTGCTAACCTGCACTGCCCTGACTGAAGCTCCGGCCACACTCCAATTAGACTGGGCTGGGGGTGGGGGGCCAGGAAGGGAGAGTTAGCCCCAAAGTGGAGGAGAAGTTCCGGGAGGGAGGTAGTGAGGGAGGGCTTCCTGGAGGAGAGGAGGAGTAAGCGGAGCTTCAGGAGGAGGGAGGTAGCCAGGAAGCAGAGGGTGAGGTGGGGACGATGGGGCCATCCCAGCACAGGGAACAGGCATGCCAAGGCCGGAGTGAGGGGCCACATGCACGGCTGCCACATGACTGGAGGGAGGCAGGCCTGGTGGAGAGGCTGGAATGGGGGACCAAGGACTGTATCCCGAGGCTGGCAGGCCCCAGCTGTGAGCAGGGCAGTGGCATGGTCAGGGTGGAAGTCCAGACAGCTTGCCTTGGTTCAGAGTGAACGTGAGATGAGGACCGGAGCTTGGTCGCCGAGGGACCTGGGGCACAGTAGGGCCCCTGTGGGTAGGATGTGACCTCAACTGGGATCGTGGCTGAGGGATGGAGAGATGATGACGTTGGCTGAGGGATGGAGAGATGATGACGGTGGCTGAGGGATGGAGAGATGATGACGGTGGCTGAGGGGTGGAGAGATGATGACGGTGGCTGAGGGATGGAGAGATGATGACGGTGGCTGAGGGATGGAGAGATGATGACGGTGGCTGAGGACATGCTGGGGGCCAAGTCGATGGTGCTGTGTGAACCAGAGAAAGAGGGGCACATCTCCAGGGGTCCTGCTGGCCCCAGGCCTGGAGAGGGTCCCATGGAGCCAGGGATGTGGCACCTGGGAAGGTCCCAGAGCTAGCCACAGAGGCAGCCCGGGAGCTGACCATGTCGAGGCCACAGGAAGGCCACTGGAAACACTGTCCACCTGCCTGGCGCTGGCCTGAAAGAGAGAGAGCCACTTCATTCCCTGCATTTGACAACGGACAGATCCTAACTGACCACGGGCCCCCGCCTCGCCCTCCCTGCACGCAATCCTCAAACACGCATCTGCACCTGCCGCCTCCTGGCCTCTCCACCCACCCACTCTGCATGGGCTCCCATCATGGGGGCAACATGAGTCCTCTGAGACCATGCTAGCAGCGAGCCGAGGGCACCACAGGAATCCCAGGCCTGGTCTGGGCCAGTAAGGTTTCTGCCATTGGCACCAAGGCAGGCCTTTACCTGGACTCTCTGAAGATACCGGGAGAGCCCCGTAAAACAGAGATGGTCTCTCCTGCCTCGCTCCCTTGCGTCCTAGGCAGCCTAACCAGGAGCGGCCCACAGAGAGGTCATTTCTCCCCTGTGGCAAATCTGTCTCTCCAGGAATTAAAAACATCCCAAATGTCAGATCCAGCAGGAAGGCCCCAGGATGGAGCATTTGTTTGAGATCCCCTTTGCTCTGGGGCTTCAGAACAATGACCGCTCCTAGGCAACCAGGGAGAGAGGAAGAGGCCTGGGATCCCGGGACCAGGAAGAGGGGCTCCCTCTGGAGGCTCTCCCTCCTCCCCTGTGCAAGGAGTTTGTAGCCCTGGGGAGGGTGGTGGAGAGAGAGTGGGATGGTGGGCGCGGTCAGATGGGAGTGAGCCCTGGGCAGCCCCCAGGCCCCTTCAGCTGAGTGGCTCTTTCCTGCTGGGAGGATTCCCCTCTTCCCCTCCCCCTCCTGCCTCTCCAGCCCCCAACCCACTCCTGGTGAAGCTGCCTGGGACCCTGAAGGGACTGTGGCAGCAGAGGGGGCTGAGGTGGAGGGGGCTGAGGTGGAGAGGCTGAGGTGGAGAGGAGGCTGAGGTGGAGGGGGCTGAGGTGGAGGGGGCTGCGGTGGAGAGGGGGCTGCGGTGGAGAGGGGGCTGTGGTGGAGGGGGCTGAGGTGGAGGGGGCTGAGGTGGAGGGGGCTGAGGTGGAGGGGGGGCTGCGGTGGAGAGGGGGCTGTGGTGGAGAGGGGGCTGAGGTGGAGGAGGCTGAGGTGGAGGGGGCTGAGGTGGAGGGGCTGAGGTGGAGGGGGCTGAGGTGGAGGGGCTGAGGTGGAGGGGGCTGAGGTGGAGGGGGCTGAGGTGGAGAGGGGGCTGAGGTGGAGGGGGCTGAGGTGGAGGGGGCTGTGGTGGAGGGGGCTGAGGTGGAGGGGGCTGAGGTGGAGAGGGGGCTGTGGTGGAGAGGGGGCTGAGGTGGAGGGGGCTGAGGTGGAGGGGCTGAGGTGGAGGGGGCTGAGGTGGAGGGGCTGAGGTGGAGGGGGCTGAGGTGGAGAGGGGGCTGAGGTGGAGGGGGCTGAGGTGGAGAGGGGTCTGTGGTGGAGGGGGCTGAGGTGGAGGGGGCTGCGGTGGAGGGGGCTGCGGTGGAGGGGCTGAGGTGGAGGGGGCTGCGGTGGAGGGGGCTGCGGTGGAGGGGCTGAGGTGGAGGGGGCTGAGGTGGAGAGGGGGCTGAGGTGGAGGGGGCTGAGGTGGAGGGGGCTGCGGTGGAGGGGGCTGAGGTGGAGAGGGGGCTGAGGTGGAGGGGGCTGCGGTGGAGGGGGCTGCGGTGGAGGGGGCTGAGGTGGAGAGGAGGCTGAGGTGGAGGGGGCTGAGGTGGAGGGGGCTGAGGTGGAGGGGGCTGAGGTGGAGGGGGCTGAGGTGGAGGGGGCTGAGGTGGAGAGGGGGCTGAGGTGGAGGGGGCTGCGGTGGAGGGGGCTGCGGTGGAGGGGGCTGAGGTGGAGAGGAGGCTGAGGTGGAGGGGGCTGAGGTGGAGGGGGCTGAGGTGGAGGGGGCTGAGGTGGAGGGGGCTGTGGTGGAGGGGGCTGAGGTGGAGGGGGCTGAGGTGGAGAGGGGGCTGTGGTGGAGAGGGGGCTGAGGTGGAGGGGGCTGCGGTGGAGGGGGCTGCGGTGGAGGGGACTGAGGTGGAGGGGGCTGAGGTGGAGGGGGCTGTGGTGGAGGGGGCTGTGGTGGAGGGGGCTGCGGTGGAGGGGGCTGAGGTGGAGGGGGCTGAGGTGGAGGGGTAGCAGGGTTTGGTTCCCTCGAGGTCCTGGGAGGGCGCAAAAAGTAACAGAGGACACCTGGCCGAGAAGGAAATGTGAGCCAACCCCGCAAGTCTGAGCACAGATTGGGTCCAGCTTTCTTGTTGTTGTTGTTGTTCTATCTTTAAAGAAAGGATGAGAGCCTTAAGCATTAAAGCCCATTCTGATAAAAGTAGGGAAGCACCCGTCTGACCCCACGCCCCACCCAGCCGCCCCCAGTTCTGTTGCGGCAGCCTGAGGCACGGCCGGATTTGATCTCTGCCCGCTCCCCTGTCTTGTTTCATTAGCTGACTCTGTGTTTGAGGGTTTTATTGTTTTTGAGTTTGTTTGTTGTTTTTTTTTCAAACAGGGTCTCTCTCTGCCACACAGGCTGGAGTGCAGTGGTGCAATCATAGCTCACTGAAACCTTGAATTCCTGGGCTCAATTGATCCTCCCACCTCAGCCTCCAGAGTAGCTGGGACTACAGGTCCACCATGCCCAGCTAATTTTTTTTTTTTTTTTTTTTTTTTTTTGCTAGTGATGGTCTCTTACTATGTTGCCCAGACTGACCTTGAGCTCCCAGGCTCAAGCAATCCTGACTCGGCCTCCCAAAGTTCTGGGATTCCAGGTGTGAGCCACCACGCCCAGCCTGTTGGAGGTTTTTTAAGCATGCACAAATACACACACACACAGAGGTCTCACCCCTGAAGCTTCCACTTCCAAGTGATGAAACTGACAGATTTTAGCTACCGTGAGAGTAACCAGGTAAAATTCCCTAGAGGAAACTTCTGGGGACAGGGTCAACATGAGTGGCATTTTCACCAGGGGGCTTCGGCGCCATACTGGTCTGATTTTCCCTTCTCTATGGAGGGGTTCCTGTTGCCCCGTCTCTGGCATCTATTACGGGTTTAGCTGTCCTGGTGTTACCCAGGGCAGAGGCCACCTCCGATTTTCAGGGTCAAACTCACACCGCGTGGAACACCTTCAGGAAAATGATTTTTCCCTTCTTTGGAGGTGGTTTTCTTAGAAGCATATCTCCAGGAGGAGGAGGACTGCTTAACAAGGGGCATCTGGCCTTTGATAACTCTTCCTACGTGCTTGCCTATTCATTTCCAAAGAGGCTATATCATTTTCAAGTCCTCTAATGCATTGGTGACAATTTCATCACAGCACTGGGGTGTCATTACGTGCAAAATGATCTGATATCTCAGTACCGGTACTTCCCCAGAAAACAGAGAGCCGAGGTCTGTTTTGTTTCTTCCCTTCATCTCTGGAACCACCTTTTCACTGTTATTTTTATTCAATTATGCTACATAAACGTGCTTATTTCTATGATTCCTGCCCTAACACATGGCACTTTCATGCGGTTCAACCCAAAACTAAAGATGTAAGTGGCAGGCTACAACAGGCTATTGAGAGAGCAAAGACCAAATGGCCATTTCTCCTTCCCTCTGGCAGGAAATCCTGAGATGACTTTTCAACATGACATTCAATTTTAGGAAATTAATTCCATCCTCTGACCTGCTTGTTCTTCTAAGGCCGGCGTCAGCCAAACAGCAAGACAGTCAGGTCTCTGAAGCGTCTGATATTGCAGGGGCCAAAGGGGCTGCACGACTCTGGTGCATCCCATAATTGTCTGCTTTTGTCCTGCTGGGCGGACGTCAGGGAGCCTTACCTGGCTTTCTAACTTGGAGCATGTCCCCAGAACCTTTATCTTCTGCAGCCTCTTCCCTAGCTCAGACATGGCCGGCCCCTTCCCTGGAGCTCTGGGCTGGAGGCCAGGAGCCCTGGGCTTTCTTCCTTTAAGAGAGGGCTCTGACCAACAAGCGTGAGGGTGAGGAAGGAAGGAAGAGAAGAAGAGTGACATGCAGACTTCTGATGAGATCTTTCGTAATAGCTTGACAGCAAAGGACGGTTATTGTGAACCATACTGATTTAATGAACTCTTAATGAAATACAAATCTTGATTTTATTTTTTTCTTGAGATGGAGTTTCACTCTTGTTGCCCAGGTTGGAGTGCAATGGCACGATCTTGGCTCACTGCAACCTCCACCTCCCGGGTTCAAGCGATTCTTCTGCCTCAGCCTCCTGAGTAGCTGGGATTACAGGCATGTACCACCACGCCCGGCTAATTTTGTATTTTTAGCAGGGGTGGGGTTTCACCATGTTGGTCAGGCTGGTCTCGAACTCCCGACCTCAGGTGATCCGCCCGCCTCGGCCTCCCAAAGTGCTGGGATTACAGGCGTGAACCACCGCACCCAGCCTAAATCTTGATTTTTTAATTGTAGTAAAAGAATCTTTACCATCTTCACCATTTTTAAGTGTACATTTCAGTGGTATTAAGTACATTTCCACTGGTGTGCAATCATCACCACTGTCTGTCTCCAGAACAACTTTCGTCCTGCAAAACTGAAACCCCAAAAGATTAAACACTAACTCCCTATTCCCTGTCCCCCAGCCCTGGCAGCCTCCATCCTACTTTCTGTCTCTATGATTTTGACTCCTTCACATAAAGGGAATCATATTTAACTTTTTGTGACAGGCTTATTTCACCCAACATAATGTCCTCAAGTTCACCCATGTTGTAGCCTGGGCCAGCATTTCCTTCCTTTTCAGGGCTGAATAGTATTCCATCGTGTGGACTGACCACATTTTGTTTCTCCATCCACCCTTCAGTGGCCACTCAGCTGTGTCCACCTTCTGGCTACTGTGTGTGATGCTGCTATGATCATGTGTGCACAGATAGGAAGCATATCTTCAGAGTGTGTGTGGAGTTGGGAGGGTCCAGCTTCTCTTCAACCCTTGGGAGAGGCTTCCAGAGGAGAAACGGAGCTGCCATGGGCAATGTGGGCAGAGTTAGGAGGAGGTGGGCTCTGGCTCTCCCTGTTCCTTCCCTCTGGTCCTGGAAGCCTCTCTTTGAGGCCAGCTGAAGGAAGACCCTTGCAAAGGGAGAGACTGGCCTCTGTGTCCAGTTGGAAGACCCTGGCAGCGTCAACATGCTCCAGGTCCATATGGCCCCTCCTTCCCATAGTCAGGCAGCAGAAGACCCTTTCATCAGGATTCAGGGGGCGCGGGCCTCCAGGCTCACTTTCACGTAGCCACAGCCCCACTTACAGATGGAAAACCAAAGCCGTGGTCCTACTGGAGGCTGGCCCGCCCCTGCCAGCCCCTCTGTGGTTCCCAGCCCCTCCAGCACGTTGAGCAGAGACAGCTGCCAAGAGACTTGGGTAACAGATGATTCCTCAGACCTGGGCACTTTTCATGTGATTGAATGCACACTTACAGAAGGGCCAGCTCTGAGTCTGCCAAGGGGCAGGCCCATACTTCAACTCCCCAAGGCTCGTCCAGACTGAGTGCTAAGTCTCCATCAGAAGCTATGAGACTCTGGCCACCTACTTCGGGGACAGAAAAACCTGCCTGTGGGGACCTTTGGCGTCCAGTCCTCTCCACAACCCGGAGCACACGGCACGTTCCCATTGGCGCTTTCACAGTGCAGATGAGCAAGCCGAGGCCCAGACAGCTTGCACCATGATGAGCAGGGTATGGGGAATGAACTCAGCTCCGGGGGGCAGCAGCGTCCCCTCCACAACCACAGCTGCCTCCCCAGGAGTCCATCAAAGTCCTGCAGAGCCCCCGGAGCCCCCCACAGACAATCCCTGGCAGGGGACGGAGTGAACCTTCTCTCCTTGGAGTGCCCCTGTGAGCATCAGGGTTACGGGGCAGGAGGCAGATCCCCGCCCACCCTCCCCTCAGCTCAGCCTGTCCTCCCCATCTTCTCATAGCTGCTCACACCCAGTGCCACTGCCCCCCGCCAGCTTCTACCCCCACTCCCAAGGATGCCAAGGACCCAGGTTACCAGGCCGATGACACCCCTCCCGGCTCCTGTCGTGGCCACCCCAGGCAGCCGACTGGTCCCTCCTGCTGAAACACCTCTTCCTGTGGCTTTGGGACCCGAGTCCCCCTCCTCTTTGAAGACCCCTTCCCAGACTTTCTCCAAAGGCCTGGCTCTTGCCCTTGCCTCCTAAAGCTGCCACTCTGAGGGCCAGTCCTGGCTCCATGCCCTCCCCTCCTGCCATGCTACTGGTGGCCTCATCCTCCTACCACTGAAGACCCCATGTGCCCAAGGCTCTTACGTGCCCAAATCCCAGCTCATACCCAGAGGCCCACCCCAGAATCACAAACCCAACGTCCCTCTCTCCTGAAAGCATCAGCCTCCACGTGTGTGTCCCCCATCTCCCACCTTCTTGAAAATTCTGCCACAACCCACGCACTCCTTCAGCCCACTGCCCCACCCATGCCCCCTCGCTTCTGCTCCAGGCACTCTCCACATCAGCCCCTCCGGTCCCCAGCGGGCTGCTCAGGGACGTGTTTGCATCATGGACCCTTCTGCCTGGAGCCTGCTGTTTCCTGCAGCCGGGGTGCCCCCTTGCTACCCTGGCCCACGTTCGGACGAGAAGCCAGATGCGGACTCCGTGTTGCTCCCTCTCAGGTCCCAGTCAGAGCCTGTGATATCACTGTCCAATCACATGCCGTGTCCCCCGGGGGCCCTCTGGGATACAGAAGTGTCAGTTATCTCTGTGTCCCTAATGGTGGGACAGGAAGGGCATTCAGGCCCACGCAAAGGCCTGCGCTCAGCAGCAGGAGTGCAGAGACAGCTCACTGGCAGCAGGAGGGCGTGGGGCTGCTGGGGCACGGTAGCTGGGGCTGAGGGCCTCTTCCGGTCCCTCGAGGGAGGAGCATAGTCTTTATCCAGGGGGCCACAGGGGCATGGTCACGTCTGAAGCCTTAGGAAAGGTCTGAGTAGAGGCAGGAAGTGGCCTCTGGCCGAGATCGCCTTTGCCTGGCCTCAAGGCCATCCGCTTTCCCACAAGACTCTTGGCCATGGTTGTTCAGGCCACTGTGAGCTTTTTTATGAGGCTGGAGGTTTGTAAAACTTATTAGTTGGTGGAAACTTGCGGGCTGCCGGCCAGCCCTCTGTGGTGGTGGCAGAACCCTGCCCGCAGGACACCCACGTGGCCTGTGACAATGGGGGGAGGCGGAGGGAAGGGGACCCCAGTTCAGGGGTGGTCATCCTCGGCTTCCCACAGCCAGGCGTTCTCAGCCGGTACTGGAGGGAGGGGCTGTCGCCTCGCACCCACCGGTCCTCAGGACACTCGAACCAGGGTTGTGACCACTTGGGAGCCTCTGGGTTGGAGATCAGGCTGGTGGCAGTGCAGGAAGGGAGGACCATCCCCAAACAGCGTGGCCTTTACCACAAAGGAGCCACCCTGGGTTGTCTCCTGGACACGGGTTCAAATCCCTGGTCTGCAGCCACCTAGCCATGTGGCTTGGGACAACAGCAGTAGAATTCCTGGTAAACACCCACTGGTCCCAGGCTCTGAGCTGAGCTCTCACATGAACCAAGTCAGTTGTCAACAGCCTGGAAGGGGACCACCATTATCATCTCCTCTCTAAGTCACATTCTCCTCTGCAAGAGAAGAAGAGTGTGGCGCCCACTTTCTCATGTCACAAGAGAGACACTCGTCAGCACCTGGTGCACATTAGCCGCCTGTGGACACAAGCTCTTTCCTTTCCCACCACAAGGCCCTCCTGGAGCTGGCCGCCTCCTCTGCCTTGCTGGGGAGTTCCCTCAGCAGGAAGGAATGTGCAGGCCCAGCGATCTCTGGAAACACCCGGAGTCTGCAGAACGTGCTGGACGCGGTCAGCTGTGTGAGACCTTGGCCCCCAGGCCTCTGGATGCACTGGATTCCCTGGAACAGTTAGCAGGACACAGGGCAAAGGCCTTTCTCCTTCTGTCGGTAATCAAGACCATCTGAGGACCCACGGGGCGCTCACGTTCTACCTTCCCTGGCTTGGCTGAGGGTTGAGAGGGCCTCGGGAAGGGTGGAGGGAGGAGGGAGAATGGACATAGGCCCATCTTTCGGCCTAGATGGAGGAACCGTGTGCTGGCTGGGCAGGCTGCTGGCAGAGGTCAGGAGGGCTCTTCCCTGAGCCCTGCCATCCATGAACTGTGTAACTTTGATCCAGGCCTTGTCCCTCTGGGCCTCAGTTTCCCCAAGCTGGATGTGTCGTCCCCCTGCTTCATTCACAATTACCACCAGAAGGACCAACACCACCCTGCAAGACTCAATGGGGTGATGGATCAATCAGAAAAAAAAACAACAAAAAAAAACACAGATCGCCTAGGGCTTAATTAACAGGAGCATGGTATTCATAGCTGGGGAGGTGAGAGTCGGCTGCAGACTGTACCTAGGCACTAACACTCAGTTCTGGGAGAAAATGACAACTGATGCCTGTTCAGGAGAGGGCACTGCGGTGGGTCTTGCAAGGAACAGATAGGAGAAGCCCTGAGACTTGGTTTGGAGGAAAGAGGCCCAGAAGGTCATGACTGCCACCTCCAGATGCGCTGTGGCCCCGGAGCAGTACTAGAAAGCCCTTTCCTAGCTATGAGACCTCCTCCACAAAGGAATGCACGTTCAATGAGGTAGTGAGCTCTCTAGTCCCGGAGGTAAGCAAGTCTCTGGGTGGCATCTGGGACCTTGTGGATGCCCCAGCAGCCTGGCTGGGCTTACCCTGAGGGGCTAAAGGGAGTGGTTGGGCCCTTCGGCCCCGTGGTTCATGAAGCCTGTAGTGTTCCTCTTGGGGAAGGGGCCACTGATGTTTCCCAGCCATGGAAGTGCCTGGTAGACCTCACAGATGCTTTGATGGTCCAAACAGGTGCCTCTGAATGCCACATCTTTGGGCTCCAGGCTGAGAATGCAGGGGAGGGGACTTCTTGCCCCCTGTCCAGGCCTCAGATCCCTCCTGGCTTTCCTGCTCCAGCCCAGCAGCTCACCAGACCCAGCGTCACCAACATAGCGTGGCTCTTAAGACCTTGCCGGCCACCTCCCCACAGCATTCCTGCCTCCACCCTCCTCCAGATGCTGTGCTTTGCTGGCACAGGGCCCACTGTCCATGCTCCCTCTACCCACCCCCCTTCCCGAGGAGCCCGAGCTCTCCCAGCACCCTTCAAGCCACCCCTGGGTCCCTCGGCATGAGCCTTGCCCAGCCGCTGTTTCCTGGCCTGGGGGTATGGGTTTGCCCAGCTGTGGCTGCCACCTCCAGGACCCCATGGATGGGCAGGAGGATCCATCCACCCAGAAGGCTGCATCTCCCTCCTCAGGGCCACACAAGGAAGTTAGGGCGGAGCAGACCGGGGCCTCTCTGGCTGGGGCCCTGGGCCCCCAGCTCAGCGTCCCCTGCTCCCCTGGCCCCCACCCCTGCCCAGCTGCCGGGGGCCTAATCCAGGCCTGTGGGAAGAGGCCCTGGGTGGAGGCGGACGTGATAAGGAAGCCGCTGGGATGCCTGGATGCTGCAGATGTGGCTCTGGGCTCCTGCCTCAGGCGGATTTGACGAACTTGCTAAACTGCAATTCTCCATGGCTTAGGGGAGCTGGGCCCGGGCCAGCGCATGCATTATCCTCAGCAGCTGCGGGCTGTGGCGAGCCAAGGGGCGGAGGCCTGGCCAGGCAGAGGCTCCGAGGCCAGCCAGGCCTCCTAACCCTCCACCCTGGGACCCAGCGAGTTTGCGGGGGGCCATTCCCAGAGGTGCCGAAAGGGGCTCACAGATGCCAGTACCATGAAGGCCCAACTAACAAAGGATTTCCAACCAGAAAATATATTTCCCAGGATTCTGTAGACCAGAGTGGGGTGAAAGACAGCTTTGTGCTAGAGGCATGCGGCCAATGAGTGGGTACTGGAAGTTGGACCCCGCTGTCTCCACTGGGGGCTGCACCCGCCGTGCTCTGGGCTGGGCCGCTTACAGGCACTTCCTCCAGGCTAGGCATGACCTTGACATTGCCTGGAGTTTCCGGTTCTGGGGGAAGGAAGGGGCCTCTCAAACGGCCAGGCCAGGCAGAAGCACAGGCTTGGGCTTCTGTGTCAGGGAGGTGGGAGCTGTGCTGCTGCGCTCCCCGGGGCACCCAGCACCAGCAGCATGCCCGGTGGAAGGAGTATGGGCTTCACAACTTCCAAGCCCTCCGGGGCAGGTTCCAGGTGGACACCACAGCTGTCAGCCTGGGTTGCCCCCTGGCGTGAGGCTCACAGGTTCTGTGGATGTCATCAGACTGGCAGAGTTAGTGCTCCTCAAGAAATGGAGGCTGTCACCTCACCCAGTGGGGCGGCAAGAGCTCCAGGAAGCCACCATGTGGATAAGGGTGGGCGCAGAGCAGGCTTGAGGAGGGAGGCTGGGCTGGGTCTTCACCCTAGCGTCTGTTTTGACACTGGAGCCTCGAGCGGAATTCTGTACTCTAGACAATAAATTTCCACACACATAAGCAGAGAGCAGCGTTTCTGCTTCCAGCTGCCTCGTCTCCTAGAATAGCTCTTTTTTTTTTTTTTAAGAGGGAGTTTCACTCTTGTTGCCCAGGCTGAAGTGCAGTGGCGCGATCTTGGCTTACCTCAACCTCCACCTCCTGGGTTCAAGCGATTCTCCTGCCTCAGCCTCCCGAGTAGCTGGGATTACAGGCACCTGCCCCCATGCCCAGCTACTTTTGTATTTTTAGTAGAGACAGGGTTTCTCCATGTTAGTCAGGCTGGTCTCCGACTCCCGACCTCAGGTGATCCACCCGCCTCAGCCTCCCAAAGTGCTGGGATTACAGGCATGAGCCACCGCACCCAGCCAAATAGCTGTCTTTTAATTACACAGAAAGATCACCAGGAAAAAAGGGAAGAAAACAAGCCAGAGTCACTAGAAACTCATCTCCATGCCTAGAACCTCACAACAAAGTAGCTGAGAGGCCAGGCAGGTCCAGGCGGGCGCTCCAGCCAGGCAGGAGCTTGAGGGGCGGGGTGTGGGGGCCACAGTCACGGTACCTCCACCCGCAGGGTGGGTTGATAGATTGTGGGGACTGTGAGCACCTTCCTTCCATATGGCTGAGCACCCATATGGGACTTGGCACTGGGAACAGCAAGCCAGCAGCTCCAGCACCCTGTAAAGTCCAGGGGAGGGGGGCACATTTGAACCCATTAATCACACAAATTTTGCATCGCAGTGTGAGATGCAGGTGAGTGCTGCAGGCCTGGAGTAGGGGAGTGTCTCCGTCAGAGAAACCATGGAAGGCTTCCCAGAGGAAGCAGCGCTGGAGCTTTGAGGAAAAGTGGGGAGTAACCAGGGAGCCTCTTCAGAGTCCAAGTCACTCTTCAGAATGACCCGGGCGCAAAAGACTACACCCAAAGAAAAGCTGGCTGCGTTCCCAGCCAGCTGAACTGCGGGCCGCCTGCCTCCTCATCTGCGTTCCTGCCTCCCCACCTTTGTTTAGGCCATTCCCCCACCCAGAATGCCTTTCCAGGACAGAGCTTCTCCAACCTTAGTTCTGACTTTCTAAGTCACAGAGAACCACAGAGAGGCCTCCTCCAGGGACACCACCTGAGCCTCAGCACTTTGTAGCTGCCTCTTCATCTCAGGCCAGTGTGAGCCGGGGTGAGGGCTCCAGCCCCCTTGGAGCGCCCGGCATCAACCCCGTGTGCCGGGCAAGCTCCAGAAGTGTGTTGGAAGGCAGGGTCGATATTGCCGGCTTTGGGGGGATGAGTCGATAACGATTGAAAGTGAGCAAAATATTCTCCTTTCTCTCCCTGTAAGGGGAATTTGAAAATCGGATTTACTGGTTAAATTAACAGAATGTGCATTCTCAGTTCAGCCCCACCCCTGGGACTAGTCACTTACTTAAAAATACATATTAAAAATACAGTGAATCATCTCCACTATGTAAAAACAACAAAACGTGCATGCACCTAGCCATGGGGCAAAACCCATAACAAAAACCCCCACCCTGGTCATTGGCCTGTGGCAGGGCCTTATGGGGTCTCAATTTCCTTCTTTGTGTTCATGTATTTCCCACCTATTTCACAGTGAACTGATTCCTTTTAAGGTAAAGAGAAAAGATAACATTTTAAAATAAAAGAATAAGGTATCAATATCATTAATTGCAGTTTTAATGGTAAGAAGTGCCCCCAGCTCATTTCTCCATCCCCACTTTGAAAGTGACAGGGTCTCAGGCAGCCCTGTTTCCAGGCAGACGTTTCTGCACATGGACGCACACACGCAGGCAGGACGTTTGGTCTCCTGCTCTGTTCACTTAACATTAAAGATAAGCATCTCTCCCCAACAAGACTTCATAATTACGGTGGTTAGGGGCTGCAGCATCTTCCTCCCAGCAGCCCGGATTCTCGCTTTAAATTTGGTGGGGAGAGTGGCCGCCTGCAGAGCTATTAGCGGGGAGTGATTGATGGTTCAGTTGGAGCAAGGCTAGCTCAGCTGCACACCCCCGGGAGAGCGTGTTGGCCTTATTAATCCTGTGTACCTGTCTGGCCTGGGAAACGACTGTGTCGTGTGCCCCCAGAAAAAGTCCTGAGCTGGCCTTCTGGCTGCCCGTGCAGCCCCCCAAACCCAGTGGGGAGCATCTCAGAGCCCAGCCAGGGTCCCAGCCGGAGGACCACAGGTTGCTTGCTGTCACACTCATTTTGCTCCCTGGCGTTCAAAGTCCTTTGCACATCTCAAGCTGGGTCCCTTGTTTCCGCAGCGGGCACTGTGGAGTGTCCTCACTGCATCCCCTCATGTCAGGACCCTCCAGAAGTCCCTGTACACACACAGCCGTAGTCAGTATCTGTCTGCTTAACCTCTCATCCATCCCTCCACCCCTTCCCCTACTAACCAAATGGCAGGCTGTGCCTTATGCAAGAGCCCTCCAGGCCCCAGACCAGACCTCCCCAAAGGGGAGAATTCAGGAGGAAAATGGGCAGGCAGGCAAGAGTTTCCTCTTCTTTCCCCTAAATCTTACTCCTCCTCCAGTTTTTTTTCCCATCTCAGAAAATGGCACCAGCACTCATGCAGTGGCCCCGCTGGGTCACCCTCCTGTAACAGCCCCCGGGCCAGCCACGGTCAGGCCAGCATGAGGCTGCAGTACCACCACTTCTCAGCAGTTCCTAATCCCCCACTCCTTCTCCACTGGGACGGGACCAGCAGCCTCCCAGCTCCCCTGCCTGCCTATGGCAACTTGGCTCTAATCCCCTCCTGTCTGCACTACTCAGAAGCACAGTAAAATGCCAATCTGAACACACTTAAAAATAAATAACACTGCCCTTAGGAAAAACTCCAAGCCCCTTACGACATCTGCATGCCCACCCTCTGGCCCCTTTCCCCCTCAGTCTCCATTGCAGAGATGGACTCCCTTGCGCCTCCTGCTCGGAAGGAAGGAAAATGAGTAGAAATAAACGCGGGGCTGGAGATGGCTTGACTGGCTCGTAAGAACCCGTTGTTAAATTTTCAAGAGATCTTGTGAGCTGTTTTTTAAACATTTGGCAGCTTGAACCAGCCATGGTGGGAGTATTTACACCAGGGAAATTGGCAACACCACAAACCAGGGCTTTAGTTCAGCACCAACTCAACTCCCAGTTCTTCCCTCACTAGCCCCAAATTCAGCGAGGAATTGTGGACTCACAGAATTGGAAAGGGTCTTGAATCAGCCCTTCTCATGAGAATCCCATTTCACTCATTCATGCACACCATTCAGTCATTCAACAAACACCATCTGACCATCTCCCCAAGTCGGGCTCTGTGCCAGACCCTGGGCTGGCCTCAAGAGCTCACACTCCAAAGCACATGCTACTTATGTATATGACAATGTGGTAAAGTGCCTTCACCAAGGGATGGCCAAGGTTGGGGTGGAGGCCTGGAGGAGGTTGTTTCCTGAGGACATAAAGGAGATCCCGCACTGTTTTTAACATGACTCAAGTGATTTAAACTTTCAGAATTTGTTCAGATTGCTTCTGTGGGCCAGCACATGAGCTTATAAATTATGAATGGTATTGGAGGCAAGTTACAGCAAACTCAATCTGTGTCGGCTTAAACACACAAGGCTTTTTTTTTTTTCTCACTTAGAGAGAAACCTGGAGGTGGACAGTTGCTGGTGTTGGTTCCACAGCTTCACGAAGCCCTGGGGACCCTGGGCTCGCTCTTCTGCCTCCCATCTCTCGCTGCCTGCCGGTGTCGGTCACAGGATGTTAGTGGGCTCCCACCCCTGTATCTGCGGGTCGAGGGCGGGTCGAGAGCAGTCAGGGCAGCAGGAGCCCTCTGTCTCCTGTTACCAGGGGCTTTGGCTGGCGCTTTCACTGTCTGCTGGGTGCCCCTGGAGAGAAGCTGAGCTGCTTCCTCCTCTGAGTCCCTGAGCCCAACCCCCAACCCCCGGCCAGGTACAGAGCAGCATGTTTGCCTGAGCTAAGCAAACAACGCGACGCTATTGTCAGAGGGCTGGCAGGGCAGCCGGCTCGTGGCCGCGTCTCTGCCTGAGGAGTGAGATAATGCTGCCGTCCTCATCTGTAATCAGCTACCTAATGAGCTACATCGTCAGGCTGTCCAAGCTGCTACCTAGCAGCTGGCTGGGAGCCTGCGGAAGCCCCATTAACCTTTTCAGTTCCTGCAAAGAGCACACTTACCAAAGGATGAGGACCAGCCCAGGACCAAGGCAGGAGCCTGAGAATCCATCACCCCAAGAGCCAGGACAGCGCCATCCCCAAGTCTCATGAGCTTGCCTGGAGAAAGGGGCTGATGAGAGTAGACACCTAGAGTATCCAGCAGGTCTTAGTTGTCGTCATCGGGATCCCTTCTCATGAATTTCATCAGAATGGGGCTGGTCGGGGGTGCCCGAAGCCTTTTGAGATCTCCAGGAAACCAAGCTTGACTCTGCCCATGTGGGAACAAAATCAGCTGAGAGAAACACACAAGCACGTGCCGTGCAGGTGCCCAGACGCAGACCCAGAGACAAGTATTCCAGCAAGGGCACATGGTTTATTTGGGAGGTGATTGCAGGACTGCAGGGAACGGGGAACAAGGCAGAGAGGAAGGGGCCAGCCCAGGGAGCTTCATCAAGTTGTCACTGCTTCCACAATGGCGCTCCATCCCAGGGCCTCTGGACCCGGGGAGGATAGAGCTTGGAGCATCCTCCTAAGGGCTCACTGCTGGCTGAGGGCTGTTCCCAAGAGGACAGGATCTAATTCTCTGGCACTTTGACCTGCTGTGTGCACAAGAGCACCTCCGGGAGGCATCGTGTGTGATGCCAATGGGATGTCAGACCAGAGGGCAGGGAGGGGAAAGAGCGACGGCACAGGCAGGGCCCCCAGCTGCTCTAGGGAGCCCCTCTGCTGCTGTCTGCTCTGCTCAGCACCTGGGATGCCAGGATGAGACTCTCTGCCTCCATGCTCGCTGGAGGATGGTTTTCTGACATGGCCTTTCTTTCCCTGCTCAGTCTTGCTCAGAAGCTTCTGCAGGGGTCACCCAGGCCCATGCAGGACCTTGGCCACAGGACCTCTGGGGAACATTGCTTTAGCTTTCTGAGCTCTGTGGCACAAGAGGGCAGGAGGTGCTTGGAGTGGTCTCGAGTGAGGGGGCCTGTGGTATCTACTGCACCCACCTCAGGGCCTTTGCACGCACTGTTCCCTCTACTTGAATGCTTTTCCCAGTCTTTATGTATCTGAGTTTCTCCTCGTCTTTCAGGTTCTGCTTGGATTTCAGCTTCTCAGAGAGGCTGTCACGGCCCTCTCTCTCATTCGACCTCTCTCTGTTACCATCTAGCACATCATCTGATTGCATTTTCTCCAGAATGATCTTGCTTGTTTCCATGTTTATTCTCCATCTCCTCTTCTCGACAGAAAGTTCTAGGAGAGTCACATCCTTACCTCCCTTGTTCATCGAGGTGTGCCCAGTACCTATGCCCATGCTCGGCACACAGTGGGGCCTCAGGAAGTATTTGCTGGTGAGTTATTGATGAACCCATCTCTGGGGTTGCTGTGGATTTCTCATGGCAGTGTGCACGAAGGGCCTAGCAAAATGCCCAGCGCCTAGTAGGTGCTCAATAAAATGCCAGCCCAGAAAAGGGTGAGATTAGCATCATTTTCTTGTCTAGCCTCTCCATTTTCTGAATAAGGTGACTGCAGCCCAGAGAGGGTCAGGAACTTGAAGAAGGTCACACAGCAGACCTCTTGATCCCTGCAGAAGAGGAATCAAGAACGTTGGTGTATTCCAGGACAGCCCCCTCCATTTCCACTTTACCTGTGGTAGCTCAGGCCCCTAGAGAGTCAGCTTCCAGGTTTTGAAATAATAGAGGGAAACGTTATAGCTCTTCTATTCCTCAAGAAAAATTAATTCCACTGCCAGGCATTTGTCCCCCACGCTTCAGAATCTGGGGTTCAAATCATGGCCCTGCCTTTGCTGCCGCCGTGCTTCAATGTTTCAGAGGTGGATTCTCAGGTAAAGTATTGCCATCCCAGTGGCCCTGGGCACAGCAGCGCCCCAAGTAATCTCCCTTGACACAATACAAATGGGATACAATGTCACCCAGCCTGGTTTTAAATGAGAAAGTTGGAAAAACAAAATGCAGAGGTAGGAAGCGGTTCTGATTACAAGGAGCTGAAAGTAATTGCCTTCCGGCAGAAAGCCGGGTGCACCTCCGCCAATGTGGGGGGGCCGCCTGCCCACCCCCCATCCATCATCTCATCGTACAGACTTTGAATATTAAGTAAAGTTTTATTTATGGTTCTTCTTGCGGGCTTATGACTCTCAAGCGAGGCAGGGATAATAACAAACCCTCTCACACAAAAGTTAGGCTATAAAAAAATAATTAAGGAAAATTTTCCCCGCAGTACAGGCAGCTGAGAAGCTTAGTCCTTCTGCAAACAGACTCTGCCATGGCCTTCATAATGAAAGCAAATTGCTTCTGCGCTGGAAGTGGCAGGCGCGTGGGGAGTGGGAACTCAAGCCGGCTTCTCCCCTTCTAGCTGCCCCAGTGGAGATGGGCCCTGGGGGAGGTCACAGCACCGGCATCCCTGAAAAGAGGCCCACCCTTGGTCCACCCCCGGATGAGCGAGCCCCAAGAATGCCAGGAAGCAGCAGAGGTTTTTTTTATTTTTTGTTTTGTTTGCAGAAAGTGAAAGGTGCACTTGTAGCAGGCGGCAATAGAACGACAGGCTGTTTGTCAGGGAATGTCAGCCTGTTCAACTGGCCCCAATTTACCAGGTTGGGAAACTGAGTCTGGGTGGATAAGAGGGATCAGGTTGATTCTAAATAGCCCAAGAGCAAGTTCAGGATGCCAGGCATGGGGTAGGCCCCCGGAGAGGCAGTTTTTGGCCAGAGACCAAAGGCTGGTGTTTCATCACTGCCAAGGTGGCCAAAGGTTTGCCACCATCCCTGGAAGAGCCACATTCTGGGTTCCAGGTGGGTGGCCCTTACCACCACGAGCATCACCACTCCCAGGACTCTGCTCTGTGCCAGGCACCACGCTGAGTGTTTTGTCCATGTTATTATGACCCATCCTCACAATAACCCTGTAGGCTCCTCACTGTCCCCATGCTGCAGATGGGGAAACTGAGGCTTCAGGGTTGCTCCGCATGTGCAGAGAGGCAAGGAACTTCTTGTTCTCTGAGCAAGGAGTAGTGGCTTAGACAGGCAGCCAGGGGCCGTTTCTCTAAGTGGAGACACATTGCTGAACAGAAGCCTGGTGCGTTTTTGCCCCACTTTTCCCCTTTTCTTGTCTTAGTCTTCTGTCATCAGCCAGGAGCCCCGTGTGGACATTCACTTTAGCAACTTCATTTACTAAATGGTATGCAGCACATATTTCTGTGTTTGGAGCACATGAATTCAAGCAATAAATATTTACCAATGGACAGCTCTGTGCATGGCAGGAGGGACACCGCAGGAATAAGACAGACACAGCACGCCCTGAGAACAGACTGGGGGCGGGCATGGCACAGTGTCCCCGTCAGGCAGACAGCGTGTGCGAAGATCGTGAAGTGGAAGGAGTGTTTTCCCCCAATTGTTCTTCTGTCGCTGTATGTCAGCCAGCATTGAACATTTGTTTCTGCAAGAGTGTCTGTGTGTGTGTGTGTGTTGGAGCAAGGCGGGGGTGGGGCAGTTTGCACGTTCGCGTATTCAACTGATACTGGTATCAGCACTGTGCTCAGTAGGAGGACGCAGGAGTAAAAGCTAAGTGCTCTCAGCCCTCAGGAATCATAGCTCTTATCAGGCTTAAAAGTGCTCAAGGAGGCTCCTAAGAAGAGCCCCAGCTCCCAGAGTTCCAGGGCTGTGGGCCGTGCCTTCCTCCTCACCTCAACATGCAGCTTCCTCGTCTGGAACGCTCTCCTTGCTGATTGTCAAAATGTTCTTCACTCCTGGGAACCCAATGTCAGGGTCACCGCCTCTGGGAAGCCTTCCCTCAGTCCCCCTGGCTGGAGCTGTGCCGAGGCAAGGAGGAGTGCGTCAGAGGGTCTCAGGCTCGCCCTCCTGTGTGAAGGCCCCAACGCCAGCCCAGCACCAGCACCTGGCAGGCCTCCATTAACTGTTTCGAGGGATGGGCCCCATGTGGGAATGAAGACCCCGGGAAGACACAGCCCCCCAGTGACCTCCTGCTAGAAGGACACGCCTTCATGTCAGAGGAAGCCAGCCTGCAGCCAGCCTGAACCTCCTTAGAGGAAGTCATTAAAACAGACGGGGGCACAGAAGCCTCAGCCCAGCCTCTGCAGCCAGTTCACCAGACTGAATTGCCAGGGACTGGGTGCTCAGGAGATGCCTGCACAGAAGGACAAGTAGGCTGAGGCTGGCGGTCCCATGATCAGTAACCAAGCAAAGCACCGGTCACAGCCAGACCCCCAATCAAAGCCCCCTCCTCATGCGGCCACTCCGTCCTCCTGAGGCAGAGAGGCAGGTGGGCAAGAACCCAAACCTAGGAACCCCAGACACAGGGGAACTTGGGGGATGGGACATCCTGAGACCCAGCCCAGATGAATGGAGCAGAGCACAGAGAACTGGGCATCACTTTTGCCCAGCTCAGCTCTGCTGGGCCCAGCCTGTGCTGTGCCAGGGGAAGGCCTCATCATGCCTGGGTGCCTGGGTGCGGGGCGGGGGTTCCAAGGCATTCTAGCCCAGGGAAGGCTGCCTCCATGGCTGTGCACCAGGACGCCTGCCTGCCTCCCCGACATGTGCTGACTGGACTCTGCCCCCAGTGGCTCTGGACACAGCCCATTCCTCTCAGGGCATGGCCTGGGACTGTGTGTACATGGGGGAACATATGAGTGTGTGCGCAGGTGTGTGTGAGGGTAGATGGTGTGAGTACATGTGCACCTGTGTGCATGTGTGAGGCTGCTGGGTGGTCCGTAGCTTACAGATCAGCTATAGCAGGGTTTCTTGAAGAGCCAGCAGTTGACCCCCTCCCTTCCTCAGCCTGATTCCAGAAGCTTCCTTCATGCCCACCCCTCACCGCTGCCCCTGTCCATCTTGGTCTGCCTCCTCTTTGTCTTCTGTGCGCATCTCCCCCTGCACTGGACAGGGCTCTTGGCACTCCTTGCCTCTCAGACTCCATCCAGGAAGCCAGAGACCACTGCCCCTTCTCATGCCTCCGACCCCAGCCAGCCGCTGAGTTAGCATTGGGGCGAGCCACCAGGCCAGGCCCACTGTGCATGCCTGGTGTCCCAGGTGTGGTCACAACTGGCCAGGTGGCCAGGGGAAGCTGCATGGACTACAGGAAGATCTGGCCACGGCTGCTCTGGGTCCTGAGGCCAAGCGGCCCCCTCCGTGAGAGCCCAGCTGCCTGGCACTGCCACAGGGACTGTTTTTTCGAGATGAGACCAGGCATCAGCGTTTAGGGGACAAGAGAGGGCTAATACCCATGTCCACCCAGCCAGGGAACATTTGATCCACTGGCGAGCAGCGAGGGGCCGCTTCCGGCCTCCCGGGCGCCGCTGCTCTCCATCTGTGTGCGTGGCTAATGAATGCTCCTCAGGAGGCCTGGAGAATTCGCTTCCCGGGGCCCAGTTGCCTCCTGGAACGTGAGTGGGTGACCGAGGACATTTCGGGCAGGGTGCCCAGCCACCCCTTCTTAATAACCGTATGGACATCCATGTTCTGCCCAGACCCTCTGCTGCCCAGGGAGACTCCCGGCCCTGCATGTGGGCCAGGCTCCTGCCTCGCCCTCTCCAGCCTCAGTCTCCCTCCTACGCTGAAAGGCTGAGTCTGGTGATTTCAAACCTTCTTGCTATAAAGCATAGTTCTCCAAACATGCTCTCATACACGTGCCCCAAATGCACAAAACAGATCAAAATGGCCCAGGAGGGCTGGGGCCACATAGACAACCAGGGCAATGCAGGGCCCAGGGTGGATGCTGAGGGCCAACATTCCTGCACTCAGCCTTGGTGGGTCACTGCATCTCTCTGAGCCTCAGTTTCCTCATCTGAGAAATGGTGATGATGTCGTCCTCCTGGAAGAGGTGAAGCTCAGTGTCTTGCAGGCCAGGCTTTGTCCTCTGCCTCCCCAAGCTCACGTTCCTCACCTGTAAAATGAAGAGACTCAAGCCCCACTCGCCTCCCAGAAGGCCATGTGCTATTCAGACCCGTGATGGTGGCTACAGTCACACAGGCGGCTGGAGAGAGGGGGCCAAGAGCCTGGGAGAGGTAGGGCCAGGGGAGTGAAGGCTGAGGGCTGGGGGACTACCGCGGGTGTTCCGCTGAGGCGTCAGCTCTCTGCAGCCCCTCTCCAAGATGCCTGAGGTAGGCTTGGGAGGCATGAGGGCGACCTCAGCACTTTTCACCAGCTCCACCCACCTCACAACCCCCTGGACGCCTGGAGATGCAGGCCAAGACTGTCTGAGCTACTGGCATAGTCTGTACTTATCCCCCTGAATTCTTCCCTGTGTCTCATGAGAAGGAGAAGCACAGTCTCACATCTCCAAAGCCAGAATGATGAGGGGGTCCACTCTGTCCCTGAGCTCTTTTTCTTCTTTGTCAATAATATAAGGAGGGCACCAGCCTGTCTGACCCTAGAATCTATCACTCTGCAATGCCTGCCTGGATGGCTGCTGATCTTCACCCAGAAAGCCAAGGCTGTTGAGATAACAGTACCAACTCAAAGAGAAAGGAAAGCACGGGATCGCTGTAGCAAGGGGCCAGGCAGCATTCTAGTCCTTGGATGGGGATCCATGGGGGAGGTGTCCCTGGGCACAGCACATTCCTTCCCTGTGCAATGGAAATCCCTGCCCCCAGGTGAACACAGTGGGAAGGGCTGGAGAGTGGAGAGCAGGGACTCGGCCAGGCTGGCTCTGACCCACTCAGTCCTCTCTCACCTGCTCTGTCTGTCTGGATCCCATTGAGTGCTCAAGTCACTAAAGCACTACCGTTTACAGTCATTTGCTAAATGGATGGTCCACACCTGGGCAGTTTGTCCCAAACCCTGAGGCAGGGTTCATCCTGCTGTTCCTGAACAAGAACTTCCAAGGCTGGTCTGGGGGAATAGAATCTTCTAAAGTTTTCCAGGTGATTTTCCACAGTCAATGAGAAGACCTGGGTAAGGGTCCATGAGCCTACACGCTACCAAAAGCGCCTGGGAAAGCGCAAGGGGGAAAGCCCAGGTGTTAGGTTCCGAAGGCGCTGGGGAAGCCAGGCTGCCCCGAGAACGTCCCCCTCTGAGAGATTTTAGGTGAGTCACCTCTCTGGGACTTCAAGAGCCAGCCCAGTAGCACCCTCCTCTGGGATGGAACCATTGGTCTTTCTCCCGCCTTCCTTCTGTCTTTGCCCCGACACTGCCACCAAGGCACTCGGCACAGTGAGTGTTGCTTCCCATGGAGTGTGAGCCACCGACTGCCACCACCACCAGCTCATGCCTCTTCTGTGCCAGATGAGTCAACTGCCTTAAGTAATTCTCACAGCAACCACCTGCCATTCTGCCCACTTTCCTGGTCAGTAAACAGTGCCTCACACAGAGTTGCAGCCTGGCTGAGTTGCAGCTCAGCTCCACAGACTCAGAAGCAAGTCAGCTTTTGATCACGGAACCTCCTGGAAGGCAGAGTCCCCGGACTTCGCCCTCCCGCCCTCCCTCTCTTCCTCTTGCAAACAGTTGTTCAAGGTCTGCTGTGTGCCAGGCATTGTCCCGGATGCCAGGGCTGTGAAGACACATCAGAACGGCCTGCCAGGGGAGACAGATGCTGGGGCAAATGCTCCCAGGGCAGGGTGGCAGGAGCTGGAACCGAAGGGAATTCAGGATGCCATTTAGACTACAGGGTCACAAGGAGGAAAAGGATGTCTCTTTGGGGGTGGGGTATGGAGAGACGCCACAGACAAGGCAGAAAGTCTTTGTTTTCCTGGGGCCCCCAGCACACAGCAGGAATGGCTAAAAGCCTAGAGGACACAGCAGAGCTTCCAGCCTGTTTCTTGCTCGTCTCAGTCATTGAAACTCCTCAATTTCATGATTGTACCAGCCCACATCTGTTTATGCGCTCATCGGAATCCGCGCTGACAATGTATTTGTTTAATTTCCAGCAAGAAGGGGAAGATTTGTCAGGGTCAGGGATACGTCTTGCATAAAACATTCTGATTAAACTCTGTTGGCCAGAGAATTACTTTCCCATCATACTTAGAGAAATCTAGTTGTTTCCTAATTGGAGTCGCTGCCTCGCCAGCGTGTTCACCATTTACAGTTCACTCTCTGCCAGATGTTGCTTGATTGTAAATTCCTCCCCAGAAGGGGGCCCCAGGTGTCTTGGGAGAGGTGCTAACTGGCACAGGCCATGGGAGGCCTCTGCATGCTGAGCTGGAGGAGAGCCAGTGTCCTAACTGGAGGCCGGGAAGAGAACGTCCTTGTCTACAGTGGCCGAGGGGGGTGGTTATTAAAAAACATGGGACCAGGGCCAGGTGCGGTGGCTCATGCCTGTAACCCCAGCACTTTGGGAGGCCGAGGCTGGTGGATCACAAGGTCAGGAGTTCGAGACCAGCCTGGCCAGTATGGTGAAACCCTGTCTCTACTAAAAACACAAAAAAATTAGCCGGGCATAGTGGCACACACCTGTAATCCCAGCTACTCAGGAGGCTGAGGCAGGAGAATCGCTTGAACAAGGGAGGTGGAGGTTGCAGTGAGCCGAGATCAAGCCACTGCACTCCAGCCTGGGTGACAGAGCAAGGCTCTGTCTCAAAAAAACTAAAACAAAAAAACCATGGAACCAGCAGAGTGTCTCAGCATCATCAGCTGTCTGATAGGTGAGAGCCCACTTGGAGCCAGAGATGGGGAGGGCTATTGTGCTAGCTTGCTGAGGGCTGAGTCGGTCCTTGGCCTTGACAGAAGGGGCCGGCAGAGGGGCACTGCAGGAAGCCAGCAAGCAGGAGGCCTCACTCAGCCTTGGATGGGGCAGAGAGATCGCCAAGAAGGCGCAGTAAGGAGCTGTCTGCCTCCCGAGAGGGTTTTGGGTGAGGACAGACTTTGAGTCTGTCTTGAGGAGAGTGGGGGGGAAGCAGGAGGAAGAATGGGGAGCCACCACTTACTCTATGTCTATTGAATGCCAATTCTTCATATATGTAGCAGTCCTGCTAAGTAGTGGTTATTACGCCTATTTTTCAGATATGGAAGCTGAGGCTCGCAGAAGTATAGTGGCTCATCTGGAGTCACAGCCAGAAAACAGAGGCACAGGAATGTGAACACAGGACCCAGGATCAGTATACCTGGAGCCTGGCCCACCGCACACAGTAAAAACCACAGGAGGGCAGAGGAGGGGGAGGTCACCACAACCCTTGGTGCACGACCACCCACAGGAATACAGAGGTCTCTTTTCACTGTGCTGGCATGGCTCATGATCAGTCAGTATACAGGAGACACAGACCCTCCCACAGTGCCCCTTCCACGTTCACAGCAGACATTGCTAATCAATCACAGCATGCCTCCAAGCACCAACACCAACAATCAGGGTTGGTAGACTGGATGGACCAATTCGCCATCCTGGGCTAGTTCTTTGATTTTAGTGGCTGAACTGTTCAATGCAGCAGCCACGAGCCACATATCGTTACGGGGTGCCTAAAATGGAACTCACATCTAAAGTGCATTTAAGTACAAACAGCATGTTGGATTTCGAGACACAGTCTAACAAAAAAAAAGTAAAGTATCTAATAAATGTCGTGTTGATTACATGCCAAGATGATACTATTTTGGATATACCGAGTTAAAGAAAATATAACACTAATTTCACTTTTCTTGTGTACTTTTTAGAAATGTGGCTTACGTTCGGTTTCCGTTGGACAGCGCTGGTCTCGAGTTCAAGCTGTGCCAACAGCGCCCCTGGTGGCCGAAGTGGGTAAATTCATCTGACCAAGGGCCTGTTTTTCTACTGGAGACCCTGCGCAGGTTACTCCACGGTTCTGCACCTGTTTCCTCATCTGTGAAATGGGGACAATAATAGTTCCTATCTCATAGATTGCAATTCAGGAATAGATGAGTTAAAATATGGAAAGTATGTGAAGCAGCACCTGGCACCGTAATAAACGCTGAGTGACAGTTGGCTATGTTTTTATTATAGCATCTTGTTGACTGGGAGGTAGATTGCAGGCCCTTTTCTCTCCTGGGCCTCCCGATCTTGGCCCCACTCCAGAGCAGCCTCCACTCCCCAGGAGAGATAGGAGCTGACGTCCATCAGGAAGAGCACAGCTTCCTGCTGTGTACACCGGAAGAGGCCCCACCAGGCCAAAGCCATGAAGCCATCACTGGAGCCACTTCCTGTGTCTCACTAATAAGCTTCCCCATCACCCCTCACTGGGGTTCTGGTTCCTACCTGAGCTCTTGAACCCTGAGCCCAGTTCAAATCTCTGGAGTCCTCAAAGCCCCCGACACTCTTGCTGTTCCCTGACTCTCCCCACAGCATGGTTGCTGACACTGATCCTTCCAGGAAGCTGCTTAACTCAGTCCCATTTCCCAACAAGCTCTGAGAGTCATTAAAAATAATAATAGATGTGCCTTTGCAGATATAAAGCAAGAATGGCTAGTTGTGGCATTTCTGCAAAGCTTAAAAAACACAGAAAAATTATTTTTAAAAAAGGAGGGGGGAAAGGCTTTTGTAATTCCACCACCAAGAGTCAGCCACTACTTACTATCTTCCTAGCTCCCTTTCTAGAGCAGTGCTGTCCAATAAAAATGTAAAGTGAGGCCGGGTGCAGTGGCTCACACCTGTAATCCCAGCGCTTTGGGAGGCCGAGGTGGGAAGATCACCTGAGGTCAAGAGTTCGAGACCAGCCTGGCCAACATGGCGAAACCCTGTCTCTACCAAAAATACAAAAATTAGCCGGGTGTGGTGGCATGTGCCTAGAATCCCAGCGACTCAGGAGGCTGAGGCAGAAGAATCGCTTGAACCTTGGAGGCGGAGGTTGCAGTGAGCCGAGATCACGCCACTGCACTCCATTCAGCCTGGGCAAAAAAAAAAAAAAAAAAATGTAAAGTGAGCCACATAAGTAATTTCACAATTTCTAGCAACATGTTTTGAAAAGTAAATTTCACCTGGCTCTTAACCAGGTGAAATTAATTTTAACAATATATTTTATTTAACCCAATGTATTCAAAATATTATCATCTCAATGTGTAATCGATGTAGAAATCTTCACGAGATCGTTTACATTCTCCTTTTGTACTAAGTCTCTGAAGTCCCGTATGCTGCTTGCACTCACAGCACCTTTCGATTTGGTCAAACTGCATTTCAAGTGTTCAGTACCCATGTGGCTCATGGCTGCTATATCAGAGAGTGCAGGTCTAGGGTGCTTTTTAAAGCAAATGGGCGAGTGTTGAGTGTGACAATGTTGGACTGTCAAGGCCTGTAGAGTTTGGGACCCTGCTAGTCCACACTTGCCCCTGAGCCTTGCAATAATGAAATCCCTTCCTTCCTCAGGGCCAGCTGCTCCATGCACACCATATAGAATCTATACACTCTTTCCCAAGAGCTCCATGCACTATTAGGTGGGGAATCATTGGATGTCAGGAAAAGAAAGGGCAAGATAGCTCCATGGTGCCCTGGGTCGACGATGGAGAAGCATGCCTCTGAGAGCCCTCCAAGGTTAAGAAACAGGGAGTCCCCAGCACCCCTCAATCATCCTCATTCACATTGCTACTGCCCCGTTTTCCACACTTCAGTTTCCTCGGATTTCGTACTCCAGGCAGAAGCTCCAAGACGCCTAGTACTTCAGGTTTGACATCCTGCCAGCTTGGGCTCCAAGCAATGGGCTCCCCGTACATTGCGAACCGCGTGTCTCCCAAGATGAAAGACTGTAAAAAAAAGATAAAAATAGTTCCCGGGAAAGGGACTGCTTCAGCTGGCCCAGTTTGTAGAGTCCCTGTTTCATCTCTGATGTGAATAATTCATCTCTTCTAAAGTGCTGCTGTTAAGTTAGGAGCATCATTATTGCATTTTTTTTGATGAGGCACTTCTTAAAAAATCATAAACACCCAGCACATTAAGAGGAGAGCCTGAAGTACGTCATTTAGAGCCATTTGCTCAGGCAGAACCCAGCGCTTGTGATCCGTGCCGTCAGCTTGTTCCCTAAGCTGACATATCAAAGCTGCCTTTGGTTTCCTCCTTTGCTTAGACTAGGGAGTATGACCTTGCTTCTTTTGAAGAGTTTGCAGAGGTGGCCCTGGAGAAGGAAACAGTCCGGCCTGGGAAGCAGGCGGCCGGAGGGCTGGCCCTTGCTCTCTTTGGCCTCTTCTCAATTACCTTGTGAAGACAAGCACAAGTAAACAACTCTGGAGTGAGGCCAGCTCAGTATACATTCTTGAAGAAGCCGAAGGGCACTGCGATATGAATAATAATATGAGTAACAGTGACTCATGCCACCATTAATTGATCACTTACTACATGCCAGGCCGCCCACACTAAGAGCTCTAGATGCATTATCTCATTTCATCCATGCAACGCTATGAAGAGGGACACTCCTATTATACCCATTTCACAGATGAGGGCACTGAGGCACGGAGGGCAGGGATGAGTCATTTGCAGGGCTGTCTGCTCCTGTCCTTCTCCACCTCTCTCAGTGGGGAGGGACACTCCCCTCCAATTGCTGATAGTCCCTGGAATCCCAGCTGAGCCCAGAGCAGGTCTGCAAAGAGGTCACTGAACTCCGTGATAGTAAGGTCAAGGCCACCCTGAAACCAGCCATCTCCTACAGAGCCAGGCTGCCCTCCCCTTGCACACAGGCTGCCTGGGCTTAAGTTCCGCCAACAGACTTGGAGCAGGAGGGCTGCGGGCTGCCCTTTGTATGCACATGCGTCTCCAAACCAGCCTTTTTACAAAATGTATTTTAGTTGTGGGATCCTTTATTCCCGTGAATTCTTATCCAGAAGCCCAAAATGTAGAATAGATTTTCAGGGAGTTTCCCTGGTTGAAGGGAGGCATGGGGGACCCAGAGACCCCTAGAACAGCCCTCTCAGCACCCTGGACCTGGGTGAACCAATGCTCTGAGTGACTTCTTTGTTTGACGAGACGGGTCAACTGAGTCCCGGGGAGGGCAGCCACAGGGCTAACATTTACTGCGCACTTGCCGCGAGCCTCACTGTGCGGAAGCTCTCTCGTTCTCTCCGGTTACCCCGAAGCCTCAGGCTCCCCTAGTTCACCAAGCCCAGGTTTCTGGGAGTGAACCTGGTCCCGCTGCCTGCTCCACACCTTGTACATCTTTGTCTCAGGTCTCGAGGGACAGGATTGAGGTGGCCCTGTCCCTTCTGTCCCCTCCATCCCCAATGACAACTGATGGGTTCCAGGTTTTCTGTTTCCCTTTAGCAGGAAAATGGAGCCCAGAGATTTGGTCTGGCTTCCCACGTGAAAAGTCCACCTGCTACTTGGCCGGTGTAGGTGTGGGCTGACCAGGTGCCTCCTGGCCTCTGGGGCCTCCTTTCTGGCACAGTAGAGCCGGGGTGGAGGGCGGCCCCACGGGGACAAGGCTTGGCAGAGCCAGAGGTGAAGTGGCCGGCATGGCAGCTATCCACAGCTGGGCCCAGGCCTGCCCCAGTGGTAGACACAGGGGCCCAGCTCAGGCCCCATAAGGAGGAAACTAGAAACAATTTTCCTCACCTCGCACAAATCCCATCCCAAATTCCCACCCACCAGCTTAGAGGGAGCGGAGGCCTGAGCTCATCTTCTCACGTGGAGCTCGGGCATGGTGCTGGGGCCCCAAGGCCCCGGAATCCCTGTCTGGGCCTCTGATCCCTGTCTTCAGAAGGTGGCGAGCCACCCTTCCGGCCTTAGGCCTGCTGACATGGGACCCAGTGTCTGTTTGTCCAAGTTCAAGGATTATGAAATGTGGGTTATTGCCCTGCTCTGCTGATACTGGCTCTGTGGGGCCTCCATCCCAACCCCCTGATCGCAGAAGCCCCAAGCTTTCTGGAGACGCTTGGCCTCGTTTTATTCTCCCAAGAAGACCCTGCGGTGGGCAGAGCAAGACTTTTAGCCCCATCTCCCTAGCGGGAGAACTGAGGAGTCACGGCAGTGCCCTGGCCCCAGCTAGCAGAAGTCTGGCAAGCTCCAGGGATTTCGAATCCTCTTGGGAATTCTCGCAGGAGCCAGTCCCCTTTTTGCCAAGTGACTCCCACACAGACCCATCAAACTTTGCAGGTCCCCATGGGGGAGCAAACTTTGCAGGTCCCCTGCAACTGGACGGGGACAGCCCTGAGTGGTGAAGCGGGGCTCTGTGGCATATCCCCCGGCAAGGAGCCCCCCTGGCCACACCCACTGTCCAGGGATGCTGCCCCCAGCCAGACCCTCAGCCTCCTAGTCCTGGACCGAGACAGGGTGGGCTCGGGCCACACATGAGACCTCCCGTATATGTCCTGGGCTAGCACAACTGCTGGGTTGGCCAGCACTGGGCTAGGTCTGACCCCAAGATGGAATAAACAAAGGAAAATCCATGACAACTGGACTTAGCTCAGGGTGGGCCCTGCCCTGACATCCTCTCATCCCGCAGAGCTGCCCACACACTCAGGGGCATGGAGGAGCCACAGGCTGGCCAGGGGCCCAGCACCCTGGAGGACACAGAGAGGCACGGAAGTCACCTGGGCTGGAGGGGAGGAGTCAAGGCAGCCCTCCCAGGGACAAGGCCCTTCCGGCTGCAGCTGCAGAGAGGGAGGGAGGAGGAGGAGCAGGTCTGCCCTCTGTTCTGACACCAGGGGCCTTCTGGAGCTCCCCCAATGCTGCTCTCCCCATGCTCCTCCTCCCCTCCATGGCCTAGCCACCTCCCCTTTGCCCTCCTGGCTGCAGCCTCTGCTCCCCTCCCCATCCCACTTGCCTGAGCCAGCGCCACCTGGCCACATCCTGTATCTGCCCTCACTGCCACTCCCCAGGGCCCCTAGTAGCCCCCTGCTGTCCACAGGGACAGTCCCACCCCTCCCCACCGGGAACAGAGCCCAGCACCATGTGGCCCCTCAGGCTGTCCAGCTCCAGGACTCCTGTCCTGGCCACACCCTGCACTGTGGCCCCAGGTGCTTGGGGGCGTTCCCTGCACCTCCAAGCTTTAGCCACAGGTGCATCCTCCTGCTGGAAGGTTCTCCCTCCCCTCCCCACCTACTGTTCTTGCCCCAAGACTGGTCTTCATAGCCCGTCTCTGGGGCCTCTCCCCATTCCCTGGCTCATCCACAGTGAACCCCTCCTGGCTTGTCCAGACCCCACCTCACCTGGACCACAGCTTGTCACAGTTGGCCTGCATGCCAGACAGTGGCTCCTCGGGGCAATGACAGCATCTTTCTTTTCTTGAGCTTCTCTGAGGCCAGCCCAAGACACAGTTCAACCCGTGTTTGTTGAATGAATAAATGACCTACAATGGGGCCTTACCCTTTCACACCCAGGACAAAGTCATTTGCTCCCTCCAGGTTTACTTTGCTTTACTTTGCTAAACCACCACGCTTGCTCTCCTCTGCTTCACTCTTGCCTCCCACTGCCCACACCGAGTGTCCACCTTAAAGGGAACCCCAGAGCCAATGAGGGAGGCATGAAATCCTGACTTCCGACTCCTCCCCACCTGAGCTCCTCCCACTGGAACCTCCTGATGGGGCAGAAGGTTCAGGCTCACCTGAGCTGGGACCTGCCTGTGCTCCTAAGGGCATGGCCTTTCCGGCAGTTGGCTCCAAGTCACTTTGGAGAGACATTAGCATCCAGGCTCCTCTGACCCTCGAACGGGAGTTGCTTTTTGCGCCTCCCGGCAGGGAGCCCCCAGTGTCCTTGTCTTCTGGTGTCACCTGCTTCACAGCACGTCTCCCAAAATGCTTCAGAGCATTTCCATTTTTCCACGAAAGAAATGACCCGTTTCCTGGGCTCCTTTCTCCTCTGTGCCTCTGTGGCAGAGAGAGCTGCCTTTGTCGTAAAATAATTTCGGGCGCTTGCCTCTCTCTCACGCACAACTGTTCAAGGCTCTTTCCTCCGACTGACTTTCATGTCGCAAAACTCTATTAAGCTTTCATCTGCCTGGGGGAGCCGTGCCTTGAGGAACCAGGGAAGGGAAGGAGTGCTCCGGACAGTGCGCAGGGGATATGTAAATGGGTGCAGAACCCAGAGCCTGCCTCTGCCCTCCAGTCCACCCACCCGTCTCCAAGCGAGAACCGCCCTGCCTCGCGCTCCCCCGCCTGTTCTGGAAAGGGCGGTGTGAGGCAGGCAGGGCAGAGCCACCCTGAAATCCTCATCTGGATTTTTTGTTCATTCCAGTGGCAAAGAAGCTCACTCCCAGGAAACCGGGTGCATTCGAGGAAGGTGCTTTGGTGGAAAGAGCACTGGGGCAGGAGTCCAGGCCTGGGTTCGAGTGACAGCGGGTGCTGATTCCTCAGGGTTTCCACACTTCCTGGCAGGGAGGGCCTGGCTGCGTTGCCGTCTCTAATATTTGCCTAATATAGAATGGACCACTTGCTGGGACTCCACACATGTCTGAATATCCACCGCCGCAGGATTTTGTATTCCTTCTCTCTAAGAGGAACCCCCTAACTGTGTATGCTGAGATGCCACCAGGCTGGACGTCCCCATCAGAGCTGCCACATCTCCCTGCCGTGTGGCCCTGGGTGAGCCACCTTCTCTGTGTGCCTCAGTCTCCCAACTGTGTTTCCTCAGTGTTGTGAGGACTGAGTTCCATCGCAAACCACTCTCGCATGTGCCAATGGAGTGTTATGGTTTCCAAATACATGCACCCATCATGGGCTCTAATTCCCACCAAAAAAAAAAAAAAAAGCTCTGAGGTTTTCACCAGTGAGCCAGCTGATAGCAGCCAAACCAGAGCTGGGTTCAGGGTAACCAGCCTCCAACCATTTCAAAGCAGCCTTCGGACCTAACTTTCCATTTCCTCTGGGCAGCTGCTGTCCTCCAAGACTCCAGCTGGGGAAGAGAACAGCCCCATCTTCTTTCTCCACCTCTCAGCCGTGAGCTGGCTGTTCACAAATCACTCACTCTTCATTCTCACAGCAACCCTCACCAAAGCCCCGTGTCACAGATGAGGAAACTGAGGCTCCACAGCAGGAACCCGCTTTCCCAAGGCCCCATCTGTCTCCCGGTGAGCTCCTTCCCAGTGACATAGCACATGCTCTGTCTGTGCAAGTCCTGAAGCCACCACCTGTTTTACCTGACTGGAGGCTATCCTGCAGCAGGACACAGAGGGCTGGGCTGGGCTGCCTGATTCCGTTTCTGTGCTTCTGTCTCCTCTTTGCCCAGTGCTGCCAGCCAACATCCAGCTGCCCAGGGAAACTGCAGCCCCAGCAAGATGGGCCACCCTGGGCCACCCCCTGAACTTCCAGAGCCATCGGCTCTGCCCATCTGTGCCCATCTGTCTCACCTGTAACCCTAATGGCAGCCTCTGTTCAGGACCACCAGCAGGAGCCAGGCCTCCCCACACCTCACAGTGCCACCTCTCCAAACCCATCCCTGCCATCTGGAGCCCAGGGGACAGTCGGAAGCCTGCTGAGGGAGGAGGTCAGGAGATGGAGGCTAAAGGGGAGAGCACCAGAGTGAGGAGGGGCTCCAGAAGCTAGGCTGAGGGCAGACCCTGCTGCCCCCCAAAAAGTCACCATCCAGTGGGGTCATTATTTTTCAATCGGGGAGGCTTTGTACATGTATTTCTTAAAAATGAGGAGGGAAGGACGTCTGCAGGAGCGTTTCCTGTGTTGGAGTCACCAGCAGCTCACGCCTCATTGCTCCCGTCTCCTCCAGCTGTAATTAAGCCAGAGACACCAGGCACTGCTGCCTGCCCAGCTCCAGTCCCAGCACAATAATCAGCCCTCAGTTAAATGAGGAGGATAAATACAGGCAGACCGGGACTCCAAGGACAACAGCCCCCGGTTACCGTCCTCCACAGACCCGGACCACCACCCAGCTGCCTTGGTCGCTGAGCAGTCAGAGGATGGACAGAACATGCAGGGCCTCCTTGGTGGGAAGCCACGGACAGGGGGGGCCCCCCACGCAGGGCCTCAGTTTTCTCATCTGTAATATGGGGGAGCAGACAAGTCCCCCACGTTACCCTCTGCAGGCCTCGCTGTGGTCCTCTCCACTTTAGCCGTCACCTCTTGGCCTCCTGAGTCAGACCTGCAGAGGCAGGCCCGGGAATCTGCACTTCCCGAGATGCCCCAGGGAGCCCCTCCGTGGAACCACGTGTGCCAACGCCTGGGAGGAGGGCAGGTGGCCAGAGGATCCTGGGGTCCCTCTCCCAGCCCAACCCCACCCCCAGGCCCTGTGGCTGCTCCCCCTCTGCAAAGGCACCAGGAGGGAGGTCAGGCCCTGGCGGAGCCAGCCACGCAGGTCAGTGCCCCGGGCAAGTGGGTGCTGCGGTGGCCTCGGGCCACAAGGGGGCAGAGGCGGCCAGCGAGGCCGCAACCTTCGCTCAGGTGAGCCGGGTCCGCTGCGCTGCGCTGCGCGCCGGGGTCCTGCACCCACGCTCTTCGCCGCAGAGGAGACCCCGGGGGGCAGGGTCGGGCGGGGGCCTCTCCGTGTGGCCTGGGTGGTCCTCGGGTCCTCAGCCCCTGCCCCCGCCTCTTCTGGAAAGCTCCTCACAACGCTGCCCGGCCCTGCTGCCTCCCAGCCCCGACACAGGAATCCCATCTCACTCCAGCGCCCGCCCTCCCCTTCCACGGTGCAGGCGGCTTCATCCCTGCTGAGTCTAATTCCACCCTCATTCGCCCCATTTCACAGAAGGAGTAAACTGAGGCCGAGAGAGGGCAGGGGCTGGAGCCAAGGCCCTCCCTTCTGGAGCAGCAATCCTAGAATTGGGAAACTTTGCCTTTTGTTATGGTAAGAAATGCTGTTGAGAATTTCTTAATTCCCCTTTGGAAAAGACAGGTTGTGCTGTGTGCAGAAATCGTTATTCAAAAATTACAGACTCTAGTTGTTTCTATGGAAACATTTTTTCACCTTATGCAAATGAAGCAAGAGGCATGAAAACAACGCCTTCCCTTTCTGCCCCCCTCCACCAACTTTCTTTTTGGAACCTTGAAAAGCTGCTGCTGAAAGTTTCGTCCTCTGTAGGGGTGCTGAAGGCGGCCTCTGACACTGGGGAGAGTTTGCTTCATTAACTCGGGGACCTTTGTGACCCTGGGCCGAGCCGAGACTCAGGGTTCCCCGGCCAATTACTCTGAGGCCCAGCTCCATTTACTCCCACTCTGATCATTACAGAGTGGTGGGTGGCAAATGTCACTCCAGAGTGTCTCCCCTGCCCCCTTGAAGGGGAACCCCTGCTTCCCACCACGATTCCTTCAGGAAGCCCCACAGCAGGAGGGAAACCCCCCACCGCTCAGAGCACCCATCGTTTACCCAGCCTGGACTGGCATTCTTTTGAGGAGCCAACCTCTGCACCCACTCCTGCACTCATCTCTGCCTCCACGGGGGCTCCCAGAGCCAAGGGACAGGAATGTTGGGCATATCTTTCCTCTGGTTTTGATTCAAGCCCCCACATTGGTGCCTTCCAACTATGTGGCCTTGGACAAGTCTCTGCCTCTCTGAGCCTCGTTTTCTCCGCTGTCGCCTCCACCCTGCTTAGTTGGGGGTGATAGCACCCACCTTGCAAGGTTGCAGGGAGGGTGACATGGAACGACCATCTTCGCTACTTAGCGCACAGTAGGGATTAAATGTGTAGGAATTCCCCAAGTTGCTCCTAGAGGAGCGGGGAGCCAGGGTGAGAAGAGGCTCGCTGGTGTGTGTGCTGCGTGGGATGTGGCCGCCCCCGGGGAAATTTGCTCGAAGCCACCCGAGAACTCCATCCCCAGCTGTTTGTGGCCAGGGCGGCCACCAGGAGGCAGTGTCTCCCAGCAGCCAGAGCGCCAAATTTGTAGCCCAGAGACCTGGGTTCAAGCTCCGACTCAGAGGTGTCTTCACTGGGTGATCTTGGAGACTATTTCCCCTCCCCAAGCCTCCATTTTCTCATCCACAGGGAGCCACATCATCTGCACGCCCCACAGGCTGCGTGGGGACCACAGCTAAAGGCTGTGGGAAGTGGGCAGATGTACCCTGACTGACATAAAATTGGTACCAAGAGTGGTTCCAGGTGATGGATGGGATGTGGGGATTGGTTTGGTCATGCCTTTGGGCTTGAACACAAAGCTGAGCTCCTTGCCAATGGGAAACGGGATGTTAGTGACCCCCATATGCAGCAGCATTGCCATTAATCAACTATCATCTGCCATTGATTGCGATGAAGTGGCTCCTAAGGAACCCACGTGGCTCCTGAACTTGACCATTATGGCAGTAACGATGACTATAAACATTTTGGTGAGGTGTGGATTCTTTTGAGTGTACGCAAGCTCTTACAAAGAGAAAATGAAAAGCTTGGATCCGTTAGCCTTCAGCTCAAGTCACAGTCTGAGAACCAGCGAGCTTCGGTGACAGCTGTAAAAGAGGCTCTTATTTCATTTAGCTGCAGGGCTGATGCTGATGAAAATCAGACACAAGCTTTAATTGTGCAGGCTGCTGAGGTATAACAATTGAATTCATGCGCTCAACAAGTTTCTCATGTGAAAGTTAGAGCCCTGATTAGTGAAGAATCAGATCTCAAAACTTGGAATGAAAACATCTGATTGGATCCAAATAAGACCGTCAATCTTGAGTCCCCAAGTCACACGGAGCCTCCTTTGCAAGTGGAGGCAGCTACCCATCTCATGTCAGAAGAGACTGGCTCTCCTCTGCTTGAAAACCATGGGATAAACTCACCCAGGGCAGATGCCCTGGAAGGAGGTGCCCATTCATCTCGAGATCCATCGCAGCCACCCTGTTGCCACTAGACCCACAGCTGGGCTCCAATCCCAGCATGCTGCAGGGGCAAGTACACACTTTACCACCAAAAGAATTACAAGACTTTGCTTATATATGTGGGCAGAAACCTGGGTACCACGTGCAGAGTGGATTCTAAGGGTGTTAGATCACAGAGGGAGAAATATTAATACAACATTAGACCAGGCCAAATGTTTTGGCATAGTTGCACTTACTAGAAAATCTGAATCCAATGTGCTAGTTTGTGTAACTATGCATTAATCATCTATTGCCATGTATCAGATTACCACAAACTTCAAGGCTTACAACAGCACACACTTTTAATCTCATGGCTTCTATGGGGTAGGAACCTGGGCATGGCTGACGTGGCTCCTCTGGGCCAGGATTCTCATAGGGCAGCAATCCAGGTGTCAGCCAGAGCTGCAGTCTTATCAGAAGGGTTCCCTGGGAAACCATCCACTTCCAGGCACACAAGGTTGTTGCAGGAGTCAGTTCCCTGCAGGCTGTTGGGCTGAAGGCCTCAGTTACTAGGTGGCCCTGGCTGAAGGCTGCCCTCATGGACCTCTTCAGCATGGTCACTTACTTTATCAAAGCCTGCATGCTGAGAAGGCAACTGAGAGCCTGCTACCACCTTACAGAAGCTAATCACAGCAGTGACCGCCCATCAGCTTGGTCATATTCTGTTGGTTCGAAGCATGTCACAAGCCCACCTATACTCAAAGGAAGGGAGTTACATAAAGGAATGAACAGCAGGAGACAGGGATCATTGGAAGTTTTCCTGCCACCAGCAGAAGGTGGATCTAACAGATTATTTGGCTGGTTCTTGACTAAAGCTTGGACTCACCCGTGACCTTCAGGTAATGAGATTGAGATGACAGAGCTTCCCTGGCATGAGGCGGAGGAGGGAACCGAAAGGCTTAGAGGATAGGAATGCTGGGCTGGATCTATCAGGTGAAACCTGCACACCCATCCCTCTACTATGTTCTGCAAGAGGGCCCAGGAGACACTTCCTTCACTGAGGAATTGAAAAATACAGTGGTGAGCGGCACGCCTGCATCCCTGAAAATCTCTGTGGTTGCAGTCCTTTTTAGACCAGGCATGACAGCAGGGGATGCTGCCACCGAGCTGCATGCCCTGATTTCAGTGGGAATGATGAGATTGCAGAGCGGCAGAAGCCAAGTGGCATCATCACTTCACTGCCAAAGACAAAGTGGGTACATCCAGCATCACGGACAGCAGGGACGCACAAGCAATCAACATGCCTTGGCCCACACAGATCTTTGGTGGTGGCTAATTCATCATGGTGTCCCCGGGAAGAAAGAGATGGGCAGCCTGCTACAGCCTTAGTTTAAACAGGAAACACAACCGGGAGAGCGCAAGGCCTGGTAGCCTCAAGTCTGACTTGAGTTGTTGCAATGAAGAATCATGGCTTCTTACCCAACTTCCAGATCTCAGCAAATGCACAGACCCTGGGCGACTTGGTTGAACGGAGGCCAGCATGACAGCACACTGTCAACCTTCCTCCAAGCCATTTCCAGGGGGACCTGTGGCCTTTTACTACAGGGAGTGTGCAACAGGGGAAGGAAATGCCTAGATGGTTTGAGGATTGCTAGACAGTGGTTCTGAACTAACACTAATTCCTGAGGGCCCAAAATTCCACTATGCCCCAGCAATCTAAAAGGAGGTGGACAGTGGGAAGATGATAGATGGAGTCTTAACTCAGGTCTGGTTCACAGTAGGCCCAGTTGGTCCATGGACCCCATCCCCACTAGTGGTTATCTGTCTAGCTCTTAAATGTATAATTGGAGGAGACATACTTAGCAACTGTCAGCATCCCTGCATTGGCTCTGTGACCCATGTGGTGAGGGCCATTATCACAAGAAGAACTTAGTGGAAATCCCTGAAACTTCCACTTCCATCCAAGTGAGTGAACCAGAAGCTATACTTTATCCCAGGGGAATTTGAGAGATTAATGTCACTTACAAGAAGCAGAGGTGTTCATACCTACCACACTCCATGGAGCTTCCCAGTTTGTACTGTTCAGAAGTCAGGTGGAACCCTGCCACCATCAGACACAGCAATGGTTTCTCTGAATTGGAAGATGAGGCTATCACCTGGCTGCTTTGGACTCCTTAAGCCACTGAATCAACACAAAAAGAAAAGGAAAGAAATGACTCTACTCACTGGAGTGATTGATCCTGATTAGCAAGGGGAAACTGGGCTGCTGCTGCACAATGAGGACAGGGAGGAAAGTATCTGAAACGCAGAGGATTCTCCAGGGTACCTCTCTTAGTTCTCCTGTGACCAATAGTAATGGTGTGTTAGCCTGTTTGCTATAACAAAATACCACAAATTGAATGGCTTATAAACAACCGAAATTGATTTCTCACAGTTCTGGAGCCTGGAAAGTCCAAGATTAAAGCACCAGCAGATTCAGTGTCTGGTGAGGGCCTGCTTCCTCATAGACAGCACCTTCTCGTTGTGTTCTCACATGGTGAGAGGGATAAAGAGCACTCTGGGGTTTTTTTTTTAAATAAAGGCACTAATCACAGTCATGAGGGCTCTGCCCTCATCATCTAATCTCCTGTTTTAGTCCATTTTGTGTTGCTATAACAGACTGTCACAGACTGGGTAATTTATTATAAACAGAAAGGTATTTGGCTCAAGGTTCTAAAGGCTGAGAAGCCCAACAGCATGGCGCCAGCATCTGGTGATGGCCTTCGTGCTGTGTCATCCCATGGTGGAACGCAGAAGAGCAAGGGCAAGAGTGAGGGAGGAAGGGGATCCAAACTCACTTTTATAACACACCCACTCTCATGATAGCTAACTCACTCCCACAATAATGACATTAATCCATTCATGAAGGCAGAGTCCTCATGACCTCATCACCTTTTATCAGACACTGTCTCCCAACATTGTTGTATTGGGTATTAAGTTCCCAAGACACAAACTTTGGGAGACACATTTAAACCATAGCATCTCCCAAAGGTCTCATCACCTAACACCGCCACCATGGGGGCTAAGATTTCAGCATATGAATTTTGGAGGGACATAAACATTCACTTCATAGCATTTTTCTCTTGGCCTCCCAAATTTAATGTGCTTTTTGCATGCAAAATGCATTCATTCCATCCCAATTGCCCAAAACATCTTAACTTGTTCCAGCATCAACTCAAAAGTCTAAAGTTCAAAGTCTCATGTAAATATCATCTGTATCAGATATGGATGAGACCCAAGGTATGATTCATTCTGAGGCAAATTGCTCTCCAGCTGGGAGCCTGTGATATCAAACATGTTATGTGCTTCCTAAATACAATGGTAGAACAGGCATAGGCTAGACATTCCCATTCCCAAACGGAAAAATAGGAAAGAAGGAAGGAGTGACAGGTCCCGGCCAAGACCAGAAACCTTAAGGCTCAGAAATAATCTGCTTTGGCTTGGTGATCTGCCCTCCAGACTCACTGGGGTGGGGATCCTGCCTGTTGGACACACAGTGGTGGTGGCCCTGCCCCCATGGCTGTGCTGGGCACACCCCATACTACAGGTCTCACAGGTTGGGATTTCATGCCTGTGACACTCCCAGGTTAGAATCACATTCCAATGGCTCTGCTGATCTGGGTTTGTGGAGATGGTCCCACCCCTGGCTATGGTGGGTATTATTCTGGTAGGGGCTGTCTATGATGGTCTTGTCCCTGCAGTGTTTCTCTCTCTGGGCCCTGAGGCCCCTTGGGGCATCCTTTGAAATCTAGAGGGAGGCAGCCAAGCCTCTACAGCTTTGCTGGGCACAGTGTATGCCACACTAGGGCCTGCAGAAGCCACAGCTGGGGTGGATAAGGAGCTCAGCAATGGAATGCATGGAGGGAAATGGAAGCTGCCATACAGTATGGCAGTGGCGGTGGCCCCTCCTTTGATATCATTCTGCCCTCCAGGGCCTAGTACTCTGGGCCTGTGAGGGAAAGGACAGACCCCAATTCTTCCATCATTTTGGACAACAGGTTCTGGCTTCTGTTCAGATCAAGCTTGTCCAACCCATGGCCCATGGGCCTCATGTGGCCCAGGACAGCTTTGAAGCCCAACACAAATTCATAAACTTTCCTAAGACATTATGAGATTTTTTTTTTTTTTGCAATTTTTTTTAGTACATCAGCAATGGTTAGTGTTAGTGCATTTTATGTGTGGCCCAAAACAGTTCTTCTTCCAATGTGGCTCAGGGAAACCAAAAGATTGGACACCCCTGGTTTAGATGGTTGACTAATCTCTCCTGTTGTCTTAATGAATAGATCCTGGCTTCTGTTGAGATGGCCAACCCATACTTATCTCTTTTTTTTTTTTTTTTTTTTTTTTTTTTTTTTTTTTTGAGATGGAGTTTCTCTCCTGTCACCAAGGCTGGGGTGCAATGGTACAATCTTGGCTCACTGCAACCTCTGCCTCCTGGGTTCAAGTGATTCTCCTGCCTCAGCCTCCTGAGTAGCTGGGACTACAGGCATGTGCCACTACGTCTGGCAAATTTTTGTATTTTTAGTAGAGACAGGATTTCGCCATGTTGGCTGGGCTGATCTCGAACTCCTGACCTCAGGTGATCCACCTGCCTTGGCCTCCCAAAGTGCTGGGATTACAGGTATGAGCCACCGTGCCCAGCCCATACTTATCTATTTATCAGTCATTTAGCCACATCCTTGTTCTCTCTCCAATATGTTTTGTCATTTTTTCCAATATGGATAGGCTGAAAATTTTCCAACTGTTTAAGTTCTGCTTCTCTTTTGATTGACAATTCTGTCTTTGAATCATTTCTGTTTTCTCACTTTTTACTATAAGCAGTCAAGAGACACCAGGCTACACCTTCAACACTTTGCTTAGAAATTTCCTCTATCAAATATCCAATTTCATTGCTCACAGGCTCTACCTTCCGCAAAACACTAGAACATGAACACAATTCAGCCAAGTTCTTTGTACTTTGTAACAAGGGTGGCCTTTCCTTCCTTGTCCAATGATACATTTCACCTTCTGTCTGAGTTCATCGGAATGGCCTGTGCCATCCATATTTCTACCAACCTTCTGTTAATGACTGCTTAGGTATTCTCTAAGAAGCTGGAGGCTTTTTCTGCAGCTCTGCTCCTCCCCGTCTGGGCCCTCACTAGAATTCACCTTATGATCCACTCACAGCAATGCAGGTTTTTCCTAGAATGCACCTCAAAACTCTTGGCAGTCTGTACCCATTACCCAGTTTCAAAGCCACTTCCACATTTTTAGGTATGTGTTACAGCAGCACCTCTACTTCTCCATAACAATTTTCTGTCTTAGCCCATCTTGGCTGCTATAACAAAATACCATAAACTAAGTGTCTTATAAATAACAGAAATGTATTTCCCATTGCTCTAGAGGCTGATAAGTACAAGATCAAGGGACTGGCAGATTTGGTGTTTGGTAAAGATCTGATTCCTCCTAGACAACATCTTCTTGCTGTATCCTCACGTGGTGGGAGTGGGAAACTAGCTCTCCGGATTTCATTTGTAAGGGCACTAATACCCGTGAGGAGCGCTCACCTCTCAAAGGCCCCACCTCCTAATACCATCACCTAGTAGGGGTTTTGGATTTTAAAGTATGGATTTTGCAAACATTCAGATCCTAGCAAATGGTTAATGGAAAAGTACAGCAACCAAAAACGTGCATGGTGACAGAGGACTCACAGCCTTCATGAAGGGAGACTAGGCTCACTCCACTAGTTAGAGGCCAGCTGAGGTTCTGGCTAAGGACAGGGGAAGTGTAGAATGGGTAGTTGAAGAAGGAAGCCATTGATATCAATTCTAACCTCACAACTACCTTACAGAAATGAGTCCCATAGTAGCTATTTTCTACTTGTTTGTTTTATGTACATACTTATCTGTAGAGGCTAATCATTTTTTTTGAAACAGGGCCTCACTTTGTTGCCCAGGCTGGAGTGCAGTGGCGTGATTACCGCTCACTACAGCCTCAACCTCCCAGGCTCAAGTGATCCTCCCACCTCAGCCTCCCAAGTAGCTGGGACCACAGGCAAGTACCCACCATGCCTGGCTAATTTTTTAAACTTTATGTAGAGGTGGGGTCTTCTTATGTTGCCCAGGCTGGGCTTGAACTCCTGGGCTCAAGTGATCCACCTGGTCCAGCCTCCCAAAGTGCTGGGATTACAGGCGTGAGCCACCACACCCAGCCTAGACTAATTATTTTCTTCCCCTCCTTTCCATTTTTATTTTATATCCAAACTGTTGGAAGTTAACTTCACAGTTTAGTGTGTAGGTAATAAAATATTTAGTGGAAATGCAAATGAATTTGAGGAGTAATTCACATAGTCAGTGACAGAAACACTGGCTGCTGGACTGCATGTCTCCTCGTTTCAGAGAGAGGGCAGAAACTGTCATGGGTAAGATCTGTAGCTGCATCTTGTTAGGTGGAGATATAAAGATGTTTTGCTGCTGTACAGGAGTCCAAATGTGTGTAGTACACATGGAAGGTGAGTAGCCAAAGGGGTGGACCGTGCCAGTTATCAATTTATTGTCTCCCAGCTCCGAATCTGCCCTGCATTGGCTGTTGTATTAAAAAATGAGCTGGTGCCTTTGTGATTTTCTTTGCCTGTCGACACCACATTAAGCTTTGTCAGCAGAGGGCGCTGGAGAGACAGGACAGGAGGCAGGGATTTTCCCTCCTGGTACTGGGCGGTGGCTGGGCAGACTCCTGCAGTGTGGGCGGCCTCTCCAGCAGTGCGGTGAACGCAGTTGGCAGCTTCCCTCTGCTCTCTCTAGGGTGGGTTTGTAGCAGATATCTCCTCATGAACAGCCTCCCCAGCACCCTAAAGGGTGGATTTCCAGCAAGCTCTGTTGGTGCAGCCCACAGCCACATCCACTAAGCCACAGCTGTGCCCTCCCCACTGAGCCCTGGTCGGGGGAGGGTCTTCCTTGGCTGCTGTATCTCAGAACTGGGGTAGCAACTGCTCCTTATGCCTGCAACCGCTAGGTTCTTTCAAGTTCCCTTCACTCCTTACTGCCCAGTCCCTCATTACTGCAGAGCCCCGTTATAATCAATAATCTATCAACTTGCCTTGATCAGATTACTGTGTGGATTCTGTCTGCTGTCTGGAGTCTGGCTGCTACACTGAGCTGAAAACCAGGAAGTTAGGGCATGGCTTAGAATGATTTCAACTGCAATAAGTTCTCCTTAAGAGGTAACTGTGTGCCGGTCACCGCACCCCGAGATACAGCCATCAGAGGTGCATGGTCTCTGTCCTGGCAAGTTTACAACCAAGGGGGATAGACAGTCACTAGGCAAAGTGTCACAGGCAAAGATGTGGCTGCACTAGAAAATGTCCTATAGTGTTAAGAACTGTGAAGCAAAGTTAAAAGGGCAATTCAACGCAGTGGCCATGGCTGGGAGTGGGCAGCAACTCTGGGGGGTGTTCAAGGAAGGCCTCTGTGTGGAGGTGACGTTTGAGCTGAGACTGAAGAAGTGCAAGGAAAGACCGGGGCGGAGGGATCATTCCTGGTGCAGAAATAGCGATTGCAAAGGCCCCGAGGTGAGCATTGATCTGGCCTTTTTGTGCAACAGAAAGAAGACCAGGAGTTCCAGGAAAACAGGAGGAGGAAGTGGTAGAGAATAGGTCTGAGATAAGACAAGGGACAGAGGATGGGGGCCTTGCAGGCCAGAGCAGATGTTATTTGAAGTCAGTAGAAAGTCCCTGGAGGGGTTTAATCCAAATATGCATAAAGAACGATTTTTTAAACGTGAAGGTTCCCTTTAGTAGGATGGGGGGAAAGTGGGAGACATTGCACCCCATTAGTGCTGTATTGCAGCACGTTACCGTGGCTATTGCTGTTATGGTGAACACCTTGTGCATGTTTTGTTCCCACAGTCATTAGCTTTACAGCTCCCTCCTCCAGGCAGTCTTCTCAGACCTTCGCTGGCCAAGCTCATCGCCTCCTCTTTGCTCTGCAGTTCCACCCCAAGCCTCTTGTGCTCTCCCTGGCTGTTCTCACTCATTCACAGTGTAGACATCTGTTTCCTGGTCAGTCCCCTGCCCCTTCCTGTCTCTGCCACTGGGATGCCACCCACTCAGTGAGGACAGCATCGACCAGCACACTGAGGTCAAGCTAAATGAGGCCGGGCACAGTGGCTCATGCCTGTAATCCCAGCACTTTGGGAGGCGGAGGCGGGTGGATCACTTGAAGTCAGGAGTTCGAGACCAGACTGGCCAACATGGTGAAACCCCATCCCTACTAAAAATACAAAAATTAGCCGGGCATGGTGGTGTGCACCTGTAATCCCAGCTACTCAGGAAGCTGAGGCAGGAGAATCGCTTGAACCTGGGAGGCGGATGTTGCAGTGAGCCGAGATTGTGCCATTGCAGCCTAGGCGACAGAGAGAGACTCCATCTCAAAAAAACAAAAACAGACTAAATGAATACAGCTGACACTATACCTCATACCAGGAATGTCCAACCAAAACAGCAGAAATAAGACCCTGTGAGACAGGCAGGGTGGCAAGTGCTCCTGTCCCCATTGTACAGAGTAACAAGACCAAGGTCCAGAGAGGTGCTCAGGGTCACACAGCACATGGGTGGTGCCAACTCCAGGGTCAGTGCCACAGCACTTGGCCTCTCTGTACCTCCTGTGTAGGAGCAAGGCACACAGCTCTCTTGCTGGTGCAGCTGGGGAAACCGAGGCCAAGTCCCAGACCACCCAGCTAGGGGGAGCGTGTGCCTCTCACTCTCAGGTTGGTGTGACTGAGAGTGACCAGGCACTGGGCTGGATTGCCAGGGCAGGGGAGGGCAGGTCAGGCTGTCTCTGGCCAAGAGGGACGCAAGGGCTAGAAAATCATTACAGGCGGATGAATTATTCACAGTGCCGTCAACCTCCTCAGGCCCCGACTGCGCTGAACAGCCCAGCGCATCTTATTACCCATGTGTGATGGCCTCTTTCTCTGTCTCAGAAGAAAGTGATTCAACACCATCAAATATTAATTTGGGGCGGCAGACACAGTGGCCACTCACATACTGGCCCTTCAACACTGCCCCAGCAGTCACAGATGACGCCAACCCAGGAACCAGAGATGTGGCCAGCAGGGCCCAAGAGGGCACAACTTTCCTCCAGCCCAAATCACAAGGCCCCCATGCAACAGCCTCAAACCTCAGTCCATAACCTCAGGCGCACCGGAAATGCTACTTACTTTGTTTTCCTAAAATGGAGTTTCATGTTGATTTTGCACACTGTTCTCAGTCTTGGTTTGGGGTCCCTGTCTCTACCCCTGGTCCTTCCCGGGGCTAAGGATCAGAGGAGCCCTGGGGTCTGTACTAGTTTCCCGCAGCTGCCTTAACAAAGTGCCACAGACTGAGGGGCTCAAGCAACAGAAATCTATTCTCTCAGGGTTCTGGAGGCTAGAAGTCTGAGATTGAGGTGTTACCAGGGTCACACTTCTCTGGAGGCACTAGGGGAGGATGCTGTCTGGCATCCAAGTCTGGTAACTGTACTCTCTGAAGTCTGGTAACTGCTGGCAACCTTTGACTATGGACAGGTCATCCCCATTTCTGCCTCTGTCTTCATATGGCTTCTCCTCCCCAGGTGTGCCCCTGTGGCCTCTCCTCTTCTTTTCTTTTCTTTTTTTTCTTTTTTTTTTTTTTTGAGATGGACTCTTGCTCTTGCTCTGTCACCCAGGCTGGAGTGCAGTGGCGCAATCTCAGCTCACTGCGACCTCTGCCTCCCAGGTTCAAGTGATTCTCTTGCCTCAGCCTCCCGAGTAGCTGGGATTACAGGTGCCCACCAGAATGCCTGGCTAATTTTTGTATTTTTAGTAGAGATGGGGTTTCACCATGTTGGCCAGGCTGGTCTTGAACTCCCGACCTCAGGTGATCCTCCCTCCTCGGCCTCCCAGAGTGGTGGGATTACAGGTGTGAGCCACTGCACTGGGCCTCTCTCCTCTTATAAGAACACCAGTCCTTGGATTAGGGCCCACCTTATTCTGATATGACCTCGTCTAACTGAATGACATCTGCAATGCCCCTGTTTCCCCCAGGCCTGTCTCTCCATGTCCCAGGTCCCCCGGATTGGAGTTACCTACTCATGTGCCTGCCCCTCAGGGTCACCTCCCTGGAGTGGGGCCCAGCTCTCTATCACCAGCTTCAGCCCAGGTAGGGGCTCCAACAGTGTAAGCTGTTATCAAGATCAGTTTGCTTCCTAGCCCTTCCTCTTCTGCCCTGGGCCCCCCACACCATCCTCATGCCCCTCCACCTTGAGCCGGCCCCTGCCCCCTCAGTCCTCCCCCTCTGGTCCTCATTCATCCTGAGCCCAGGCCCATGACCTCAATGCCCCCGGCTTCTAAATAATGACACCTTCCACACCCTCATCTCCTCCCTCCTCCCTAGTCCCCTTCTCCCCTGGCCTGGGCTGGTGACTTGGTGAGGAGGATACAGGGATGAGTCTGGAGCTGTCCAGAGGCCAGTGGGAGCAGCTGATCTGTAAAGAGACAGCACAGGGCGCTGCGGGGCCAAGGGAGCCTGAGGAGTACAGCGTGGGGTGGTCAAAGAAGGCCTCCCTGAGGCTTCATGGGAGGGCTGGACATAGCCAGGAACAAGGAGGGTGTCCGGGAGCAATGGCTGGAGACAGAACCGCTGCCAATAGTCAGGTGTGTCTGTCTGCAGCACTGAGGGCTTTGAAGTCAGGCTGGGGAGGGAGCAGGGCGGTCCAGGGGAGCCCCCATGCCCAGCAGGCAGGGCCTGGCCAGATCTGCACTACATCCAAATAAAGGCAGCGCTGTCAGGCAGCTGAGATGCAGCGGGGACTAGAAGCAGAAGATGCAGGGGGAGGAGAGCTGAGGCCCAGCAAGTCGCAGTGGTGTGGCCACCAGGAGCTTAGCCTCAGAGCCAAACTGGCCAGAAGCCAAGGTCAGCAGCCATACATCTCTGGCATGAGATCCTGTGCAGATCACTAACGCCTCATGCCTCAGTTTTCTTATCCGTAAAATGGGGATAAAGAAGCAGTTTGAATGACACCTGGTGCTTGTTAAGTTCTTAACAAGTGTTACCAACTTCCCTTACTGCTTGTTATTAATTACCTTATTAAATCCTCCCAGCAACCTGTGGGAGTAGCCCTCATTAGCCCCATCTACAGTTGAGGAGACTGACTAGCAGAGGGAGTGAGCTTCCCAGAGTCCCTGGGAGTGCTGAGCATTTCCTTCATGCCAGCCACAGGACTGTGTCCTCTCCGCCCAGGATTGCAGAGCAGGACAAGGACTGTGTCCTCTCCGCCCAGGCTTCCAGAGCAGGACAAGGACTGTGTCCTCTCCGCCCAGGCTTCCAGAGCAGGACAAGGACTGTGTCCTCTCCGCCCAGGCTTCCAGAGCAGGACAAGGACTGTGTCCTCTCCGCCCAGGCTTCCAGAGCAGGACAAGGACTGTGTCCTCTCTGCCCAGGATTCCAGAGCAGGACAAGGATTCCGGTCCCCACAAACCAGACTAGAAACAGAAGCTTGAGACAGCCCCAGACTGCCAGGAGGCAGTGGCAGGGCGGACACTTCAACCCAGATCCCCCGACGGCAGAGCCTATGCTCTTAATGCCCAGCCTGCCAGGGCCCACCACATCCTGACTCCAGAGGCTTCCTCAGCAGGGTCCGTGGCTTGTTTTCTTTCATACTCATGATTCATGTTCTGAAGACACCCTATTGCAGGATCAGCACATTCTCCGGGGCCCACATTGGAAGAATGCGTGTATCAGGACAGCCCAGGACTGACTGAGCATCCCCCATGAGGGATTTGTATTTCCGTCATCCCCACTTCCCTGGGAAGCGGCCAGGACCCTCAGAGGAGGGATCAGGGAGACCTGGGGAGCCTGCGGTGGCAGCTGCGATGGCCTCCTGCAGGCCAGGATCCACTTAACCCAGAGCGTCGGCTTGGTGGCTGGGAGCCTGTGCGAGGCAGGATGTGGTCTCCCGCCACCAGGGTGTCACCTGGCGATTTTAACCACAGTGCAGGCGTGAGCCACAGTCTGTTTGTATCTACATCTTTGTTGAACACTCATTCCTTTATGCAACAAAAGTTTGTCAAGGCCCTATGTGGGGCAGGCATCCCTCCACACACTGGGACACAGAAGTGAACAGACAGACCCAGGTCCGGTGGATGAGACAGAAATAAGCAAGTCATTGCCCCATTCGTTCATTCATGACGTGCGAAGCCAGCCGGGGAGATGTGGGGCACAAGAAGCCCACAGCAGAGGGGCTCTAGAAGGCTCCCTGGAGGCAGAAACAGCTAGAAAGAGGGTGACCAATGAGAGGAGGAGATAGCCGGGCAGTGGAAGGGGCTCTGCAGGGCAGAGGGGGCAGCCCTGATGTTTTTTCCTCTCTGGATGTGGGCCCGCGCCCTGACAGTGCCCGTCACCAGGTGTGCTCACCCTGACGTTCACAAGTTGGTTGAGGGGCTCCTCCATGTCAGGCTCTGCATGGGCTCGGGGACATGCAGGTAGAAGCCACGACCTGCCTTCCAAGACTGCCCCCAACGCGTTCTCCCTCCCGCTCCCTTTCTCGCAGTGCCCCATCTGCCATATGGCCCAGCCTTGAGGATTCTTGCTCTGGTGGGGGTTGGGTACCACTGAGAAACGAGGGCATCGTTGGGGTTGGGAGATGGAGCCTCTGACCTAGAAGCCTCCAGAGTGTTCTGGAAACTTGGCCAAGCCCTGGGAAGTCCCCATGGAGCTACTCAGGTGGGGTCTACAGGATGGCAGAGGGAGGCGTCTCGGGCAGACCCCGCACGTTAGGCCTTACAGCCGGCAGCAGATCCTCACCACTCCACCACCAGCCTGGGCAGTGCATCCTCTACCCCGAAGTGAGGTATAAAAAGCCAGCTCCCACTACGTTATGCCCCTGCTTAAAAGTCTTCGTGGATCCCCACTGCTCCCAGCAAAGAGGCCAACTCCCAAAATTCCTGGGCCCTTCTCCTGTCCCAACCTCACATGCTTCACCCTCCCTGGAAGGCTCATTTCCACCTCGTCTGTCTTAGACTCCTCTGCATCCCCCAAAGGCCCTCTCAATATGCCCTCCTCTGGGGTGCCCTCCTCTGGGAAGCCCTCCCTGACTTCCTTCCTAGCAAACCACAGTCCCTTGTGCTCAGCTCTGCTCCAGCCCAGAGCTCAGGGAATAGGACCTGTCTCGCTCCGCATCATCTCCCCCTTGGACTTTCAGTTTCTCAGGGGCAGGGGCCGTTGCTGCCCTGTCTCTCCTAGCACTGCTGCCCCTGTCTCCCCTGGCGTTGCTGCCCCTGTCTCCCCTGGCATTGCTGCCCCTATCTCCCCTGGCATCCTCTCATCCATTCATCCACACTTAGCGCATTTCTGTGAGCCAGGCCCAGGTCAGGCAGGAGCCTTGCCCTGTGAGAGGCATTCCAGGGAAGGTGCCAGGCCCCCTGTTGTGCCAGATGCTAGAGGTGAGCTTTCTCTGAGCGTCCTTGGAATGACCTTGTGGTGAAGGGACGGCTGCACTCCCTGAACAGGTGGGGGAGCCAGGCTTGGAGAGGGGCGATACCTGGCCCACCATTTAGGACTGTAATTCAAGCCTGCCTCACTCCAAACACTGAGCTGGGCTGACACCCAGAAGCCCAATGGGGGAGACAATTGTCAGGGAAGGGGCATCTTCCTGAGATCTAAGGCCTTCAGGGGGCAAGTCAGACAAGAGCAGGGCCCTGCCTCAAGGGGCTGGAGACAAACAGTGACCAAGGCTGAGGCCCAGCAGGCAGCGGGGGCTGTGTGCCCAGGACTGGGGTCAGGCCCAGGGGAACGGGACAGCAGGGACACCCTGCCTTCAGTCAGGCCTGGCTGGGAGGAGGGCTGAGTGGGTGGGTGGGGCCAGCCTGGGGACCTCAGCGGGCCCTGACAGCAGGCACCAGGCCCCTAAACACAGCCGGCCACGCGCCCTGGAGGCCTGGGCCTCTCCTGAACCCACAGGCCTCCCTGAGTGGAGGAGTCGTGGGCAATGGGGAATTCCCCGCAGGTGAACCAGGCAGAGGGCTCCTGCTACAAACACACACCATTCCCCAACAGGAGCGCCCACACCCTCAGATGAAACCTGGAGAGGGAAGGGGCAGGCCAGGCCTTCTGCTGGGACAAGACAGGGCTGTTGGTACCCGGGGCTCCGGGGCACTGAGGGGCATCGACGCCAAGGCCGCATCCACCCAGCCCATGGGGTGGGAAGGCACAGGCTGGGAGCCCCCAGTGTGGGCTTGGGGCCTGGCTCTGCTTCTCCAAGATGGGACCCAAGTCCATCCCCTCAGCCCTCTGAGCCTGGGTGTCTTTCTCCCTAAATCAGCCACCCCTGCAGCCCTGTGTCCTCACACCTCCCGCCTCTGCACACGTCTTGGATATGAGGACTGGTTCAGCCACTAACAGCTGGCACAGGCCTGGCACATAGTGAGTGAGTGAGGGAATAACAGTAATAACGCCAGGTTGCAGGGAAGTTGTGAAAACTAAGTGAGAGGGCCCACGAAAGGCTTCACGTGTCAGGCATCACACACAGCTGGTGCAGAGTTGAGGCCAGCCCCTCTCTGTTCCGTTCTCTAGAACTCAGCTTGATGTCCAAAGCCAGGAGCCTGGGGCCAGGCCTCGAAGGCCAAGCTCAGAATTCTGGGACGTATGTGAGGTGCCACTCCTCCCTGCCACCCCCCATCCAGCCACCTCCAAAGATCCAGCTCCTAAGCATACGCCAGGCAACATTGCCAGGAAATCTGCCCTGGCCCCAAGCTCATCAGTGCTGCCCTCCACAGACACATGGCAGCGTAAGATGAGGGAAGCTGCTGGGGCTTGGAAATTAGGGGCAGCGAGGAAGCTGTGCTTTGTGGGAACCCCAGGATGCCTCCCAGCTCCTTGGACCAGCCCCTGAGCCCTGCCACTGGCCACACCCCATACCTCCCTCCTCTCATGTGTCCAGAGAGGAGTTTGCCAGGACATCCTTGTCCTGCATTGTCAGGCAAACCTTCCCCCTAATCCACGGCTATGGTTGGTCTCCTCTGGGCCCAGAGCCCATGTAGACCCTGCCACGTTACACAGAGACACCCAGAGATAGGTGCTCTCAGAAGGGGAAGGGGGGGTCAAGTTCACTGACTGCCCAGCAGCTGGCACTGAATGCTCACAGCACCACCATGAGGTAGGTGGTTCTGACCCTCATTCTATAGAGGAGGAAACGGAGGCTTTGAGGCGGTCTCATGGCTGAGACATGGTGGTGATTATGCCTGTGAGTTTCTAAGTTGAGTGCACCTCATTGAAAGCTCACCCTCAGCCTCAGATTTCTCACCTGTAGCTTGGCGATAAGGATACCTTCCCCTTGGATGACAGTGACGATTGATTGAGATAATCTTTCCCCCAATCCATCAGCATTGACTGAGCACCTACTGTGAGCCAGGGGCTATCCCAGGAGCTTGGGATGCATCCGTGAACAAAACAACAGAAAAAAAGTGTCTGTCCTCGTGGAATTTACATTCGAGTCAGGGGAGGCAGAAAATAAACAACCAATTCAAAAGCCAGGTGGTGGCAAATGTTTTAAAGAAAATACATCTGCCAAAAGGGGGACACAGAAGGGGCTGCATTGCTAATGTACGTCCTCTTACGCGTTGTCAGCAAAGGCCTCTCTGAGAAAGTGGAATTTAGGCAGAGTCGGAAGGAAGAGAAGCAGTGAGCCATGTGGTGTCTAAGTAAAGGGCATTGAGCAGAGGGCACAGCCAGTGCAAAGGCCCTGAGGCAGGGGCACGAGTGCACGTGGGAGGAGCGTGGAGGCCCGGGCAGTGGAGCAGGGCAGGGGAAGGAGCAGGGAGTGGGATTGGAGGTGCAGCGGGGCCCACAGGCCGTGTGAGGACCTGGCCAGGGCCCTGTGCAGTCTCTGAGCAGATGTACTTTTATCAGCCTCCTCTGGCAAAGGCCAAAGCGAGAAGACGGGAGCGCAGGACACCACCGCAGTGGTCCACAGGGCAGAGGACCATGCCGGGACAGGGCAGGCATCACAGAGGCCGGGAGAGGCAGTCAGCTTCTGGATAGCCTAGAACTGCACTGTCCAATATGGGAGCCACTAGCCCCAGGTGGCCCTTTTAATTTAAATTAATTAAAATTAAATGAGAAAGCAACGTGAGTTCCTCAGTCACACTAGCCGTATTCTGAGCGCTCGGTGGCCATGCTAGGGACACAGACAGAAAACACGTCCTACCGGCCACTGTAGGATCCACAGAGCCAACGGGGCCACTTCCTGCCTGGATGTGAGTGGGAAGGAGGGGAGCCAAGGGCCACCCCGGGTCACTGTGGCCCCCAGCACGCAGGGAAAGCTTGAGGAGCTAGCTATTGTTGTTAGTTTTACTTGTATTCATTCATTCCCATACAATTCATTCCTGAATGACAGGGCAGATAGGCTTGGTCAGGGGATTGCGGAGCTTGGTGCAGTTTGTCGACCCCCATTCCCCTTCTCTCCAGGCTCAAAAGAGTCCTAGAAGACCCTCAAGGAAACACCAGGAGGGGATGCCAGCAGCCTCCAGCCCCCACCCACAGCCCTCTCCGAAGACGGAAGGTTATCCCTGCAGCCACCACCCCCTGAGCCTGGAGCAGGCACCCTGGGTTGGGGGCAGGCACTGTGCCCCTTCTGGCCCCAGCGTTGGGCAAATCATCCTCCCTCTCTGGTCCTCAGTTTCCCACTATGGAATGATGGGCTTGCCTCATTCTGGTTCCAGGGCTCATGACCAGGAGAAAGCCCCAGCTTAGGGGGTGCAGTGTGTGTGTGTGTGTGTGTGTGTGTGTGTGTGTGTGTGTGTGTTGTGGGGTGTCTTTGGGCACATGGTGTCAAGAGCAGAGATGATGAGCGGATGATTTCACTGGAGAATCCACCCAGCTCTGGCTGAGTTGTCCGCACCTTCAGAAGCCAAGAGGCCAATTGTAGCCTTTCATCATGGTGATCGGCAAAGTACAGCCCCTGTCACTCAGGCGCCTGCAGAACAGCAGCTCCCACTCTTTGAAATAAATGACTCTCCCATGTCTCCTGACTCTCCCCCAAATAACCTGCTCGAGCTTCCCAGCCAGCACCTGACAAAACGGGACAGAGGGTGGTTTCTGTGGAAGGCTCACTGCAGATACCTCCAGGTCGGGCCGGGGTATTTGTGTGATCAGGGCGGGGCAGTAACCCTAGAGCCTGCTGCCCTACAGAGGAGCTACTAATTGCAACGTGAATTTCCAGAGCCTCTCCATCTGTGTTAGGGGAGGTGATGTCTGGCCCACCCCTGGTGGCTGCTGGCACATTTGGATAACAGTCCACACTTTAGGAAGAGCTGGAACCTCTCCCCCAGTGATCCCAAACAGATCTGCTGGCCTCATTTGATAGCAGCAAGATGGTTTGGGACCACGGAATGGACAGCCCATGCCAGAGAATGAACAGCCAGCCCCAGGTGCCTTTCAGCCCCTGCAGAGACCCAGAGAGGATGTGTCTGTTTCCAAGACAATGAGCATCAAGAGGCCAAGGCCACCAGCTTCTTTTCTGCTTCTTCCCAGGGCCATCTGTTGACCCAACCCTGGACTTTAATATAGGCTTGACCCCAAAAGTTCAAAACAGGAGTCAAGAGAGATCACAAATGGAGACCAGGCGAGAAGCATTTTCTGATGTACCAAGATGTAAACCAAACGCACGGGATTTTGAAGGCGTCTCTGTCCCTTGCTGACCCTCAGTCAGCAGCGGGGAGAGGATGCGCCCCAGGTTATAACCATATTTATGCGGAATGTTGGGGTTTGGCCAACATTGAAAATGGAAGAATGGGAGTTTATTTTCCAATTCATGGTGAAAAGATGAAGTCAGAGTTTCCTCATTGTAAATCCCGCTTCCCCCAGGAACTGCTCCTTGACCTCCAACACCTGCTGCTACAGGTGGGCCTTGGACAAGCCCAGGGAAACAGAGGTCAGCCCAGTTCACTTGCTAGGGAAGCCTGGGGTCCCCTGTGAAGACTGCTTGTCCCCGAGCTGCCCTCAGAGGGGACCATTGCTTTGCTGCTGGCTGCCCTGTCCCTGTCATATGGAGGCTCCAGCATCCTCTCTGTAGGCTTGAGCACTGAACGGCAGAGGCAGGATGGAAAGAAGCATATCACTAGTTCATGGAGGGCTCCTGGGGGGCTTGCAGCCCACGGCCGGCTCACCTGTTTGGTTCTGGTGCTATAATCTGCACTCCTGAGCACCAGCTTCCAGAAAGCCTCTGCCAGGCTCAGAGCAGCCACCTGGCTGCTGAGATGCCAGCCCTGGGCAAGAGTTGGCCTGCCCAGGTAGCTCTTGCAACAACGCTTTGACTCGGCCGCGTCCAGCTGTGGGGACCAGCTAATGAGGAGCAGCTGCCAGTGGGCGGGCAGGATCAAAGCACTGTCCCCAGGTGAAATCAGAACACAGCTCATCAAGAACACGGCTCACCTCGCTTAGCTTGCTAATCTAAACTTATGCTCTCGCTGTCTGATAAATAAATCCTCTGCAGCCTGCCCTGCCTGTAGGATGAGGGCAAAAACACAAGCGTTTAAGTCACAAAGTCCTGGGTTCGAAGCTGAACTCTACTTCATAGCTACAAAGCCTGAGGGAGCCAATTACCCTGCCTGGGCCCTGCTTCCTCATCTATTAAACAAGGATAGTGACGTCCCCTGTACCGGATTATTAGGGAGTTCAATTACACATGGCAAGAAAAGATCCTTGCCCCAAATGGGCACTCAGAAAGTACCCCAAAAAGCATAGACATATATGACATAGACAATAAAATGCACCCATGTGCTCATCACCGGATTCTAGACTTATAATTACAGTCTGTCTTTAGGTCATCAAAATTTTTGGCCAATTTAGTTTAAAAATCCACCTTGCTGAGTTAACACTGGCACTGTGCAGCCTCAGCGTGGTGGACTCACCTCGAAGCTGGCAAGGAGGTGGGGGCTGCCTCCTCCTGGGAGCAGGGAAGCACACACACACAGCCGGGGAGGCGCCTGCCCGGGGTGGTCCCCCGCACTGGAGTGGGTGTCGCATGACCCCCCCTACTACAGAGATGAGCAGTGAGGGATGGGGTGGGAGGGCACCAGGAGATACGTCAGCATCCACAGGTTTGCCCTGCCCAGGAGTCAGTTTGGGTTGTGAAAGGAAGAGATGGTTTTCGGTCCCAAATGCTGATCAAGTTGTGTATCAACTTGAATAGTGCGCCATGCAAAACTCACGTCCTCTGGAACCTCCGACAGCTCTCATTTGGAAGTAGGGTCCTTACAGATGTGGTTCGTTGAGGTCCTGCTGGACTTGAATGGGCCTACATTCTGATGACGGGCATCCTTATAAGACAAGGAGGGGGCACAGAGAGACACACACTGGGAAGAAGCGCATGTGACAATGCAGAGAAAGATTGGAGCCATGCAGTCACGTGCCAGGGAAGGCCATGAGCCTCTGGAAGCTAAAGAGGCAGGGAGGGTCCTACGCAGCCCCCGAGGGAGCGTGGCCCTGCTGGCACCTTGATTCTGCACTTCTAGCCTCCAGAACAGCCACAGACTAAATGCGTGTTCCTTTAAGCCTCCCAGTTTGTGGTCATTTTTTATGGCAGCCCCAGGAAACTAAAACAGGTTGGGAGGGAGGTGTTGAGCTGTATGGAGAAACCGCAAGGGTGAGAGTCGGAAAGACCTGCCTTCCCATCCCGGCTCCCCAAAACCTCCCTCAGCAGCCCAGTTTCCCTTCTGTGACCCTCCGTGGACTCATCTGTGAAATAGAGCTGTTAAAATAGTCCAAATAGGTATTGAATGAGTATCCAGTTTTTGGAAGAGTTAATTCTCAAATGTGTTTATCAAATCTACTTTTTCTCCCTGTTTTCCAACTGAATTTCTCTTTTTGTGTCTTCTTCTATCTTTTGAGTTTTGTATGTAGTTCGTTTATTTCCTTTATGCTTTTTTGTTTTTGTTTTTGTTTTATTATTATACTTTAAATTCTAGGGTACATGTGGACAACGTGCAGGTTTGTTACATATGTATACATGTGCCATGTTGGTGGCTGCACCCGTTAACTCGTCATTTACATTAGGTATATCTCCTAATGCTATCCCTCCCCTCTCCCCCCACCCCACGACAGGCCCCGGTGTGTTATGTTCCCCACCCTGTGTCTAAGTGTTCTCATTGTTCAATTCCCACCTATGAGTGAGAACATGTGGTGTTTGGTTTTCTGTCCTTGTGATAGTTTGCTCAGAATGATGGTTTCCAGCTTCATCCATGTCCCTAGAAAGGACGTGAACTCATCAATTTTTATGGCTGCATAGTATTCCATGGTGTATATGTGCCAAATTTTCTTAATCCAGTCTATCATTGATGGACATTTGGGTTGGTTACAAGTCTTTGCTATTGTGAATAGTGCCGCAATAAACATACGTGTGCATGTGTCTTTACAGCAGCATGATTTATAATCCTTTGGGTATATACCCAGTAAGAGATAGCTGGGTCAAATGGTATTTCTAGTTCTAGATCCTTGAGGAATCGCCACACTGTCCTCCACAATGGTTGAACTAGTTTACACTCCCACCAACAGTGTAAAAGTGTTCCTGTTCCCTCCACATCCTCTCCAGCACCTGTTGTTTCCTGACTTTTTAATGATCGCCATTCTAACTGGTGTGAGATGGTATCTCATTGTGGTTTTGATTTGCATTTCTCTGATGGCCAGGGATGATGAGCATTGCTTCATGTGTCTGTTGGCTGCATAAATGTCTTCTTTTGAGAAGTGTCTGTTCATATCCTTTGCCCACTTTTTGATGGGGTTGTTTGATTTTTTTTTTCTTGTAAATTTGTTTAAGTTCTTTGTAGATTCTGGTGTTTTTTGTTTTTTTGAGGCAGAGTCTCGCTCTGTCATCCAGGCTGGAGTGCAGTGGAGCCATCTCAGCTCACTGCAACCTCTGCCTCCTAGGTTCATGCAGTTCTCCTGCCTCAGCCTCCCAAGTAGCTGGGATTACAGGCGCCCGCCAGCACACCAAGCTAATTTTTGTATTTTAGTAGAGACAGGGTTTCACCATGTTGCCCAGGCTGGTCTCAAAATCCTGAGCGCAAGCAATCCGCCCACCTCAGCCTCCCAAAGTGCAAGGATTACAGGCATGAGCCAACATGCCCGGCCTTTTTTACTTTATTTTATTTTATTTTATCACGGTCTTTCTCTGTCACCTAGGCTGGAGTGCAGTGGTGCAATTATGACTCACTGCAGCCTCTAACTCCTGGGCTCAAAGCAATTCTCCTGCCTCAGCCTCCAGAGTAGCTGGGACTCCTGGTGCACACCGCCATGCCCAGGTAATTTTTAAATTTTTTTGTAGAGACAACGTCTCACTACGTTGCCAAGGCTGATCTTGAACTCCTGGCCTCAAGTGGTCCTCCCACCTTGGCCTCCCAAAGCACTCGTGATTACATGCGTGAGCCATTGCACCCAGCAGTTGAAAATATTTGGTGTTACGAATTTGCCAGTGGTAATACTGCTTTGTTTATACCCTGTAAGTATTATTCTCAAGATCATTATTTTTTAAGTATTCTGCAGCTGAAATGCTCACATCTTCTTTGACTCAAGATGTATGTAGTGGAGTGTTAGAGTTTTTTTCATTGTCTTTGGTTTTGTTATTTCTATTGTTGTGTCGTGGGTAGCCAATGAGGCACTGGCAGCATCTGCATGTTGATATTAATTAAGGTCTACTCTGTGGCCTTATACGTGGTCAATGATCATAAATACCCCATCAGGACAGAAAAGGAAGGATAAGCTCCTGTTACAGGGTGCAGACTTTGAGAGGTATCCAAGTTCATAAGGCCGCCTCAGTAGGGCTTGGGGGAGAATTCCAGACTCCTGGGGTCCTCTGAAAGTCGCCCCTGGAAGGTCCTGGTCTTCTGGGTTGCATTTCCTCACCTATGATCAGGCCTCCTGGTGGCCACTTCCATTTTCTTTGTCTTCAGCTGCTTTTCCATTTTGCCCCAGTTCAGTGTTTCTCAAAGTGAGGCCCATAGACCCCTGAGCTGGAATCACCTGGGGTGCCTGCCCACCAACAGCCTTTGGAATTTGGGTCTCAGAGAGTGGGGCCAGGGGTCTGCATATTTCACAAGTGTCTGGTCTGGGGACCCGCTCCAGTTGCTCACAAGGCTCTGGGTAAATCCGATGTTTGCTGCGTTGGCAGTGCATTGGGTGTGGCTAAAGCACCAAGGCCCAGCTCTTTTAGGGCTCAAGGGCAGAGGCCGCAACAAGCCAGGAGCTCCCAGGATGTGGCCGAAGGTCTTGGGAGAGCTGTCGAACCTGACTGTCAGGTCATATGCCCCACACCCTCAGTGATATGTGGGGAGGGGGAACTGTGATGCAGGGTGGGAGATGCTGACCCTGGGGAAGAGCGCGCAGTGAGGGCTGGGGAAGGGGTGTCCTGGTGTCTGTCCAAGTCCTGGTGTCTGATATGACCCTTTCATCGAGCAGGAGGCATCCGTTGCCTGCTATCGGGAGTAGAAGTCCGGGTACCCCTGGATCTTGGTCTCCGAGTCGCCAAGGAATACACGCAGTGAGGCACTGGCTGGAACAAGGCTTTATTCACATGGAGACGGGACAGGGCAGGATCAGCTGCAGCGGCGGGCACTGGTCCCCACGGCCAGCGCATCCCTCCCGGCAGCTGAGGCAGGGCCATTGGCCAGCAGTCATCTCTCTTGTGTGGCAGCAGGAGAGCCCTACCCTGCTCCCCGCAGTGGGGGGTTGGCCAGATGCCGTATGACGCACAGGTTTAAGGAGGGCAAAGGAAGGCACAGAGCCTGAATCAGGGAAAAGTCTTCCCACACACAGAAACAAGCCCCACTTAGGCTGTGAGGGCCTCTTTATCTCGGGGAAGGAAGAGTTCCAGGCCCAGCGCCCATTCTTGTGCTGCTGAGAGGGGCAGAAAGGTGCCTGTCCCTACACCTTTGGCTGCAGAAATGGCAGCAGGTGCCCCAGGGCCCGGCCGGTGGGAGGGTTGCTATTCATCTTTGCAGTTATTATCAGACCCTAGAGGGCCGTGATTGCAGACACCCACTGCCTCCAAGTGACTGGCCAACCCCTGCAGAACATCTGTGGGACCGTGGGGCTGTGGGACCACAGGACCCTGGAGCAGACCCGGCCAGTCGGTGTCCCGGCAGATCCCTTCCATCCTGTGTACCCCGTCCCCAGCCTCAGCGAGCTTCTGCTTCAGTGGCCTCCCCCAGGGGTTCTGCTTCAGCTCCTGAAGCTGTGTTGGCTATGGTCCCAGAGAGCCGGATGGCTGGGCAATTACAGCCTCCCGGGGCAGCACTTTGCCACCAACTGGCCAGTGCAGGAGTGTGAAAGCTCCGGCCGGGTCAGGGCGGGCTGGGGTGCACCTTATGCCCCAGGGCTCCCAGTGGAATCAGGCTGGAGTTGTCCTTGAGGGATGTCCTGCCATCGCTCTTCGCTTGGCCTCCTCTCCTTCCCTGTTCTGCTTCCTGCTCCCTCACCAGTTTCTCCGCGGAGTGCCCCCTTCATAGAGCACTCACCCGTGGGGCTCAGTTCAGGGTTTCCTGGAGAAACTGTCCTAAAACACATGAGACATGAGCTTCCGGATGAAGACCCAATCTCCGTGCAAAGGAGACACCAGGAGGGGCACAGAAGGGAGTAAAGGGGCCAGAGACTGGCGGGCGTCAGGGACTTGGCCTCTGAGGACAGGCTCCAAACTCGAGTGGCCCTCCAGCCAGTGGGGACAATGGCAGATGGGGTAGGGAGAGTAACCCAGGGGCTTTTCCTTGATTGTGTGGTCTGGGACTCAACCTCTGTGCAGGAGCCATGGCCTCTTCTGCTGAGTGTCACTGGCTGACCTGCTTGACGGTGGTCACTTTCACCTTGCTCTTCCTTCCAGGCTGGAAAAACAGAAAGGTGTGCGCGTTACCCCTCTGCCTTCACAGGGCCTCAATTCTGAAAGATCCAGGGAGATTTTTAGCACCTCTTCCAAGGCCAGTAGATACCGACAGCCAGCCAAGCCACCTCTTCTCTGTGGCTCCGTCCTCAAATCAAGAATGCAGCGAGTGGGCCACTGTGGAGAACTCCAGCGGCAACCCGGGAGATGAGAGGCGGTGGGCCTTGGACTTTGCTTCTTGTCTTTTTACACACCTGCTCTGTGACTCCGAGCAGGTTTCCCAGCCTCTCTGAGCCTCAGCTCCTCATCCATACGATGGAGTAACGATGCCTATCACGTACATTTTTTCACGTGTGTCTTTTGTGTCCTTCTTGGGCAACATCTGGGAGCCAATCCAAGCCAAAATTCAAAGTCAGGCAGGACAAAGCATGGGCGATGGGGCTGCTCTGAACTGAACAGCTGTGTCCCCCCAAATTCATATGTTGAAGGCCTAATCCTGAATGTGATAGGGTTTGGAGATGGGGTCTTTGGGTAGTCATTAGGTTTAGATGAAATCATGAGGGTGAAGCTTTTATAGGAGGATCAGTGCCCTCAGAAAAAGAGATCAGAAAGCATTCTCTCTCTCCCCCCACCCACCCCACCACCCCGTGTGTGTGTGGAGGCGGGGGACATGTGTGTGGATGTGTGTGTGTCCACCATTTGAAAATACAGCAAAGGGGCATACCCTAAAGGCAGCCTCACCAGGAACCAAATCTGCCAGCACCTTGGTCTTGGACTTCTCAACCTCCAAAACTGTGAGAAATAAATACCTATTGTTTCAGTCACCCAGTCGATGGTATTTGGTTATAGCAGCTCAAGCGGACCAAGACAGAAATGGATACCATGAAGCAGGGTGCTGCTGTAATAAATACCTAAAAACATGAAAGCAACTTTGGAACTGGGTAATGGGTAGAGACTGGAAGAGCTTTGAGAGGCTAGAAAAAGCTACTATTGCCATGAAAGGACTGTTAAAGGTGACTCTGGTGAGAGCTCAAAGAGAAGAGGAGGCAGGGTGCTGTGGCTCAGGCCTGTAATCCCAGCACTCTCAGAGGCTGAGGTGGGCAGATCACTTGAGGTCAGGAGTTCAAGACCAGTCTGGCCAATATGGTGAAACCCCATCTCTACTAAACATACAAAAATTAGCTGGGTGTGGTGGTGCATGCCTATAATCCCAGCTACTCGGGAGGCTGAGGCATGAGAATCTCTTGAACCCAGGAAGCAGAGGTTGCAGTGAGCCAAAATCACACCACTGCACTACAGCCTGAGTGACAGAGCAAGACTCCATCTCAAAGAAAAAAAAGAAAAAAGAAAAGAAAAAGGAGGAGAGCTGTAGAGAAAATACCTATCTTCTTAGAGAATACATAATTAAGCATGTACAGGATGTAGGTAAAAATATGAAATTTAAGGGAGATTCTGCATGAGGTCTTGGACAGGAACGTGGAAGAAATTATCTAACAGTGGAGAAAAGGTGACCCTTGTTACAAAGCGGCAAAGAATTTGGCAGAATTGTGTTCATGGCCTATTGCTTTGTGGAAGGCAGAACTTGTGAGTGATGAAATTGCCATGAGCAATGAATTGGATATTTACATGAGGAGCTCTCTAAGCTAAGTGTGGAAGGAGTGGCTTGGTTTCTCCTCATTGCTTCTAGTAAAATATAAGAAGACAGAAATGAAGGAAGAGGTGTTAAGCAGAAAGGAAGCAGAACTTAAATATTTGGGAAATGCTCAGGCTATTCATAGTGCAAAAAATGAGAAAGTATGTTTGGAAGAGAATACTAAGTGTGTGGCTGACTGACCATTTGATAAGAAGATTAGTGCAAGTATGAACCACAGACTTTATCAGCCATCCAGCAGAAACACTACCAGTTTGAATTGAAGGAGACAGAGACTGGACGGAATGAAGAAAGGCTGTGGGACTTCTTGGCTTTTATAGGACAGGATGATAAAGCTATTTGGTGGCAAACTTGCACCATTCTTCAAGAAAATGGAAGAATGGCCCTGAAGGCCATTCAGAGATCATCAGAGCCAGTACTTCCATCTCAGCAGGTTAGGCAGCCCCCAACCAAAGCTGTGGGCATCACCCCACTGAGCTATGGACGTGAAACTGCCACTCCAGTGGGCCTGGAGGGCAGAGCATCTAGCCAGACAGGATGATTCTCGAGCTTTAAAGTCTAATGGAATTTGCTGTGCTAGGTTTTGCATTTACTTGGGTTTTGCACTTACTCCTTCCTTCTTTCCTGTCTCTCCTTTTTGGAATGGGAATATCTATCCTATCGCTGTCTCACCATTGCATTTTGGAAGCACACAATTTGTCTAGTTTTACAATGTCACAGCTGGAAGGGAATTTTGCCTCAGGGTAGACTGTACCTCAAGTCTCCCCCATATGTGATTTAGATGCTATTCAGGTAAGACTTTGAATGAGAGACTTTAGAGTTGATCCTGGAAAAAGTTAAGACTTCTGGAGCTGTGGGATGGAACAAATGTATTTGTATGTGAGAAGGACAGGAATGTGGGGGGCCAAGGGTGGGATGCTATGGACTGAATGTTTGTGTCCCCCCCAAGTTCATATTTTGAAGTTCTAATCTCCAGTGTGATGGTATTTGGAGACAGGGTCTGTCTCAGTCAACTTGTGCTTCTGTAACAAAATACCAGAGACTGGTAATTGATAAAAATTAGATTTTATTTTCTCATGGCTCTGGAGACTGGGAAATCCAAGATTAAGGTGCTGGCAGGTTCAGTGTCTGGCAAGGGCTGCTCTCTGCTTCCAAGATGGTGCCTTGTGGCTGCATCTCTGGAGGGGAGGAAGGCTGTGTCCTCACAAGGCAGAAGGGATGGAAGGGCAAAAGAGTGCTCCTTTCAACCTCGAGACTTTTTTATAAGGGTGCCAATCCCATCCATGAGGGCAGACCCCTCATGGCTTAATCACCTCCCAAAGGCCACATATCGTAATACTGTTGCATTGGGAATTGAGTTTCAACATGAATTTTGGAGTGGACACCATCATTCAAACCATAACCACCTTTGGGAGGAACTAGGTCGTAAGGGTGGAGCCTTCACAAATGGGATTAGTGCCCTTAGAAGAAGAGTCAGGAGAGAGAGGATACAAGGAGAAGATGGCTGCTGTGGCAGCCCATACTGAGACAAGAGGTGATTAGGGTCAAATGAAGTCATGAAGGTGGGGCTCCATGATGGGATTAGTGTCCTTAGATGACGAGACCACAGACCAAAAGAAACTCTCTCCTCCCTCCCTCTCTCCCTCTCTCTCACTCATTCTGTCTCTCTCATTCTGTCTCTCATTCTCTCTCTCTCTCTCTCTCTCTCTCTCTTTATATATATATCTCCTATTTGAGGATACAGCAAGAAGGCAGTGGTCATCTGCAAGACAGTCCTTGCCAGGAGCCAAATCAGCTGGCAACTTGATCTTGGACTTCCAGCCTCCAGAACCAGGAGGAACAAATGTCTGTTATGTACCCCAGCCTATGGCATTTTGTTATGACAGCCCAGGTAGACTAAGACAAGGGTCAACATTCAGGTTTCAAGAAAGAGGAATTCAGAATCAGCCAAAATGAGTGCATACAATGGACACACATGCCGGTCAAGTGTGGGTTCAAAGCCACATCTCTTGAGCCTGAATCCCTTCTCCATCACTCACTCACTCACTCACTCACACACTCACTCACTCACACACTCACTCACACACTCACTCACTCACTCACACACTCACTCACACACTCACTCACTCACTCACTCACTCACTCACTCACGGCTGCATGGCCCTGGGCAAGTTATCAAGCTCTTCTGCACCTCTGTTTCCATGTTAGAGAAATGGAAATGACAATGGTACCAAACCCCAGGGTTGCACTTCAGGGCCTCTAGCACTTGGCACATCCTCAGCTCTCCCACGTGGCTGTCAATATGACTGTTGCCACCACCACCATCCTAGCCTTGGAGCCTCTGTGGTTCACCATGATTATGTCATCGGGGTTCCTAGATGTGGGGTGTCACAAACTTAGGAGCAGACACAAGTGCTGTGTCCTGGGATCCCAGAAGAGGGAGCAGAATGTGTCGAGAGGTGAAGCTAAGAGACCTAGCAGGCAAAGAATCAAAGGGATCTTTCTTAGATTCAGACAACCAATTGCTTACATCACAAAAGCAGGAGAGCCAGTGGCACCGGGTCTCCCTGAAGCAGGGCAACACAAAAATAAAAGGGGCTGGGTGACTGCCATGTGGATGCCGGACAGCCCATTGCTAAGGAGCCTGTTTCCTGTGCAGGGAAGCAGTTTTGTAGCCTGTCGCTCTACCCCACAGGGCAAGGCAGAAGGCCTCATGCTTCATTGGAAACCTGGAGGGCATGGGACCCAGGTTCCTGCCCGCCAGCCTGGAAGAAGGGAGGAGGAAGAGAAATGGCCGTGAAGCAGCTCCTCACAAGCCCTGGTGCTCTTCTGGCTTTCTGCCAAGGCTCAGACCAGGTGGGTTATGTGTATGTGGCCGACATGGAGAAGTACAGGTTGCCAGAGCACCATGGTGGAGCCATTCCCCTACAGCGGCGAGGAAGTCAACCTTAAGGAGGAGATGACCTACGCAGTCCTTGAAAATGAGTTCGATTTGAGGAGGGCAAGACTCAGGAACAGCATCCCAGGTGGAGGCTACAGCTGGAGCAAAAGCATGGAGGCTGGAAGCAGGGGGTTTCCTGGCGGCCATGAGTGGTCAAGTTTGGTTGCTCCAGCAGGTTTGTATGTAAGCAGGTTTTGGGGATACAGAACTTAACTGGACAGTAGGGGCTCACAGTTTGCTGTGAGAGGCTGAGCCAGAAATGCAGGCACCCAACATCCAGAAGCTGGGACTGAGCAGAAAGGGCAGGGAAGGAGTGAGCCACAGGAGTCTTGGAAGGCACATCAGGGAGGGCTTCCTGGAAGAGGCAGCTGCTGTGGCCCACCAGGACACCTCCCCACAGTGATGTAGAAAAGGCAGACACAAACTTGGCATGAAAAACATGCGGGTGCCTTTATTTTCTATAATTCCAAATAGTCTCTCTTTGAGGTCCCCCTTTTCCTGGGAACTTATATGCTGTCATAGCCTCAGGGTCATGATGGGGTGAGCTACAGCTGGTCCCCAGCGTGGTCCCTTTATGCTTGATGTGGGGGATCAGGGAAGTAGGTCTGCTGTCCTTGTTGGCTCCACGGTTAAATGAACCCAAGATGCATCGAGTTTTCTCTCATTAAATCGCCCCTGAAAGACCAAAAATTTTCACTGCCCTGAACTCCAACCCTCCCCAGTGGTCTCGAGAAGGCCTTTGGCCAAAAGCAATACAACCAGCCAGACCTGCAATCGAACATCCCCCACCTGGGTGGGGGGCATCACAGCCTCCGCCCCATGGCTGCCCTAGCCACCCGGTGCTTCTGCCGACCTGGCATCAATAGACACACGGCAGCGGCACAGAGGACCCACACACACACACAACACCCGGCAGCAAATAATCAATCTGTTTGCCCCTTCTCACCAGCTCTGGAAGGCAAGTGATCATTTATTCAGTGGGCTGATTTTTCTTGATCGGTGTGAAGGCAAAGTTTAAAATATGCATGAATCCCCCAAACAGAAACCGGTGCCCCCACCACTCAGATGTGGTACAGCTGGTGGTGGGAGGTCGGGCAGGGAAGGGGACAGTGAGGTCTGCGGGTCACAGATGGATGCATTAGGGTTCAGTTGTGAACAACCTCCAGTTTGCTTGCTCTGTGCCAGGAGCCCCACCCACATTCTGCATTTGATCCGCGCCCTTGAGGACTCGTTCTTATCTCCCTTTTCAGACTGAGGGAGAGACTCGCGGGTGATGGGTCCTAAAGATGAGGCTGACCATCCCTTCCTCACGGCACTGTTACAAGGGTCCTGGTGCTACTCTTGGGAGCGTAGGGGTAGAATCTATAGTTGCTGTGTATAAAGGGAGCTATCATGGAGACATCAGACACAGCATTCAGCTAGGAGCTGCCTTCAGTGGCCAGTTATGGGGATCCAGAGATAAGCGTCACAGGGAGACGACCCTCGACACAGTGGTCTCTCACCTCACGAGCAGTCTACAGGCCGGGAGGCAGGGCTGGTGGGCCTGCAGCAGGAGGCCTCCTTGTTCATCGAAGGGGCATGATCTCTGTCCCTGAAGTGACCTCATGCTCCCAGGATGACTCCAGCTGCCACTTCCTCCTTCCAGCAGGAGGAGGGGGAAAGAGGAAGGGCAAGTTGGTGCCTGCCAGCTGGACCGGTCCCTTTCAGGAGCTGTTCTGGGACTTCCTCTCACATCCTGTCGGCCCCACCTTCGGGAAGGGGAGACCCACACAGGACCTGTTCGAGCTGGACAGCCCAGCCAGGGAGGGAGCAGGAGGGGAGTCATTCTGGGTCCACGATGATGGGCCCCCTGTGGGTCAGCCTCTTCCTCTCCTCCCTTCTCCCTTGAAATCTGGTTTCTGCTTTGTGCCTTGGGCCTCCTTGGACATCACTCCCTCTCGGCCACTGTCTACGCATTGGCCCTCTCGGAGGCACAGTCCTAGGCCAGGCTCCTTCTCTCTGCTTCGCTGCCCCGGGGATTGGTCCCACTCATCTTTGCACGCCACACCCCTGCACGTGGATTGGCTGCCCTCCAGGGGTGTGTCTACCTTGGACCAATCATGTGGGGCTGTGGGGGGTGTGGTCACACGGCCTTCTTAGAGCCGCCCCTAGTTGGGGCTGGGGGTGTGGCCGACATAATGGGACAGACTCCCAACCCAGTGCTAGTGGGTACCAAGAAACCCTTGCGGACTGAGAGGGTGAAGGGAGGTCACGCTGAGGTATATGCCCCAGTGTAGTACCATGTGCCACGGGGCTGCGGGATCTTGGGCAAGTCACTCTGCCTCTCCACACCTTCATTTCTTGCTCTGTAAAACGGGCTCAAAACCGTCTCCATCTCATAAGGTTGAAGTAAAAGATTGAATGAGGTTGATGTGATTATCACGCATTGCATGCCTGTATCAAAACATCTCATGTACCCCATAAATATATACACCTACTATGAACCCAAAAAATTGCAAATTAAAAAAGGAGATTAGACCACGCGTGGTGGCTCATGCCTATAATCTCAGCACTTTGGGAGACCAAGGCAGGTGGATCACCTGAGGTCAGGAGTTCAAATTAGCCAGGCGTGGTGACGCATGCCTGTAATCCCAACTACTTGGGAGGCTGAGGCAGGAGAATCGCTTGAACCAGGAGGTGGAGGTTGCAGCGAGCCAACATCGCGTCACTGCACTCCAGCGTCGGCAACAAGAGCGAAACTCCGTCACACACACACACACACACACACACACACACACACACTGCACTCCAGCATCGGCAACAAGAGTGAAACTCCGTCACACACACACACACACACACACACACACACACACAGAGAGAGAGAGATAAGATTCAATGAGGAAATTCAAGCAATTATGCCTGAGCATAGGAAAGGCTTGGCAAATGCTGGCTCCTCATCATTCTTATTACAAACGACAGCAACATTATTTATTATTATGTTTGGAAAGACTGGCCTGATGCCTTTCACCTCTTCAGCAGCCTCCAAGGACCCTCTCAGTTCTTGGGTCCTGAGCCTTTTTGCAGCCTCCTCAGGGCTCTGCCAAATAAAGGATATGAGGACGGGGGATAGGGAGGTGGAGGCTGGCTGGAGGGAGGATGGTGAAAGCTGTGATTATCGCCTGCCCGCCGCTGGCTCAGCAGAAGAGAAAACACTTGCCCGGCACACCTAGCAATTATCCACAGTGACGATGGCAGTGGCGCTAGATGCTGTCGGCGGGTGGGGAAGGGGCTGGGGGGATTCTTCCCTCTTTGGAGAGAGCATTGGGGGAGGGAGTCTTTTTGGAAGGTGCCTGGTCCAGTCTTCTCCCTGCCCAAACCCTTCTAGATCCCTACAGTTCTTAGAATAAAGATCAAACGCTCCTGCTGGCCTCCAAAGCCCGGTCTAGACTGTCCCTTGCCACCTTCAGGTCTCCACCACTCTGCTGCATTCTCTGTGCTCCAGACACCCTGGCTCTCTGCCAAGCTCTTTTTCAACTCATGGTATTTGCAAGGGTTGTTCCCCCGCCTGGAAAGCTGTTCCCTCTGTCCCCTGCTTGGCTAACTCCTACTGGGGGTTCCTCCTTAAATGTCACTACCTAAGTCACCTTAAATGGGCCTTCTCTGACATCCCGTCCAAATGACATCCTCTAGGGCTTCCTACTGCATAGGCCAGGGTTCCTCAAAGCCTGCGATTAGGTCCACACTCAGGAACACCTGCGGGGTGGTAATGGGCTTTGGAAGCACCCAGTTTTCTCGGGGAGGCAGGCATGACCTGAAGGGTTAGGGGCAAGTGGGACTTCTCCTGGCCGAGCCACTGCACCGTTACTGCTCTATAGATCTGACTTCCAGCTGCCAGCCTCCTGTCAACCAAAGGGTGAAGTTTTCCTAATGAGGATCCTTTTTATGCACTCAGGCTGGAGCTCATGTAGGAGCTAATTAATTTTAGGTTCCACATGAACGCAACAGCTGAAAATTAGCACTTGCAGAAAGCCAGTCCCAGCCATTCCCCTAAATTGCAGGGGGGGCCTGGAAGCCAGAGGTGCTGACAGCTCCTGGCAGGAGAGCACCAACCTTAGCTGCTTCTTCTCCACCCCTCCCAGGCAAGGCCTCCCTGGACCAGCCTTTCCCTCAGGGCTCAGGACCACAGGGAGGGTGCACAGGAGAGAGGCCACAGGCGCCCCCAGCCTCCAGCCAGGGTCCCTTGGGCTCACAGCCCTTGAAGGGTCCCTGGAGATGTGCTGTCTTAGGTGATCTCTGCCCTCAGCTTGCTGCAGCTCTGCTCCTGAACTAGACTGGGCTCCCTGGCGGCAGGGCCCAGGTCACTCCTATCTCTAGTTATCCAGCAGCTTCCAAATTAGTCTCATTTCATAAGTCACCCCTGCCTCCAGGAGTGTAGGGGAAACTGCTGCAAATGTTGGGCAAAGCCTGGATCCCCGACTTCCCCTCCCAGTCGGGTGACCTGTAAGCCTGTCACCAGGGTCCTGAGTATCCCTGTCAAATGGGGGTGATGCCGCCCACTCCCAGGGCTGTGAGGCTCAGGCGAGATCATCATGGCAACTGTGACGGTGATGGCAGTGTTCACTCATTGTCAGTGGCATTGCATGAACTTGACACGCCTTGTGCTCTTCTGACGGCCACACAAATCCAGACAACACTGGAGAAATCTTTCCTTTGAGCAAACTGAGCCTGTACCTCAGAGCCAGACTGGGTTTTGCATGGAAGGCTTGCAAAGTGCCCCAGCTTCAGGTCTCACGGAGCTGGGAGCAAATCCCAGCTTCAGCTTCTCTTCCTGACTCCAACGCTTCAAATGACATGTCTATAAAATAAGGCGAATATAGGTCCCAAGTCCCTTCTCCAGAAGCCTCAAGGCCAGATGTCTACTAGAAATTCAAGTTGTGTGGCTCTCAGACAGGTCACATGGCACTTATACCATCTATTACATAACAACCCCCAGGGGCCGGGATAGCACTTCCTAATCAAACATCCATATCTCCCAGTGTGATGTGTGCATATTGACTCCAAGGGATCAATAAAGATCACAAATAGCCTTGTGTCGAATCACATCTGGCTGTGCTGCCAAGCTTAGGAAAACGTTCTCAATGTTTAGAGCACGGTGCATTTGGAAGTGAGGATAAGGGCTGCGGTGAGGCTTAAAGGCGCTCGTGTGCTTAGCAGCGAGCCTGGCTGGCAGAAACTGCTCCTGCTACCACCATTAATTTTCTGGGTGCAATGACAAACAAGGCAGCATTTGACAGAAAATGTCAGCTCCTGCTGTGACCAACCCCCACCACCCTCCCCTGGCAGCAGAATCTTGGGAGGCTCTACTGGCACCCAAAGTCCAATCACCCTTAGAAGTCAGATGGTGACCCTATCCTTTCTGGACTCACAGAACCTTCTCACAAAGAGGATTTGAGCCAAAACATTATAACGTTTCCCCCAGTCTTCCTCCCAGGAAGAGTAGCAGTGACCTGACTTCTTCATTTTTCTCACCCCTCCCGCCAGGGCAGAGAAAACCCCATCAGAGCCACAGCTCTGATCCTACTTCCCCAGAAAGCTCTGGGCAGCCAGCCGCAGCTGCTCACAGGAAGAGACACTCCTCGGCAGTGGCAGCTCCCTCCCCGTGCCAGGACCCTGGCTGCCTACGATGAGGGTGGGCAGGAGGCAGCCTCGTCTTTCAGAAGGGCAGAGACGCCCACTGAGAACTGAGCATCATTTAAAAAGGAGCAACCCATTAAAAAGATCCTAAGAAGGACCCACGCATTTGATCAGTGCCCCACTCAGGGCCCTGGAGCCTGCTATCATCCTTCAGAGAAGTGAGGGTGGGATCTGCTTCTGCATGAAGGCCTCATTCAAGCCACTCCAGCAGAGAACCCTCCAGAGACTGGCCTCCGATTCCGAGCACGTGCCGAGCTGGCAGGCGCAAGCAGGCACACAGATTAAAACTCCCTATGGTTTGCACAACTGAGCTCTTGTCTTAGCTTTCGAACAGTGTTATTTTAGGAAGGTTCCCAAACAAGCGAGGCTTTCTGAAAGCCGGCCCTCCTTAAGGCGGTCTTTGTTTTTAGCTCAAACTCTACTGGTTCTGGTCCCATCCCAGGGACCAAAGTCCTTAAGGCTTCTCTCTTCCTCATAAGAAGGATATGTTGGATGTTCATTTAGGAAGTTCGACAGCCGGAAGGAAGCCGGGTGCCCCCAGGAGTTCTTGCCCAGGAAGCCCTGTCCAGTCCAGCCTGCCAGGTCTCCCGCAAAACGCAGCTTCTAACCCAGGCTGCCTCCCTCCCACGCACACCAAGGGGAACCAGCATCTGTCACTCCAGTTTCTCTAGAGGTTAGGGATCTCCCCAGTTGCTTTGACCAATAGGAGACAAGAGTTTGGGATCATTTCTTCTCCCTCCCACCGCCCATACACATGCTCCACATAAGAATTTTCAGGCAGCCTCTGAAGTCATCCCAGGAGACAGAACAAAGGCTGTGCTTCTCCTGCGCTCTCCTGTGCACAGCCTCCCCCACTCCCCTTTTCCCTCACTCCAACTTTCCAGGGTGGCACCCTAACACAGATCTACCAGGAAGCAGCTACCCGGTGAGCTCTGAGCTGAGGCAGGAAGTCTCCTCTCTCTCTCTCTCTCTCTCTCTCTCTCTCTCTCGCTCTCTCTCTCTCGCTCTCTCTCTCTCTCTTGCTCTCTCTCTCTCAACTACTCTAGGATAACCTATAAGAGGGAACCGACATCAACTGCTCTTTCTCAAAATCCTGCTCACCAAGGTGACAGTCAACATATCCAGCACTCCGTTCTGCATGGACATCTGCCAATCAGAGAGTCGCTGTGACATAAGGGACAGTCCACAAGTTCACCCTCACTTCTGACACCAGCTGAGGGTTTGGAGGTTCCCAAGACCATGCTTCGTTTTCAAAATTTGATGGAAGGACTCACAGAACTCACTGAAAGCTGCTATGCTCACAGTGAGCTTATGAAAGGGACAGATTAGACTCTGCTGAGGGAGGAGGTACATGGGGCAGAGTTCAGGAAAGTTCCAGACACGGGGCTTCCCGTTGTCTTCTCCCCATGGGGTCATGGACAGTGTTACTTCCTGTGACATGGGGTTTTGTCAACTAGGGAAGCTCGCCCAAGCTTTGGCATTCAGCTCAGGATCTTCTCTGGGGCCTCTACCGTCAATCATCTACCTGGGAGACCCCAGTCAAAAGCTTCCCCCAGACATCCAGCTGATACCGTGTTACCGTGTGACTCAAACTGCCCACCTCAAATCACCTTGTTAGACTTGCTGGTCTGGCCCAAAGCCTGCAGGGAGAAGACACTCTTTGGCAGGACATTCCAAGGACCTAGAGGTCACCTCCCAGGAGTTGAAAGCAAAGACCTGAACTCTTTTTTGGGCAAGGCAAAATTCTTTTCTACAACCAACCAATCAACCAACCGGCACAGCCACATCCACGTGTGCTGCTGGCCATCATTCCGTGGGTCTGTGGAATCTTCCAGAAGTTGTCAGGAGCAGCGGCTACATCCACAGGTGCTGTCCAGGGTCCCCCAACATTGTGCACCCCATCTTTCTTCTGCTGCCCTGTCCACTCTGGCCGGCTCTTCAATCCTGTGTCCTCCCGTATGTCTGGCCCAGCCTCCACGTGGAGCGACTGCATTGCGGACTGGCCGGCACAATCGCAGATTTCTTTGGGGATGTGGTGTCCAATAGCCTAGGGCAGACAGGCAACCTCCTGGGCCGTCTTCATTCAGAGAGCAGCTTCCACATGGAAATCCCGGGCCACAATATCTCAGTATTGTATTTGTGTTTTTAGTAGAGACGGGGTTTCACTCTGCTGCCCAGGCTGGTCTCAAACTCCTGAGCAGCAATGTAGCCATGTGACTGCTGCTTATTCCCCAAAAAGACCAACAGAACCATTGCTCCGAGGCAAGGCGGAGCTGACTACCTCCTGCCAGCTACTGCTTAAGGATCTGGGTCAGGTCCCAGGAGAGGAGGGCAGGGCTAACACTTACAGGGCTTGGGGGTCTGGGCTGGAGGAGTTCAAAGCAGGCCTTTCAATATGGAGATTGGCAAAGGTTTTTTGTTTTGTTTTTTTCTCTTAGAATTTTTAAGAATTGGCCGGGCACAGTGGCTCATGCCTGTAATCCCAGCGCTTTGGAAGGCCAAGGCGGCGGATCACCTGAGGTCAGGATTTCAACAACAGCCTGGCCAACAATGGTGAAACCCTGTCTCTACTGAAAATACAAAAATTAGCCGGGTGTGGTGGTGGGCACCTGTAATCCAAGCTACTCGGGAGGTTGAGGCAGGAGAATTGCTTGAACCCGGGAGGCAGAGGTTGCAGTGAGCCAAGACGGCACCACGGCACTCCAGCCTGGGTGCCAGATTGAGACTCCATCTCAAAAAAATAAAAATAAAAATAAAGAATTTTTTTAAATTGTGGTAATATATATATATATAACATAAAAGATACCGTTTTAACCACTTTTAAGTGTACAGTTCAGTGACATTAAGTACGTTCACATTGAGGCCAGGTGCAGTGGCTCACGCCTGTAATGCCAGCCTTTGGGAGACCAAGGCGGGTGGATCATGAGGTCAAGAGATCAAGACCATCCTGGCCAACATGGTGAAACCCCGTCTCTACTAAAAATACAAAAATTAGCTGGGTGTGGTGGCGTGTACCCATAGTCCCAGCTACTCAGGAGGCTGAGGCAGGAGAATCGCTTGAACCTGGGAGGTGGAGGTTGCAGTGAGCCGAGATTGCGCCACTGCACTCCAGCCTGGTTAAAGAGCGAGACTCCGTCTCAAAACAAAACAAAACAAAAAAGTACATTCACATTGTGCAAACATCATCACCCTCAACTTTTTCAGTTTCCTCAAGCTGAGGGACCTCTGTCTCTGTAAAGCAATGCCCCCTCTACCCTCTCCCTCCAGCCCCTGGAAATCACTATTCTACTTTCTGACTCAATGCATTTGACCACTTTGGGTACCTCCTACAAGTGGGATCATACAGGACTTGTTCTTATGTTACTGGCTCAGTTCACTTAGCACAATGTCCTCAAGGTTTGTCCACCCTGTAGCCTGTGTTGGAATCTCCTTCCTTTTCAAGGCTGAATAATATTCCATTGGATGGATGGACCACTTTTTGTTTACCCACCCATCCCTCAACAGACACTCATTTGTTTCTGCCTCTTAGCTATTGTGAATAATGCTGCTGTGAACCCAGATGTACCAGTATCTGTTGGTGCATGCCTGCTTTCACTTCTTTTGTGTATATATACCTGGAAGTGGAATTGCTGGACCAAATGGTAATTCTGTTTCTTTTTTTGACACAGGTTTTGATATACAACAGCTTAGGATGGGTAGACTCAGTGCCAAGGGTAAGTCTTAAAGTGAGTCCCATTTGATAATGAGCAGTTACCCCATTGAGGGACCCACCGACCTGAGAGGCTGGTCCCCATGGGCACTCACTGTCCTGTGAAGGGGACAGTTCGAGCAACCCACTGCAGAGATAATTTGATTTAAAAAAATTTTTTTTTAGACAGAATCTCGCTCTGTCGCCAGGCTGGAGTGATCTCGGCTCACTGCAACCTCCACCTCCCAGGTTCAAGCGATTCTCGTGCTTCAGCCTCCCAAGTAGCTGGGACCATGGGTACCAACACCACGCCCAGCTTATTTTTGTATTTTTAGTAGAAACGGGGTTTCATCATGTTGACCAGGCTGGTCTCAAACTCCTGACCTCAAGCAATCCACCTGCCTCGGCCTGCCAAAGTGCTGGGATTACAGGCATGAGCCACTGCACCTGGCTGATAACTTGATTTTTATACATCATCCTGTGGCTTTTGGTATTCATGTTATTGTGTCATGCCCACCCCTCAAGTGTGGGTGGCACCATGACTTGCTTATAAAGGACAGGCTAGAGACTGAGGCAGGAGGATCTCTTCAAGACAGGAGTTCAAGACCAGCCTGGGTAACATAAAGAAATCCCGTCTCTACAAAAAATACAAAAATTAGCTGGGCATGGTGATACACACCTGTAGTCCCCGTTATTCAGGAGGCTGAGGCCAGAGGATTGCTTGAGGCCAGGTGTTCTAGGTCCCAATGAGCTGTGATCGTGCCATTGCACTCCAGCCTGGACAACAGAGCAAAACCCTGTCTCAAAAAGGATAGGCCGGGCACAGTGGCTCAAGCCTGTAATCCCAGCACTTTGGGAGGCTGAAGGGGTTGGATTTCCTGAGCTCAGGAGTTTGAGACCAGCCTGGACAACATAGTGAAACCCTGTCTCTACTAAAAATACAAAAAAATTAGCCAGGTGTGGTGGCGCCCACCTGTGGTGCCATCTGCTCAGGAGGCTGAGGTGGGAGGATTGCTTGAGCCTGGGAGGCAGAGGTTGCAGTGAGCCAAAATCATGCCACTGAACTCCAGCTGGGCAACAGAGCCTGACCCCATCTCAATCAATCAATCAATCAATCGATCAATCATTTTGAAAAGGATAGACTACAGCGAAAACAGTGTCCAGAGCAAACAAGGAAGCAAGTCGCTGATTTACAGTCTCATCTTCCTGGACCAGAATCTCCTAAGACAAAGGGTTACAGCATGTTGATGAGTGGTCTTAGTTCTGAGTGCTGAGAGTTAAGCTACCTGGATGCAGGTGGAGTCGGCTCCTGTTCCCCTCCTTCCAAGCCAAAGTGATGGCAGCCCCTGTTCTGCCCCAGACCTGCTCCTGCCCCTGGCCTGTACTGGGGCATCGGAAGCTTCTGCAGTCAAATGCTCTACTGCAGAGCTATCTCCCAATCCAAAGCTTCCAGATGGAGCCAGGGGCTGATCTGACTCAGGGCCTCCGCCACAGTGAACGGGGTGGCGGGGGTGGGGGGACCTTGGAGTCTGCAGCCTCAGGGTCACTTCGGGCTCCACCCCTTACTACTGAGGACCACAGATCGTACTTTCCAACTGGCTGTGACAGCTTTTCCTGTCCATGTGCTCCTCTAGAGCCACACTGTCCAATACGGCAGCTGCCAGCCACATGTGGCTATGTAAAGTCAAATTAATTTAATAAAATGTACAATTCCATTCTCAGTGGCACTCGCCACATCTCAAGGACTCAGCAGGCACGTGTGGTTGGTGGCTACTGTGTTGGACGCCTCCCCTAACCGCAGTCCCCTTGTCCAAATACAGTGGCAGGAGAGACACCCCCATGCCCGGACATATTATTGCTTTGTTTGTTGATTCTTTTTTTTTTTTTTTTTTTTGAGACGGAGTTTCACTCTTGTTGCCCAGGCTGGAGTGCAATGGCGTGATCTTGGCTCACTGCAACCTCTGCCACCCAGGTTCAAGTGATTCTCGTGCCTCAGCCTCCCAAGTAGCTGGGATTATGGTGCCCGCCACCACATCTGGCTAATTTTTGTATTTTTAGTAGAGATGGGGTTTCACCACATTGCCCAGGCTGGTCTCGAACTCCTGACCTCAAGTGAACTGGTCTCAAACTCCTGACCTCCTCCCAAAGTGCTGGGATTATAGGCGTGAGCCACCGCGCCCCAGCTTGTTTGTTGATTTACTGTCTGTCTTCCCCACTAGAACGTGAGCTCTGTGAGGGCAAGGGCTTTTGTTCACTGTTGTGTTCCCAGCCCTCATAGCAAAGCCTGGCACACAGTAAGTATGCAAAAAAATCATTGTTGAATGAATGATTGAATCCACAGGATGCATGAATGAGGACAGTAGCATCTGGAGGCTTCTGGGGGAAGAGGGAAGGGGTTGCGCAGCCCTGTGTCTCAACCTCAGAGCACCTTAGACTCCTGGAAGCCCCAGAGAAGGACCCGGCCTAGGAGAAGCCCCAGCCACAGTGCTGGTTTGGCACAAAGACCCGGGAGGGTGAGGACTTTGGGCAGTTCCTCTAAGAGGCTGACTCCTTCAGACACATCATTTTTGTTTTAAGAGAGAGATGAGGTCTTGCTATGTTGCCCAGGTTGGTCTCGAACCCCCGAGTTCAAGCAATCTTCCTGCCCTGGCCTTCCAAAGTGCTGGGATTACAGGCGTGAGCCAGCCTGTCCAAGACACTTCTTGAGACATCCACCAGCCTGTGGCTGGAGGGAAACCGAGGCAGGGTCTTCCGGAGGCATGCATCTTAGAGGGCCTAGACACCTCTGGGGGATCCCTGGGGTTAGCACCTGCCTCACTCTTCAAGGCGACATTGAGGCTCACCCCATGGTCTGACGAATGTCTCCCCAAAACCAGATCATATTTCCTCTCTAGAGGGGATTGACCTTGGGATCTTTGTAAAATGAACTGGGGCAGCGGTATCCTTAAAGTCACTTTCAATCTTCATAGCAGGAAATTCTATTCCTTTACAAAGAGAACAATATGCTCAATTTCTTTCTTTCTTTCTTTCTTTTTTTTTTTTTTTTTTTTTTTTTTTTTTTTTTTTTTTTGAGACAGAGTCTCACTCTGTCGCCCAGGCCGGAGTGCAGTGGCGCGATCTCGGCTCACTGCAAGCTCCATCTCCCAGGTTCAGCCATTCTCCTGCCTCAGCCTCCTGAGTAGCCAGGACTACAGGCGCCCGCCACCACGCCCGGCTAATTTTTTGTATTTTTAGTAGAGACAGGGTTTCACCGTGTTAGCCAAGAAGGTCTCGATCTCCTGACCTCATGATCTGCCCACCTCGGCCTCCCAAAGTGCTGGGATTACAGGCGTGAGCCACTGCGCCTGGCCCCCAAACCAGATGCTTTGACTGCAACTGGAAGTGAAAGCGGAGGCTCCACGCTGCCCCTCCCGTGCCAGAAGGACCCTGCCTACCCCAGGCGGGCCAGGTAGAAGAGAGCGGGCCTTCCCCAAGGCTTTTGTGTCTCCTCCTTGAGGTGCACCCGCCCAGCAGAACTTAGAAACCCTGACACACGCTCCCTTATTACCCCCCACGGCAGCTGGCAGCGATGATTCAGGCTCAACTGTATGTTTACAGCTGGAACAACGGTGATTTCTCACCAATAAGGCACTGGGCCACACCCAGGAGGGACAGCCCAGCGGAGAGGGCTGGGAGAGGGAGGCTGGTTCGAGGACGGACGCAGCAGGTAGCTGAGGGCCACCACCCTGCACAATAGGACCCTGCACCACGGTGTCAGGAACCAGGGCTCATGGCCTCTGAGGGGGCCATGCACAGTCTGAGGGGTCTGGAAAGTCCACCTGGGACCCAGGATTGTGAGGAGGGGCTTTGAGACATGGCAGGAGCTGGCGCTGTTTGTCATCTGAGAGAGTGACCACAGTTCAACCGCACCCATCCCCACCAGGCCCCTGCTCCCCTCAGTACCCCCTCCTCAGCCACTAATCGTGGCCTCTGCACTGCTCTACCCATCCCTGCCTGCTCCATCCGTGCACCTGGCTCCCTGGGCCCTGCCTTGGGGTGGGTTCACCCCATAGCCAATGGGGTGGTTGCTTTCCTTGGCCTGGCTCCAGGAGGCCCATTTTCTGCCCAGCTGGTCACCCCAGAATGCCTGTCACCCAAGTCCATGTGACCCTGGCTATCTGGTAACCCCATTACCAGCTTCTGGGCACACAGGAGGGGTGGTCCACAGGGCTGAGGGTACTAACTGCGCCCAAGGGCCCAGCCTCCGGAGAGAACACACACATCAACCATTAATCACCATCAAGGGCATGAGGACTGCGGACAGCAGCATGGACTGAATTGTGGAGCAGAGAAGGTACGAACACGCCCAGGGCTCTAGGGAGGCTCCAAGGACATGCTCTGTGATGCCCAGAGCTCCAGAGGCCCAAAGGACCACCCCGAGCGCCCCATGCTCCTCTGCCAGCCGGTGCCACGGTGAAGGCTATGGCAGTGACCATACCAGTCTGTCCTCTGATGGGGCCTGCGTCTGGCCTTGGTTTAGAATCAGATGGGGGATCCACGAGCCTGCCCGGTCCCCAGGGGCAAGGTCTTGGGAATGCATGGATACTTCGGGTCAGAAAACAGGGCACAGCAGGGGAGCCTCTCCAAGGTGGCAGGGCTGGGACAGCGGGTCCTTGCAGAGGAGGGACCTGGTGGGGAGGCTGAGGGTGCGTGGCTGTTGGCGATGCACCTTTGGAGGACCCCAGCACCAACACCTCTGTCCCCACCCGTGCCCTCCCCCAGCCCTGGGGCAGGAGCAGAGAGCAGGGGTGCTTGGGTTCGGAGGCCATCAAACCACTCCAAGGGGCCCCAGGAGCCTCCCAGCCTGCGGCCTGCTGCTGCCCCAGCCCCAGCTCACCCACTCTACTCAGGCTTCTCTCTCCCTCATCCCCTCTGTGCCTTCTGTCCCTGCTGCCTTGCCAGGACCCCCTCCACACTGTGGCTCCAAGATGACCTTCCTAAGTGGCAGGCCTGGCCCCTGACCCCATCCCAAAGCTGTCACTGGGCCCTTTCCGCTACCGCACGTGGGGCCTGCTTTCTTCCCCCAGAAGCCCCCATGTCCACCCACTCTGCAGCCTCCTCACCCCTCACAGCCCCAGCCCCCCACACCACATAGGCGTCAGCTGGCCCAAGCCCCCCCCGCCACCCTCACCCCTCCACACCTTTGCAAGCGCAGGTCCTTCTGCCTGGCAAGCCTTCCCTGCCGCTCCATCCCGCCAACACTCAGATGTCAGGAGCCCTTCTCATCTTCCACTCATCTGCCCCGCTGAACGTGAGTGCTGGGGGGCTACTTCTCCACCTGATCACACCCCCACTTCACGCTTGTTTCTATAATTGGCCCCCACACGCCAGACTGCAGGCCCCTTCAGGGCTGGGACCCCCACCCCGACTCCATCGAGCCCTGCCCGTGTTCTCAGTCCCCATGGCAGGGGCTGGAACTGAGTAGCTGCTCAGTAAATACTAAACGAAGGAATTAATGAATGAAGCCCTAATGAAAGCTAAAAACGGACCTGCACCTCCTGGGACCTGACCCACTTTTCAGCCTTCACCAGCTGCTCGGGGAAGCAACGTTGATTCTCTGACGCGCAAAGCCGGCGCATCAATGAGCCTCTGATTGCACCCACCCTGCGCAGCACAGAGCCACCCAGCAGGACCAGCGAGGACATGGGAGGGAGGACCCGCCTCTCAGAGGGCCTGAGCGCCGGGCTGAGGGAGGTCCCCTGGCTCTGGGGTCAGTCTTCCCATCCTGGGCGTTGGGCCCCTCAAATCCTTGCCTGAGTTTCTGATCTTGCTGAGCCTCGGTTTCCTCAAATATAAAGGGGGGGTCCCACTGCTGGTGAGGCTGAGCCAGACCGGGGTCAGCACACTTTTTCAGGGACAGATAGTAAATATTTTAGGCTCTGTCTAAACAGGCCAAGCCGCCTCTGTCACCTCAACTCTGCCACTGGGATGTCAGAGCAGCCACAGACGGGACAGGAACCAGTGAGCTTGGCTGGGCTCCAGGAGCACTCAATTTGTGGACACTTGAATTTCATATAATTTTACATATATTATATATAATTTTATATAATTTTCATATAATTTTACATGAAATATTCTTCTTTTTTTCCAACCATTTAAAAATGTAGAAACCATTCTTAGTTTGCAGGATGGACAAAAACAGACAGTGACCCAGATTTGGCCCACTGAATTAGATTACGGAAGCCTAAATGCAAGCCTTCCCTTCATTCCCAGCATTATTGTGTTTCTGGCTGTCCCAGTCTTCCACTTGGAGATTTGATATTAAAATAATTATTTTGTTTAGTCATTTACTCAACATGCAGTATTTGTTAAGTAGCTAATACATTTCAAGCAGTCAGGGGCATCTATAGATGGTGCTGGTTGCCGCAATAGTAGTGAGCTCCCCATCTCTAGGGGCATGCAAGCAGAGTGGAATCACTGGGGTAGGAAAGTTGTAGGTAGTATTTAGGCATCAGGTAGGGAGTGTAAGGAAGTGTCCATCAAACACCAGATCAGGTATTGTGTGCTGACCTATGGCCTCAACTAGACCTGGAGGGCCAGGCCCTCTCTTCCTCCCCTTGCCCTGCCCACAGATCCTGAGCCAGTAAAGGGAACACTCACACAGAAGTTAAATAAAAAGTCGACGCCCAATGTGCCTGGTAGCACATGGTACCTGGACACAGGAGGTTCAGGCCCCAAATGTTGCTGTCTTAGTTGGAAGTCCCAAAGCCAACCCTGAGACGAGCATTTGGGTACCAGTGGCTTATGTGGGAGGTGATTCCAGGAAGCGTGTGCAAAAGTGGGGAAGCGAGACAGGGTGGGGGTGTTAGTGAGCAGGTTGACTCCGTGGCGACCGGGGCTTAGCCTGCTGGGGACCCTCCAAGCAGTGGTACAGAACGCACCTCGGAGTTGTCCCACTGCAGGGCAAGGAGGCTAGGGTATTTGTCCACCACTCCCGCCCCTTCTGAGTTGAGGGTTTGCTCCAGAGCTGTTACCTCTGGCACTTCCAGCCTGCCCAGTGCCTGCAGGCCAAAGTGCAGGACCATGGCCAGAGAAGCCCTTAGCAGGGCAACGTAGGTGCTTGCATTAGAAGCCCACAAGCCCCGGTACCCTCCAGGGTGGGCAGGGGAAATAGCTCAGGAAGCGCTGAGGATCTAGTTCATGCTGGCTTTTAGCTCCGGACTTGCACAAAGCCCCTGCTGTAAATGGAAAACCAGACCTAGGCACCAACCTCGATTCTGTTCCTTTGAGTTGTGGGGCCGTGGCTGCGTGGCTGTGGTGACGTGGCTGCGTGGCTGTGGTGACGTGGCTGCACCCTTCAGAGCTTTAGCCTCCTTGCTGGTAAGATGAAGTCCGAGTGCTCCTCTCTCAGGGCTGTCATGAGGATTAAATGGGACTGTACCCATGAAGGCAGCAGATAGCTCCTGTATGTCACAGGTGCTCAATAAATGACAGTGTATTGCCTGTGCTGCCCGGGCTAGGTGACTCTAGTGGACAATCACTGGTCACCTCTCCTTTCTCTGGCCAACTGAGACTTGACTCTCCACAACTGACTCTAACTCCACTCTAAACGTGGCCACCATTGGCTTAAGTCAATCAGCACCTCCCACCCCTGGGTACAGGGATTGGTTAGGAACGGGCATGTGACCTACTTTTAGCCAATAAAAGAGGCAATTTCAGGACTGTCTGGCGTTACTGAAATTGATCCTTTCTTCCCCAGAATGGAGTGGTGAGGAGACCTAAGGGTATGAGCTTGCAGTCTGGGCAGACATTTTACTCCCAAGAGGGGAGTGTCTGGGCATGCTGGGGGCACCATTTGGATCCCAAGAATGAAGAGAGACAGAGTACAGCTGCGTCTGTGGTGACAATCTTTTGAGGTGCTGGATCAAGCCTTACCTGAAGCTTCTAACTCTTCATTTACATAAGCCAATATATTTCCTTTATGTTGAAGCCACCAGGAGTTGTATTCTTTGTTCTTTGCAACCTAAAGAGTCCTGACAAATAGGGCATCCCTCTGGTTGCCTGAGACCCAAGAGCGGGAATGTGAAATATGAGATTCACTGAATGGACAGGAAGAACACGCGCTTTCCAGTCTGGAGCCAGTGGGTGGGTGGAGAGGAGGCTGAGAAGCTCAGCTGGCTTCCTGCTTCTTGCTGCAGCAAAGTCACTCTTGGCTCAGCTACTATGACGCCCTGAGGACACCACAGAGGCGCCTTGAATGACCAAGTGGTCAGCTAGGCAGGCAGGGGCCTTCAGTTATAACCACAGGCCCCAGAGGCAAGGTGAGGGCAGCAAAAAGGTGGGCGTTATCCACACACATGGGCCCACTCCGTCAGCATCCGTTTGACAAGCACGCCCACAGAGGACACGCAGGGGCTCTCGCCTTCCCTCTGGATAATTTCAGTGTGAAGAAAACCTCCGGCAACGCAGCCCACGATGATCACTTTGCAAAGCCTGGAGACCTTGGGAGTCGCTCTTCGCCGGGGAGCTGCGGCGGGGGAGAGAGGTGTGTGGGAGGAAGGTGGAGGCTGGGCGGACTGGGGCTTGTGGAGCTTAGAAATCTCCAACTTTGCCTAACACAGTTAACATGTTCGTGCCTCCAGAGACGTTGGCAAGGAGGATGGGGGTGAGAACTGTTGGGTTTTCCTCTCCGTAACAACAGTGAAATAGCCATCCTGCATTCAGCACCTAACCGGTACATTACCCTGCGCTCCTGACAGGTTGGTGCAGGCAGTTCAGGACAAAGAAGGTATACACGGGACACCAGAGCCCAGCTTTCAGGGTGGCGGGCTGCTCAGCGTGTGGGTGGCCTGGTGGCCACAAGGCCCCAGATAAGCCCAAACAGAGACCAAGTAAATGGCCAGAGCCAGCAGCAAGGCGTCTTGAATGCCTGGTGCTCAGAGCCAGTGACCAGCCTGCCCCAGAGGCAGGAAGGGGCGGCACTTATTGAATAAAGCACCAGGGTGTCTTGTGTTCTTTCAGTAACCCCAAGTCCTCCATAACAGGACCATTTTACAAAAGGCTAAACCTGAGGCTGGAAGACAGGGTGGTTCATCCAAGTCATTCAGACTTTCTGAGACCCAGAGCAGGACAAACCCAGCTCTCCTTTTCCCCCTTGGACATGCATCCACCCTCCTCAAACCTGCTCCCACCCACACTCTGGGCCACCCGCCCCCTGCCCTGCAGACCCCTTCCCTCCATACCCCCAGCCCCCAGCCCCTCTGCTCTGAGCTGGCTCAAAGTCACCCTTTGCTGAGTCCCCTCGTGGACCCAGCACCCAGGAGGGGTGGGAACTCCCCGGGCTCTGACAATGGCAGAGACAAGCAGCAAGGCCCGAGGGAGATCCAGGACACTGGTTGGAATGGGGGCACCTACTGGGCAGAGGTGGGTTGAGGCCTCCTGACACTGCTCATGTGTTGGGCCTGACAGCTGCTCTTTGGGGCCCTGCTGGGGACATCCCTTGAAGCCCAAACTGTAAGACAGAACCCCTAGTTACACTGGATTTCCTGATAGCACCCCCCTTCCCCAACACCCACAGAGCCAGGGGGCTGCACAGCAGCTTGCGGGAGAGAAGCAAAGAGGGTGAACCTTCCCCTTGATTCCCTCCTCCCTGTGGAGACCAGGACCTCTCCATCTCTCAGCCCATAGCAGCTTCCACAGCCTCACCCGGAGCTGCTGGCAGGCCACAGGCCCTGCATGGTGCAGGGAAAAGAGAAGTGTCTAGGGCACCCAGGTGGCCCTCGGAGCCGCCATCTGCTCCTCTGCTCCAAGCACGAGGGCTGCAGGGAGGAGCGTGAGCTGGCAACGCTGGCAAGGACAGGGACGGGGAGGACGCTGGGCTGAGCCATCCTGAAACCAGAGCAGGGGACACTCCGCCGCGCCACGCAGCACCCGCAGGCCTGCAGACCGGGCACGGGGGGTGGGGGGAGGGCGGCTCTGCGTTTCGTTTTATTTCATTTCGGAACAGTCCGCTGAACAAAGCGCGCACAGCTGTGCGCCCGCCACACAGAAAGGACAATCACTAGCATTCTGTCCTGATTGTTTCAACTCTTTCCCTTTTTTAGAGCAAAATATAGAAACACTACAAATAATATTGAAGTCTCTGTGCCCCAGGGTGAGGTGGGGACCATCTGGGACCCATATTCTCTTGCCACCGCCACCCCCACTTCAAGGAAGGAAAACAAGTCCTTCTGGGGCACATAGTGTGTCCACAGCCTGTCCTGGGAGCCCCCTCCGTGAGCCCTTTGCTCCTCCTGATGACGCAGGCAGGTGGTGACTCTCGTCCCCGCATCACAGCGATGAGGAGGGCCTGCTTTCTAAGGAAGGCGTGCAGATGGGATATCTCAGCACCTCGGTGGCTTCATTGGGGTTGGGGTCCTTCCCCAATCTGCTCTCCCAGCCTTGGTGGCTCCATCCCACATGTCCCAAGGTGGCCCTTGGTTCCAGACCTCGCCTGCACGTGTTAACACACCTCAGGGAGCAGTGACAGTGTCTGTCCTATGAGTCTCTTTGATGGGGGAAGTTCGCCAGCGCATTTTCCTCCCATCTCCTCGGGACTGCCCCAGCCACCTCCATGCCCATCCTGAACCGTTGCTGGCAAGACCAATGGCACCACGATTGGCTTGGTGGCCATATGCAAGAAACAAGGTGATCAGAGCAAATCAGGGTTCTCTTAGCCAGATGGAAGGACGGGCAAGGGGGTGAGGGGAAGGGTATCAGGTGGCAACACCCCACATGTTGGCCACCCTTGCCAGGGGCAGCAGCCTGTGGGAGGCAGGAGTGAGAGGGAAGTCACATCGTCCACGCCAAAGTCACACCCCTGCACTGCACCCCACCCCACCACCGGGACTCCCTGCACTGCCTCTACTACCCACCAAACTGCCAAACCACCCCCATGGCTCCACCCCTGCACCAGTCATGCCACTGCCCCCACCCACGACTGCATTCCACAGGGCTACAGACTGCACTGTCCCCACCACTGCTCCTTGCAAGGTGTGTGGGCCCAGCAGGGCTGGACGAAGGCTGGAGATGGTATTTGAGGAGCAAGGGCAGGATAGAGAGGCGGGACCGGGAACAAAGGCCACTTGTGGGCAAGCACCATGGGTTAGAGGAAGGATGCCAAGACCTCAGCCAGGGAGATTGGCCAGGGGAGGGGCCGCCACTCCGAGAGGAGGAAGCCGCAACAAGATGTGGGAAGCAACAGGGAGGAAGAAAGCCGGGTACAGCAGGGGCGGGAGGGGTCCTGGAGAGCAGTGGCAGCTGCCGCCTGCTGGCATCGAGTCCTGGCTGAGCAGGGGAAGGGGTCATCACAGAAACTGAGCCAGCTTTGTCACTCCCTGCTGTGGGTCGTCATCCTCTGGGTGCTCTCTGGCTGGACACCGGGGAGAGAAATTAGGATGTTTTGGGGTGGGGGCTTCTGCGTCCATTAGAACTAGGTTTGGCTGCAAAACAAGAGGCATAGAATAGCACAGGATTCAACACACGAGGATTTATTTTCTCCAGTAAAATAACTTGGGAGATCAGCCATCCAGGGCTGGGGTGGCGAATCATCAAGGACCCTGATCCTTCCACCCGTCTGTCTTTTCCCACATCTTCAGCATGTAATTTCCATCCCTCAGAAAACCTCCTGGTCTAAGAAAGATCCTGGAACTCCAGCTATTACATCTTCATTCCAGATAGCAGGAAGGAGAAAAGGGGAAATGCCAAAGAAGGCTCGGCCTGCTTGTCTGTTCCCTTCTGAGAAGTCAAGCTAAGAACTTCCATTGCCTGGCAAATTGAGTAACAGGGATCAGATTTACCCTCCAACCTTACACTACACACACACACACATGCACGCATGCACACACACACACGCACACATACACACACCCAAACTTACACTACACACACACCCCCAACCTTACACTACACACACACATGCACACACACACCCCCAACCTTACACTACACACCCACACACCCACATACACACACGAAATTACGGTTTTCAGACACTGGATGAAAGGTAGCTCAGAGGAATGAGCCCAAAGCAAACATAAGCAAGTCAAGTGAGCCCTCTGACAGCCCCTGGAGAGAATTTCCAGGCTGTATTCCCAGGAAGGAAAATCCAAAGCGAGCCCAACAATCTCTCTGAGTTGGAACACAGAGCTCAGGGAACAAAAGACACCTACAATTCACAGTGGAGAACACCAGAGGTGAGAATGCTGCACAGACAGAAAGACTTTTAGAGATCTGCAGAGGTTTTCTACTCCAATCTTTAGCTAAGGACTGAGTGCATGAGCTTGAGGAAACTGCCAAGACTGAGGAAAGGGCAATCAGAAAAGAAGAGGCAGAACAACCTTACTGAGGAATGAAAATAGTTTATCTTCCCACTAGCCAGAGTAGAAAGACCTCCTATTGATAGAACATAGAGTCTTCAGACGGGTGTTGCCTCAGTCGTGGGGTCAAATTAGCTCTAGACTAAATTTGACCTGGATCTGCCTCCAAAGCTTAAAGTAAACCTTGAATGGACCAAACTGTCTCTGAGCAACTTAACTGTGTCTTAGAACAAGGCCAAAAAACATTTAAAGGAAAAGGAAACCTCCAACACCTAACAAAGTAAAATTACAATGTCTGGCATCCAATCAAAAATTACCGGGCATAAAAAGAAGGAAGAAAACATGGCCCATAAGAAGAAGAAAAATAAATCAATAGAAACAAATCTAGAAATGATCTGATGTTAGAATGAGTAAAATAGGTGGTAAAATAGGTATATGTTCGAGAAGGTAGCAGAAATCCTAAGTATGAAAAAGAAACAAATGGGCCAGACATGGTGGCTCACACCTTTAATCCCAGCACTTTGGGAGGCTGAGGCAGGTGGATCACCTGAGGTCAGGAGTTCAAGACCAACCTGGCCAAGACGATGAAACCCTCTCTCTGCTAAAAATGCAAAAATTAACTGGGCAGGGTGGTGCATGCTTGTAATCCCAACTACTTGGGTGGCTGAGGCATGAGAATTGCTTGAACCCAGGAGGTGGAAGTTGCAGTGAGCCGAGATCACACCACTGCACTCCAGCCTGGGTGATGGAGTGAGACTCCATCTCAAAATTTAAAAAAAAAAGAAAAGAAAAAGAAACAAGTAGAATATATTTTAAAAGGCCCAAATTGAGCTTTTAAGAGTTAAAAAATAAAATGTGTAAGATAAAAAATACACTAGATTAGATAAGATTAACAGCAGATTAAATGGGATTAACGGAAGATTAAACACTGCAAAAGGAAAGATTAGTGAATATAAAGGTATGGCAATTGAAACTATGCAAAATGTAACAGTGGAAAATTGCTGGGGAAAAAATGAACAGAGGATAATTGAGTTGTGGGACAACATCAAGTGGCCTAACACATGTGTAACTGAGTCCTAGGGAGCGGGGAGACAGAAATGGAACAGAAAAAAAAAATTGAAGACTTCATAACCAAATTTGCTTCCAAATTCGATGAAAATGATAAATCTACAGATCCAAGAGTCCCAGTGAACCCTAAGCAGAAAAAAAGAAACAGGAAGAAAACTACACCAAGCTGCATAATAACCAAATGCTGAAAACTCATAAAAGCAGAGTAAAGAGACACATTATGTAGAGAAACAAAGAAAAGAATGACAACAGGCTTCATGTTGGAAATAACCCAAGCCAAAAGAAAATGGTGCAACATCTTTATTGAAAGGGAAAAAAAAGTCAACCTAAAAAGTAACACTCAATGAAAATATCTTTCAAACATGGAGGTGAAATAGAGGCTTTTTCAGACCTTTTAAATCAGAGGGAATTGATCACCAGCAGTCCAGATTGAAATGTTAAAGGGAGTCCTTCAAGTAGAAGGAAAATTATACCAGAAGGAATCTGTATCTACTCCAAAGAATGAAGAACACCAAAAATGGCTATCATGTAGGAAAATATAAAAGGCTTTGCTGGGCAGATCACGAGGTTAGGAGTTCAAGACCAGCCTGGCCAACATAGTGAAACCCAGTCTCTACTAAAAACACAAAAAATTAGCCAGGAATGGTGGCATGCATCAGTGATCCCAGCTACTCGGGAGGCTGAGGCAGGAGAATTGCTTGAACCCAGGAGGTAGAGGTTGCAGTGAGCCGAGATCGTGCCATTGCACTCCAGCCTAGGCGACAGTGCCAGACTCTGTCTCAAAAAAAAAAAAAAAAAAAAAAAAACTCTTTACAAGATATGTAACTTTCTAAAGCAAAAATAATAACAATGTATTTTGGGACTTACATGTAGAAATAAAATGTATAACAAAATAACCCAAAATCTAGGGTAGGGGAAAGTGGAAGTGCATTGTGATGAGGTTCTTATATTAACTCATGAAATAATCTAATATTATTTGAAGGGAGAGTGTGATAAGTTAAATACATATACCACCAAAGTGAGTTAAATATATACACCTAAGTTAAATATGTATACCTAAAGTAATCACCAAACAACAATAACAGCACACATATACACATAAAACAAAGAAGTAGAGCTGATGAGCCAACACAAGGGTAAAATGTAATCATAAATATTACTGTATCCGAAAAGAAGGAAGGAAAAGAGAAAAGGGGAACTAAAAACAGACAGGCCAAATAGAAAATAAGTATTAAGACAATCGAATTAAACTGAACAAAATTAATAATCAAAATGTAAATTGTGCAAATTCACCAATTATAAGGCAGAGATTGTCAAACAGAAGACCAAGCAAGACCCAATTATACAGTGCCTACAAGAAACCCACTATACTTTCATGAAACCCATTACACATAACTATAAAGGCACAGATAGACAAACAGTAAAAAACACAGAAAAAGATGAACTACATTAAAACTAACTAAAAGAAAGCTGGAGTGTCTATGATCAGACTAATATCAGGCAAAATAGATTTAAGAGAAAAGAATATTACCAGGAATAAAGTGGGTAGTTTTGTAATGATAAAGAGGTCAATTATTCAAGAGTTCATAATAATCTTAATGTGTGATACAAAAACCAATAGAACTGCAAAGAGAAATTAACAAATACATAACTGTAGTTGGAGAGTTCAACACTACTTTCCCAGTAATTGACAAAAGCAGACAGAAAATCAGTAAGGATATAGAAGATCTGAATGACAGTAACAATGAACTTGACATTTATACAACACACCACCCAACAACAGCAGAATACACACGCTTCTTAAGAGAACACAAAACAGTTATCAAAAGAAAATATGTTTTGGGCAATCAACAAGTCTCAGGCAATTTTTAAAGAACTGAAATCCTACCAAATATATTTTCTGACCACAATGGAATTAAATTAGAAATCAATAACAGAAATATGCCAAGAAAATCACCAAACCTTTGGACACTAAACAACAAACTCCTAAGTAATCCATGAGTTAAAGAAGAAATCACAATGGAAATCGGTAAATGTTTTAAGTTGAATACAGTGAAAACATGGCATATAAAAATGCAGCTAAAGCGATGGTTCGAGGGAAGTTATAGCATGAAATGCTTATGTTATAAGGAAGAAAGTCTCAAATCAATAACCTCAGGCTTTACCTTACGGAACAAGAAAAAAGGAAGAGAAAAATCCGAATTAAGCAGAAGAAAGGGAATGATAAAGATAAGAACAGAAATTAGTGAAATGAAAACATTAAAACACTAGAAAAATCAATGAAAACAAAAGTTGTTTTTTTAAGAAATCAACAGAATGACTAAACCTCTGGCCAGATTGATCAGGAGAAAAAGAGAGAAAATACATATAACTAATGTCGAGGATGAGAGGCAACATTATGGATCCCACAGACATGAAAAGGATAACAAGTGAATATTCTGAACAACTTTTTGCCAACAAATTTGACGACCTAGGTGAACTGGAAAATTCTTTGAAGCATGCAAACCCCTGAGGCTCTCTCAAGAATTAATAGGTCTCTGAATAGCCACACATTTGTTAAAGACATTGCGTTTGTAGTTTAAAAACCTTTCACAAAGAAAATTCCAGACCCAGATGGCTTTTCTGGAAAATTCCACCAAAGCACTTAAGGAAGATATTGTATCCATTCTACAGAAACTCTTCCCAAAGATAGAAGTGAAAAGAATTTTTCAACTCATTTTCTGAGGCTGCCATTACCCTGATACCAAAACTGGAAAACAACATCACAGAAGAAAGTTACAGACCAATATTTCTCATGAACATGGACACAATAATTCTTAACAAAATACTTGCAAGTTGAATCCAACTAAATATAAACAGAATGACATTATGTCAAAATGGGGTTTGTCTCAGCAATTCAAATGTTGGTTTAACAGTTGAAAATCAATCATTATAATTCAGCATCTTAACAGGCTAAAAAGAAAAACACATACGATCATCTTGGTAGATGCAAAAAAAACCATTTTTTATAAACTCCAACTTCCATTTCTAATAAAGACTCAGTAGACTAGGAACATACAGAAACTTTCTCAGCTGGGCACGGTGGCTCACACCTGTAATCCCAACACTTTGGGAGGCCAAGGTGAGTGGTCTCGAGCCTAGGGGTTCGAGACCAGCCTGGGCAACATAGCAAGACCCCCATCACAATTTTTTTTAATCTTGGGCTTTTCTGAGGCCAGGCATGGTGGTATGCACCCATAGTCCCAGCTACTCAGGAGGCTGAGGTGGGAGAATCACCTGAGCCCCGGAGGTTGAGGCTGCAGTGATCTGAGATTGCACCACTGCACTGCAGCCTGCTCCTTGGAGTAAGACTCTGTCACAAAAAAAAAAAAAAGAAAGAAAGAAAGAAAGAAAGAAAAAAGAAAAGGAAAGGAAAGAAAAAAGAAATGTTCTCGACCTGATAAAGGGCATCTAAGAGAAGTTTAACAGCTTACTAGAACATGACACTTCATAGTAATGGACCCAGAGCTTGCTTTCTAAGATAGGGAATAAGACAAGGATGTCTGTTCTCACTGCTGTTGTTCAATATTGCACTGGAGGTCCCAGACATGCAGTAAGGCAAGAAAACAAAACAAAACAAGATAAAGGTCATTCAGATTGTAACCCAAGAAGCACAGCTGTCCTCACATGAAGATGACATGGTCATCTGTGTGAAGATTTCTAAGGAATTTGCAAAAAAATCTACTGGTACTAATACATCAGGACTCACAAGATTGCCAGATACAGGGTCCATTGATTTCTGTATACTAGTAACAAGTAACTGGTGAGGAAAGATGTCTTCACACAATAAACACGAACTATGAAAGAAAAATCAATGAAGTGGACTTTAACAAAATTAAGACCTTTTTTTCTCTTTGAAAGTCACTTTTAAGAAAATTAAAAGGCAAGTAAAAGGCTGGGAGAAAATATTTATAAAACACATCAACTGAAATTAAGGCTGTTGAGGCAGAAATAATTTGATCAAGGTTTATTGGAATCCAAATGTAAGGCTCAACCCGGGAAGACTCACCAACAAAGTTGGGCATATTCCAAAGTCTGTTACTAGTTGGAATGCTTTTATAAGAAATGTAGCAGCAGGAAGACGGGCTCCTCATATTGGAGATGCTCTTTTTTGTTTTTTCTGAGACAGAGTCTCACTCTGTTGCTCAGGCTGGAGTGCAGTGGCGCGATCTCAGCTCATTGCAACCTTCGCCTCCCAGGCTCAAGGGATCCTCCCACCTCAGCCTTCTGAGTAGCTGGGACTATAGGCGTGCGCCATCACGCTTAGCTAATTTTTGTATTTTTTTTTTTTTTTTAGAGACAGGGTTTCGCCATATTGCTCAGACTGGTCTTGAACTCCTGGGCTCAAGCGATCTGCCTGCCTTGGCTTTCCAAAGTGCTGGGATTACAGTTGTGAGCCATCGTGCCTGGCCGGAGTTGTCCTTTTCCGTTGGTGGGTATATTAATACAGAGGTTACAATCATTGGCTACAGGTGACAACATATAGACTAACATGTTCTATGTACAAGACAATCAGTAAAACTTCATGATTCAGAAACAAATCAGTGTCCTTATTAGTGCCAGTGGCTTACGTATTAATTGGTACGTCAACAGTTGGAAGGACTCAAGTTAAAATTCTTCACTCAGGAACAGAGTGTAAGCGGTGAATCGTTAAGAACTTCCCTGGCAGTTAATTTAGAAGCCTGCCAAATGTGACCTGTAGGTTATCAAACATTTATCTGACAAATAACTTATATCCAGAATAGACGAAGAACACTTACAACTGGATAACAGTAACACAAACAATCCAATTAAGAAATGGGCAGGCTGGGTGTGGTGGCTCAGGCCTGTAATCTCAGCAGTTTGGGAGGCCCAGGTGGGTGGATCACCTGAGGTCAGGAGTTTGAGACCAGCCTTGCCAACATGGTGAAACCCATCTCTAATAAAAGTACAAAAATTAGACGGGTGTGGTGGTGGGCGCCTGTAATCTCAGCTACTCAGGAGGCTGAGGCAGGGAGAATAGCTTGAACCCGGGAGGCGGAGGTTGCAGTGAGCCGAGATCGCACCACTGTACTCCAGCCTAGGCGACAGATTTTCATCTTATTTTGTTTTATTTTCTTGCCTTACTGCGTATCTGAGACCTCCAGTGCGATATTGAACGGCAAGCAGCAGTGAAAACAGACATCCTTGCCTTATTCCCTATCTTAGAAAGCAAGCTCTGGGTCCATTACTATGAAGTGTAATGTACTACTAAACTGTTAAACTTCTCTTAGATGTCCTTTATCAGGTTGAGAACGTTTCTTTTTTCTTTTCTTTTTTTTTTCCTCTGTCTCAGAAAAAAAAAAGGAAGAAACAGGCAAAAGATTTGAACAGACAGTTCACTAAAGTAGGTTTTTAGCATCATCTGTCATTAAGAAAATTAGAATTAAAACCACAGCAAGCTGTCACTACACACCTATTAGAATGGCTAAAATTAACAAGATGCACCATACCAAGTGTCAGCAAAGATGTGGAGTGACTGAATCTCTCATACTCTGCTGGTGGAATATAAAATGGTGCGATCACTTTGCAAACAGTCTGGCGGTTTCTTATCAAGTTAGACCCACCATCTCCCGTACAACTCAACCATTCCACTCTGAGGTATTTACCCAAGAGAAATTAAAGCACTATGTCTTAACACAAAGACTTGTAAACAAATGTTCAGAGAATCTGTTTATAACAACCCAAAACTGGAAAATCCCTGATATCCATTAGTAGAATAATGGTTAAACAAATTATAGCATATTCATTTGGTGGAGAATTACTCAACAATAGAAAGGAATGAGCTATTGATACACACAGCAACGTGGGTGAAACTCAAAAATCATTCTTCGGAGTGGAAGGAGGCAGAACACCCCCCCGCCAAAAAAAAAAAAATACGTACCGTAGGATACCACTCATATAAAATCCAGAAAAATGCAAACTAATCTCTAATGACAGACGGCAGATCAGTGATTACCTAGGAACAGGGGTGGAGGGAGGGATGGTTTACCAAGAGACACCAGGAAACGTTTGCATTTGATGGAAATATCCATTATCTTGATGGTGGTGATGGCTTCAAGAGTGTGCACATGCCAAAACTTATCCAGTGATGCGCTTTAACTACGAGCAGTTTACTGTAAGTCAATTATGCCTCCATAAAGCTGTAAAAAAACAACAAAAAGAACCTCTTTCAACGACCTTCTTCCACAGGATCCTGGTTGTGCCTGGCTGCAAGGGAGGCTGGGAAATGCACCCTCTGGCTGGCCGCATTCCTCCACTGGGCTTACAGGGGTTCCATTGGTGAGGAAGGAGCCCAGATGGATGGGGAGGCACCTGACACTCCCCAGGCTCTGAGATCAGAGGCACAATGGGGGCCTGTCCGGCCTCTGCCTTCCTGTTGTGACAGCAGATCCCAGTTCAAACCCCAGCCCCTGACTGCCGTGGAGCACACTTACCCTGTGGTCCCATACCTTGGTTCGCCACCTATAAGGTGGGGTTGAGATCCCAGGGGAGCTGGACCCATGGTGATGCATAAAGGGCTCTGGGGGCCACGTGAAGCTGCTCCATGAACTTTTCCTTCCTGCCCCTCACTTTCCATGTGTGGAGCCCAGAGGGAACACACCGGCCTGGTTTGGGGGTCACCAGCACAAAGCCCAGAGCAAGGTGATCATGGGATGGGGGGCTGCTGGGAAGAGCCCTGTCACCTGAGAAGGCCAGAGGTGGCCAGAGATGTTGGTGGAAGAAGACTCGGTCCACAGCCCTGGGCCAGGATGGCTCCTGCCTCCTGCCCCCCAATCCTGGCTAGAGCGGGATGTCCCTGTCCACACCGTGCCTTTGAGGCTGGCCGCAGCCACTGTTCCATGAGCTGAGCAGCCCCTAGATCCCTTGCAGGCACTAGAAGCGGCTGGAACACAGAAGAATGGCGGAAACAATTTTCCTGCCCAGTGGAGTGAGGCAAATTTGTGGCCGCCTCTGTGGCCCCATTTCCAACAAGGGCAGCATGGGGCATCCCGCAGCCGCAGCCCTCCCGCCACCTCGCGTCCCTTTACAAGGAGCTCAGTGCCTGGCACAGAGGGTGCCCCAGCATCAGAGTCTCCCAGTTATTTGCCCCCAGGACCGAAACTGCAAATGCCTCCTGGACAAGCCTCTTGTTTGCCGCCTTATCCCCTGCTCACAGGGAAGATCTTCTGAATAGTCATGTGAGAAGTGGACCGGGGCTGGGGGTGCGTTTCCAGTCCACAGAAGGAGAGACAAGGAAACTGAGCTCAGAGAGGAGAATGTCTTGCCCAGGGCAGTCGTGGGCAGGCAGGACCAGGCCCGAGGTTTCCTGGGGCCCGGGCAGGAGGCCTGACCAGTGGCCATGTGGACATCTGGGGGACGTACGGGTCACCCATGCCTTGACTGGCACTGTCCTGTGTAGGAGCTAGAAGAGCAGCAGATGCGGGAATACCCTCGAGGAGCCACCGTGAGGCTGGGAGGAGCGCATGTGGGCCCATTAAAGGATGGAGTAGCGAAGACAGGTGCGTCTTCTGGGCCAAGAAATGGTGGTCTGGACAGAGGTGGGGTTGCACAGAACGAGCTCCTCCCCCCACCATTCCAGGGGCCCTGGATCACATGAGTCTCTTTTTTTCTTCCTTTTTTTAAGAGACAGGGTCGTGCGCTGTCACCCAGCCTGGAGTGCATAAGAGACAGGGTCTTTCTCTGTCACCCAGCCTGGAGCGCAGTGTGTAATCACAATTCTCTGAAGTCTTGACCTCCCAGGCTCAAGTGATCCTCCCACCTCAGCCTCCTCAGTAGCTGGGCCCACAGGCACCCGCTACCATGCCAGGCTAATTTTTTAATTTTTACTTTTTGTAGAGATGGCGCCTCCCTATGTTGATCAGGCTGGTCTCGAACTCCTGGGTTCAAGTGATCCTCCCACCTCGGCTACCCAAAGTGCTAGGATTACAGGCGTGAGGCACCAGACCCGATGGAGCCTCTTTTTTTATGGGAATGTTGCCTCCTGTTTTGAGCAGGGACAAGGGGAAAGGAGGCTGAGTGTGTGTGCCTGTGGGTGGTCGGGGTGGAGGGCAGCCTGCAAGGGGAGTGAGGGAGCAGGAGAGCCTCAGCATCTGCCAAGAGGATGAGTCACATCAGAGACACCAGTGAGCCCATGGAAGGCCTTGAGTGCCTGGATGGGATGCGGCAGGCAGGCAGGTGAGAATCATGGCAGGTTCTTGAGCAGAGGAGGGGCAGGGTGAGAGGATACTGGAACAGACACAAGGCAGGTTTCAGAGACAGGGCCAGGCAGGAGACTACAGGGACTCCCCAGAAGGAGGAGGGAGTTTCTTGGCTGGGAACGGGGGATGTGGGGGCCTGCCGGGCTCTGGGCACCCTCGGCTTCCATCTTTCAGGCCAGCATCCCAACTCCACATTGCCTTGGTCTCCACCTCCAATCCATACCACTCAGGGCAGTGTCAGGCGAGCACAGCAGGAGTTGGTGCCCAGCCTCCAGGCAGCCTGGCTTGTGGCCATCCCTGACCTCAGGCACTGCTTCTTGCCGTGTTCCTGCCACCTAAGGCTCTCAGAGGTCTGGGCTCCGTCTCGCTGCCCTGGAGTCCAGGCCCCTGCAGGACACTCCTCCTTCCACCAGCTTGGCAAGGCTCCCCCAGGCCCGGAGTCCTGCCCAGGGGCACTGGCCACACTGCCGCTGTCCGGATGCCACATACACCTGTGGGGCAGAGTGCAGAGGCAGGTGTGTTCTCCTTGCAGTCCTACTGCATTAACCACAGAGGAGCTGATCGGTGCCAGCCTCCGGCTCCACGCTCTGGTATGGCCAGCCCATGTGCCAAGGCTCTTGGGGAACCTTCTTCAGCCCTGCCTGCTGACTCCCCCTCACATTGGGGTTCAGCCCTCTGGTGTTCCCACGATCACTTCATCCCTCGCTCATTCATTCATTCATTCAGCTCATCTCTGCCTGCACCTTCAGTGGTCTTAGCTTTGGGCGACAAGCCTCTGCAGGTTTGGGGAGGCACCGGGAACGAGGGCCAGTCCCGCCTGGAGGGCCCATGGTGGGGCAGAGAAGGACATCCCTGGGCAGGGACAGTCACTGAGGTCAGAACCAAGCTCAAGGGCACACAGAGAAACACACCAACTAGGGATCGGGGAGGGCTTCCTGGAGGAGAGGTTGCCTGAATGGAGACCAGAAAGCCTAGCTGCAATGCAGGAGATGAAAGGGCAAGGCAGGCTGCTCCATGCTGAGGAACATTGTGTGCCAATGTCCCCTGGGGGTCCTTTGCTGTAGCTGTCGCTTGCAAGCTTGGCGAAGATCCTGCCGAGGAAGGGGTCCATGTTCTGCCTCCCGGCCAGGGCTGTTGGGATTGAACAGTACCTGGGTTGGGGCCCCAGTCTGGGCCTCTGGAGGAGCTGATGCGTGTCCTGGAGAAGGGACTAGGAGAAATGGCTGGGAGAAGACGGGAGGGCGCTGGTGGTTTCCAACCCCCTGAAACACTGTCCTGCCTCGGCAGAGGGGGTTAGCCCTGCCCCTGTGGGGCCACAGTTGTAGCTCAGAACTTTCTGGGCCATTGTTAAACGGTAGAGACTTCTTGGGGGGAATTTCTCATCACCTGAGGTGTGCAAGGAGGGGCTAGATGCCTCTTTTAGCCTGATGTATGGTTTTGACTATGAGCCTTGCCGGGCATCAGCAGTGGGATAGGTGGGAGGGGCCTAGCTGGGAGCAATCTGGGAAAGCTTGCAAGAAGAAGCAACTTTGGGAGCTGAGATGAGGAGGTTTCCACATGGACACTCCACAGAAGGGCATCTCAGGATGAGGGAACTCCCTGTGCAAGGACCCGGAAACAGAAGGTATGGACAGGGATGATGTAGCCGGAGCTCAGCCTGGCTGGGGAGGGCACCACAGCAGCAGCAGGGCCGAGCCTGGCCCAGGACCTAGCAGGTGGGCCCCTGAAGGAGCCCAGACCCCCAGGTGGCCTTGGTGAACCCCTGCTGACTGTTCGCAGCAGCACGCACACCCAGTGGCAGTTTCTGTCTTAGTGAGGCCACCTCGGTGCCATCCCCTGCTCTGTGTCCGCTCCCCTTGCCCAGGCTCAAGCATGGGAGGCCCAGGATGGTGCCCTCCGTACCCAGGCCCAGGGCATAAAGAGATAAGCCCAGTCACACTGAGATGAGATGGGATTTTGCTTGACAAATATTTGTTTGAAAATGGTTTCCCCTATTTACAGTTTTGAAGCCCAAGCCACAGCATCCAAACCACCTCCACCTGCTGGAAAGGCCTGACAGGGGCAGAGGCCCAGGGAGGAGGCCACTGCTGCTTCCCATGGAGACAGAGCAGGGCAGGCAGTGGGGTGGAGGCCAAGGGGCTCACAGCACCACCCCAGGAGGAGCAGTGGGCCAGACCCCTGGGCCTGGGACCTGCCTCGGACAGAGCACCTACGAGGCTCCCAGCTGCCTGTGCCCGCTTCCTACGGTCCCAGGCCCCCCTCATCGTTGCTCCCAGGACAAGCAGGTGAAGGAACAGGGCAGCGGGGTACGGTTAGGGTTAGGGCTGGGGTTAGGATTAGGGTTAGGATTTGGTTTGGGATTAGGGTTAGGGTCAGGTTGGGATTAGGCTTAGGTTTGGGGTTGGGATTATGGTTAGGATTTGGGCTAGTGCTTGGGGTGTTTTTGGCAGTGTTTAGTGTTAGGGTTAGGGCTGGGTTGGGGTTTGGTTTAATGTTCCTTTTGGGATTTGGTTTTGGGTTGGCGTCTGGGTTAACTTTAGCGTGTGGTGTGGGTTGAGGTTATTGCTTTCTGGCAGGACAGTGTTGGGGTTAGAGTCGGGTTTAGGGTTCATGTTACTGTTCAGGCTAGCATTGGGGTAGGGTTAAAGTTTGCTTTGGTTTTGGGTCCCATTAGAGTTAGGTTTAGCATTTGATATAGGTTGGAATTTGGGTTAATATTGCAGTTGGGGTCATTGTTAGATACACACTTGGGCCAATTCAGGGCCTTCTCACCACCTGTGGAGGGCAGCTGTAGCCCGATTCTGCAGGGGACTCCAGAGTTTCAGTTGGAGCACCTGTTGTTTGTGGGAGAGTGGGAAGATACCTCTCACCTTCCCATTCTCTAGGGCTCATAGTCAGAACCCTTGCTCAATCTGTTCTTGTGGGTGGGGATTGGAAGATGAGGCAGGGAACTGGTCAGCATGGCTAGCTGATGCTGGAGCCCCTGTATGTGGCTGTCTGCGGGTGCCTCACTGTCAATGACTTCCCTGACGTGCTGTCCTTTCTTTTATACTCAGCCACCAGGGCCAGAAGCCTGGCATCACACCAGGCTATTCCTATCTCCCCCACCTCCATCCATCCATGCATTCTTTGGCACATTTAACCATGAGCCCCAGTGTGGTGCCACTTCCTGCCCTGCTCCCTGACCACAGTAGAGGACCACGCATCCCAGCGGGGAGATTGATGTCCACATCAACAGACAGATCAGATAGCTCTGGAACGCAGTAAGAGACACGCAAAAAACAAAATAGGGCAACGAGATTGAGCCATGGGGATGGTGATGTCAAACAGAGTGGTCCGTAGAGGTCTGAATGAGGGCAGGGGCCTGAGGAGAGGGTCCTCCATGGCCCCAGGGCATCACCTCGAAGTCCTGCCACTTTCATCCCTTCTTCCCAACCCGGCTGAAACCTTGCCTCCTCCAGGAAGCCTGCCTGATGCCCCAGGCTCTGCTGCACTGACTGTAGTTTCCCCATCTGCAAAAAGGGGCTAGTACCACTTCCCCTACAGGGGCATTGCAGGGATGCTCCCAGACCCACAACCAATGCCTGCTTTCTCTCCGCCTTCCTAGCTTAAGGGGGCTGGAGTGGGAAGGATAGAAGAGAGGGCAGGGAGGGTGGGGACGGGAGGTGCGTGCAGCATGGGGGAGGGGCTCTCCTGGGGCCTTCCCAGGCAGGCCTGAGCTGAAGCCTGCAAGCTGCTGGAGCTGAAGCAGGAGCCGCCCCCACCCCACCCGCCCCTCCCCCGCCTCCCCAGCCATCTGTGGCGTTGGCAGCAGCAGTGCCAGGGCGGGCGGTGAACATTCTGGCACCATCTGAGCAGGACCAGCCTCTGGGGAAGGGCCGCAGCCCAGGAGGAGGCAATGTGGGCAGAGCCCTGCCTGTACCCCAGGTTCCACATCCCCCATTGGTGTTTGTCCCCTTAGGGACTGGGGAGGGAAGGGACACTGGAGCTGGCAGGCTGGGCCTCACTACCTCTCACAGGATGCCTCCACTGCTGTGTGCTGCCTGAATGGTGTCTGAACCTGAGAGGCCAGAGTGGAGGTCAGGGAGCCTGTCCCTACTCCTGCTGGGGAGACTAAGGCCCCCTTGAGCAAAGAGGCTGGTCCCGTGGTGCACACCAGCGACGGTTTGGGCGAAGTCTGTCCACGCTTCGCCCAAACTGGGAGAGCCCCGCCCTGAGCTGCCGCCTCTCATTTTGTCTTGACTGTGGTGGGGTGCACTTGGAGGCGCCTCCCTCTGTCCATTGGTTACCCAATCATGTCCCTGGGACCTGAGAGGGAGCAGAGACAGGACTTTGCTTGACACGAAGTGGCTCCAGTCAGCTGCTGGTTCTTTTGCTTGTCTCCTTTTTTTCTGGGTTTCCCCTCTTGCCTTGCTATCAGTGCCTTTTCTCAGCACTGACACTGCCTGAATGTAGCAACCTACTCCCCAGATTAAATGAGAGAGCGTAGAAACTGCAAAGCATACAACATACAGCATATAAGGATGGTGGTGATGGCAGCTCAACAGTGGGAACTCAGTGTCCCCAAACTGTACACTTTAAAAGTGGTTAAAATGGTAAATTTTATGTTTTCCATGTTTTCCACAATTAAAAAACAAAAATATACAAGGTACTCATTCGCAGCATCTTCTAATCTGCCATGTACTTGGAAATGATATAAGCATGTGTGAACCATGAGCCCATAGGTCCCGAGGGAGGATATGAGCGAAGCACACGGGCTTTGCCAGCTCTGTTTCCACCACGCAGGACCCTCCCTGGCTGCCAGTGCTCCTCCCCGGGTTCCCACGCTGGCTGCTGCTGGGCTGGCTGGGATGGAAGACCCTCATGTAGCTGGCACCCTCAGGGCTGCCCCTTGCCCGCTCTGGGAGGAGAGAGGAGGGTTCACGCTGCACCTTTACCAGGGTAGGACTGGCCAGCCTGGGCTCTACCGGGCAGGTCGGTGGGATGCTTCAGACTGGAGGGATAGGCAGGGGGCAACACTGGTCCTCCTGAAGCCACCTTCCCTTCCTGAGAGCTCCTTGGGGAGAAGGCAAGCCCTGGAAGCCACCGACTGGGGGCTCGGGCAGAGCAAGGGCAGGGTAAGGGGCAGCTTGGCCAGGAGGCACCCTTGGGAGCCAGGGTTTCCTCATCTGTAAAATGTGACTCTGCGAGGGCAGGAGCTTGGTTTCACTCGCTACTGTACCCCCTGGGGCCTACAGCAGGGCTGGTTGGTACACACTAGGTGTCTAATAAATGTTGAGGGATTGAATGGATGGACCGATGAAAAGGTTGGGCAGGTCATTACTGACAGCCTCTGGGTTTCAAGGGCCCATTCACTCTGTCACTCACCTTCGCGCCCGTGCATTAGTTCTCTCATTTATTCATTCCCCCCGCCCCCCCAGCCCCGCATGCTCTACCGCACTCATTCATTCACGCGCTCAGCCATTCAAGCTGGCGCGGGTTCATTCATTCCCTGCCCCTCTGCCATTCCTCGCCTGGCCCCCGCGCACGCCGCACCCCCGCGCCCCTGCCCGGCCCTGCGCCCACCACTTGCGCCCCGGCCGGGCGCTGCCGGGAGGACGCGCGGGCTCAGCCGCGGCTGCGCGGGGCCGGGGCTGGCGGGGAGCCGGGCTGGGGGCGGGGGGCGGGCGCTCCCTGCGGGAAGCCGGGCGGGGTGGGGGAGCCCCGGCCGCGCCGGCTCCCGGCGCGCTCGGCCTCGGAGGGGAGGGGGCGGCGGTAGCGGCGGCGGCGGTGAGCGGCGCGGCTGCCCTGGGGCCATGTGGACTGGCGGTCGCCGGCCGGGCCGGCTGCGCCGGGCGGTGAGTACCTGCGAGCCGGGAGGGCAGGGCGCGGGCGCGGGCGCGGAGGCGGGGCGGGCGCCACCCACGCCTGGGGCGGTCCCTGCTCAGCGCGGGAGGTGGCCGGCCCCCCGCCCCGCTCCCCTCCGCGCTGCGCCCCCGCCGTGGAGGCTTCACTGGCCCGGGAGGAGCCGGGCCGGGTCTCCTGGGAACTGGGCACTCTCGGGTGGGGCGGGGATGCCCAGCCTCCGCGCGCCGCCGGGAGCGCCCGGGTCCTATCGCGGGGTCCTTGCGCCCTGACACGCGCGCCCCTGCGGCGGAAGGAAAGGAGGGACGGGTGACCAAGGGCGCGGCCGGAGGACTGGGGACCCGCCGCTGTCCCGGGCGGGTGGCGAGGGTGCGGGCAGGCCTGGACCCGCCTGCGTCTGGGGGCAGGGCCAGCCCCTGCTTGGGAGGCCGGAGAAAGGCCCGGGAGCCGGAAGGAGGCTGGACCCGGGGCCGCCTCATTGAGCGTTTGCAGCGCGTGGGCGCGCACGAACCTCGGACACCACCATCCCATTCAGTACCTCGCGGCAGGTACTATCCTCCTGCCCCTTTACAGGCGAGGAAACTGAGGCTCAGGGAGGCCAGGGCCTCGCCCAGAGCGGCTCAGCCGGCGCGCTCACCCTCCCTGAGCCCCAGCACGTTGGATGGGAATTTCTGCCCCAGCGTTTCCGCTTCCTGCTTGGTTTAGAGGTGTTTCCTTCCTCGTCTGTGCCCCACCCCATCCCCAATGTGGTTTCCTCAGGGCAGGAACAGCGTGGGCGACGCGCTGGAGTCTCCTGAGCCGGCAGAATGGGAGCAGAGTGGGCACCCGGGAGCGGGGCCGGATGGATAGGGAGCACTGCACGTGCAAAGTCCGCATGGCCAAGGTCGGCCGCCAGTGCAGACTGGGGGTCCAGGCCCTGGGGGTATGGGTGGGGCGGGGTCTCCACAGCCAGGCTCCGTCGGAGGCCCCAGTGCTCTGGCTCTCTGGAGGCCATGGACAGGTTCTTTTCCTTCTCTGGACCCTAGTTCCTCTGCCTGCCAAGAGCAGCAGAGACCCCCACTACTCCCAGGGCCAGGCTCCCACGAGGACTGTGGGCAGAAGCCCCTAACAAACTGCGGTGTGCAGCCCTGCCAGGCTGGCCTTGGTCTTGCCAGCAGGGGCAACTGGCCGTTGGGGGTGGCTCTGCCTGGCATCTGTGACACGCAGGGCGGGGAGACGGCAGAGAGGGCCCCAGCAGCATCCTGCAAACCCTTAATTTTCCCGACTCTCACTATAATCAGGGCAGCTTGGAAAAGCAAGCACTGTGGCAGATGCGGCTCTGCCCGGGCTCAGCACACGGGCTCTGGGCGATGGGCGGCTGCGCTGCCGCCAAGGGCCCTCCCCAGCTTTTGTCTCATATTTATAGATTCCAAGGCTCCGCGTTCCGTTTGTCGTCAAAACCTGGAGCTGTTCGCACCTGGGAGCTGAGTGGGGAGGGGAGGGCTGCCTAGAACCTCAGCCTGGAGGATGAGTTTTCCATGCGCTGGGGTGGAGTAGGGGGACACCTGTCAGAGCCCAGGCCTGGAGAGAGGAAATGAGCCCTAAGCAATCTGGAAGATCTTCCATCCACTCTCCCAAGACTTGGGCGCAGGGTCTGGCCCACATAGCTGCCATTTATGGAACGCCTGCTATGTACTGGGCCCTGGATCAGCATTTCCACGCATCATCTCCACGGCAACACTTTGAAGGAGCTTCCCTACTCCTGCAGGCACTCCTGATGCTGAAGAGTGGATGGATGGATGAATGGATGGATGGATGGATGGATGGATGGATGGATGGATGGATGGGAGGGAGGGAGGGATGGATGGGAGGGATGGATGGATGGGAGGGAGGGAGGGAGGGATGGATGGATGGGAGGGAGGGAGGGAGGGATGGATGGGAGGGAGGGAAGGAGGGATGGATGGGAGGGATGGGAGGGATGGATGGATGGGATGGATGGATGGATGGATGGGAGGGAGGGAGGGAGGGAGGGATGGATGGATGGATGGATGGATGGATGGATGGATGGGAGGGATTGACTGAAGCCCATGAGTCCATGGCTATTGGACACAGTCCACAAATCATTACCCAGGGTCCCAGGAGGTGGGGTCCAAGGGCTGAGTAGTTGCTGAACAGATGAAGGGGTCAAGGTGTGTTACAGGAGCCTGGCCCAAGGCCTGAAGGTGATGGGGAGAGTGTAGAGTGTTCAAGTCTCAAGACTTAGAGAGGCTGTGTCCTGCTGGAGTGTGGAAGCCATGGCGGTGGGGAGGTGTGGCTCCTCCCCCTAAGGGAGGTAAGGATCCCTGGGACAGATGGGTGGGTGACCCTAGGACTCGCCGTGTTGGTCTAGAATCACCCCGCATGGTTCTCTTCTGACTCCCCTTCCTGCCGCAGAGCTGGTCGCTAGCCTTAGTGGAGAGGCCTGGACGGAGGTCTGCAGCCCTGGGTTCTGGTTCCTCCTCTGCCGCTGACTCACTGTCTCCTCTCTAGGGCTCCGTATCAGAAGCTTAACACCCATTACAGTCAGGGGAGTGACTTCTGTGGCCTGAGAGCAGGCATCAGATTGTAGCCTGTGGTGGGAGAAGCTGGCCAGAGGTGTCTCTATTGCTTTAATCATTATAGGAATGAATGAATGAATGAATGATGAATGACTAAGTGTGTGAATTCTACACTCACCTAACATGCTGTACCTAAGCACCCACTCTGCACTGCTCATTGGGGTCACTTAGGTGAGTCTGACACAGACCTTGCCCTCCACGAGTCCACAGTTTGCTGGGAGACATGGACCTTGGCCAGTACGGCAGGAGTCAGGAGCTGCTGGGGCTCTTCTCTCCCCTCTAGCCAGGAAGGGAACTCAAAAGTGGCCCTTGCCTCAGCAGGCCTTGAGTCTGGAGGACAGTACAGCAGCCTCTGTGGTCTGCCTGGGGTGGGGATCAGCCAGGGCCCAGCTCTGAGCCAAGCAGGGGAATTGCAGTCATTGGTTCAATCAGCAAGCCCTGAGCCCAAGTCAGGGATGGAGATGGGTCAGGCCTGGGCTTTGCCTGGGGAAGCCAGACATGGAAGCCTGGTCATCCCACAGTGGGTGCATGCTGGGATTAAGAGGTGCATGAGGTGGAGAAGCAACGCAGGCATGCTGAAGGGGATGCATGGGTGGATGATACTGTATGGAAGGGAAGCACTAGCAGGATAGAGCAGCGGATGGATGGGTAGAAACCTAGAGGGATAGGCTGGGCGCAGCGGCTCACGCCTGTAATCCCAGCACTTTGGGAGGCCAAGGTGAGTGGACCACCTGAGGTCAGGAGTTCAAGACCAGCCTGACCAATATGGTGAAACCCCGTCTCTATAAAAATACAAAAAAAATTAGGTGGGTGTGGTGGTGTGCACCTGTAGTTCCAGCCATTTGGGAGGCTGAGACAGGAGAATTGCTTGAACCCAGGAGGCAGAGGTGAGGTTGCAGTGAGCCGAGATCGTGCCACTACACTCCAGCCCCTGGGCAACAGAGTGAGACTCCATCAAAAAAAAAAAAAAAAAGGAAGAAAAACGAAAGAGAGAGAGAGAAAGAAAGAAAAAAAGAAAAGAAAGAAAGAAAGAGAGAAAGAGGGATAGATGGACGGGAGGAGAGGTTGATGGATGTAAGTAGCAAGATAGGGATGGGTGGGTGGACAGATGGAAAAGTTGATATGGATACAGGACTGGATTGATAGAACAAAATATCAATGGATGATACATGGGTGGAGGGAGGGAGACTTCTGATACACAAGGCAAGATTGGTAGATGAATGGATGGAAGGATCTTTGGATGGATGGATGAAGGAATGGATACATAAATGGATACAGGTAGTGCCTGGATGTTGGGATGGGTGGATGAATACTTGAATACATGTCCATGAATGATGGACAGAGGAATGAATGGACACTGGAAGAGTGAGTGCATGGATAGGTGATGAGTGTATATTGACGGATGTGTGGATAGAGGCCTGAGAAGGCAGCTCAGTGCACAAATGGATACAAAGCAATGGATGCATGGATACGAGACACAAGTAACAGAGGAATGGACAGACATGGAGGGATGGGCAGGCGGACAGATGGAGACGGGAGTGAGAGGACCAGTGAACAGATGAGTGCCCATCAGCGGGTGAGGGACACAGAGACAGAAGGATGTGTTGGTGCGTGGATGGCACCTGTAAATGGGTGAGCGGTCACAGGGGTGGATGGTGAAGGACGGTTGGTTGAATGGGTGAAGCTTCAGGTCACTCATGCCTTGATTTCCCAGATGCCAGTGTTTTGCTCACAGACCCCCATGTCCCTCTGCTTCAGAGACATATACTACGCAGGCGCAGGGTCAGGAGGGGGCTGATCAGACAGGGAGACTTAACCCCACCTTGACTTTGGTGGGAGAAAAGCCAACCCAAACTAACAGCTATTTGGCCTTTCCAGGCCCGCTTTGCCCTGGAAGACCCACTCAGGAAATAAGGAAGAAGCAGTGAGACCTCTTCGAAAGGTCAGCGGCCAGCCGGGGTTCCTACAGGGGCGTCCTTGCCCAGGGATCTCCCTGGAAGACCTGGACAGCTGTGTACATGTCCTATCTGAGGAAGAGAACTGGGGCACCTGTGTTGGGTGCTGGGGACTGGGAGACATCAAGACCATGGCTGCCCTTGGAGATTCTGAGGCCAGCGTGGAAAATCCAGGGACAGCGGGGCAGGTGATTAGGAGCACAAGTGTGCGGATTCCCAGAGCCTCAGTGTCCTCAACTGCAAAAGGGGAATAATAATAGACACTTCTGACTGGGCGCGGTGGCTCACGCCTGTAATCCCAGCACTTTGGGAGGCCGAGGTGGGCCGATCACGAGGTCAGGAGATCAAGACCATCCCGGCCAACATGGAGAAACCCCATCTCTACTAAAAATACAAAAATTAGCTGGGCATGGTGGTGCGTGCCTGTAATCCCAGCTACTTGGGAGGCTGAGGCAGGAGAATCGCTTAAACCGGGGAGTCAGAGGTTGCAGTGAGCCGAGATCGCGCCACTGCACTCTAGCCTGGCAGCAGAGCGAGACCTGTCTCAAAAACAAAAGAGAAAAAAGAAAGAAAGGAAAAAAAATAAACTTCTGTGCTGGGACGAGGGGAAGGTTGGTGAAGGTGACCACACCTCTGCTGGCCTATGCTGCGGCCCCTGGCGCATGCCCGCACCATGGGGGTTTACCCGAGACCCCTCAGAGCCCAGTTTCCTCCTCCGTGAAGCGGGGTAGCTGCTCCTAGCTTTCAGGCCTGCTGTAAGAATGAAGCGAGGTGACGTTTGGCACTGTCAGCAGAAGCCCGGCATGCCTGCCCACTCGGCAGGGTCCTCCCAACATCCTGTGGCCTGGTCTTCCTGCTCCAATCCCAGCAGACAGTGGGCAGCCTCATGCCCCTTCTGTCCGAGCTGGCAGGGGCCAGCTTTCCAACCACAGGGGCAGTGTGTGCCAGGCAGCAGGAGAGGGGCTTGGGCATCTGGAGAGGAAACGGGTGTGAGTGCCTGACCTTTGGGGTTCTGTCCTGGGCCTGACATGCCCAAGCCATGTGACCTCCGACGGGTCACTGCACCTTTCTGAGACCCTGCTTCTTTTAGCAGAAAATAGAGCCTTTGGCTGTCCTGATGCACAGAGGCGGGTGGGGATTTGGGGTGATGACGCATGCACAGCACGGAGCTTGGCACGCAGGATGGGCTTGGGAAGCAGGACTGAATCAGATGAGTCAAGAGGCAGGGGCTGCGGTGCCAGGAGCCGGAAGCCCCTCCAGGAGAGGTTGTCCAGGCTGCTGGTAGGTGAGCAGGTCCAGGCCGTGAGCCCACGGTAGCCGGCAGCATCCTTAGAGCCTCAGGCCCAGGCGCCTGAGAGCCAGCAGGTTGTTATGACAACGGAAACTTGCCTGATGCAGCCTGAAACTCTGGAAGCAGCTCAGAGGACTGGTTGGCCAGAGCCCCCAGAACACTCCTGCAACCATGCGTGCTAGTGAAACGGCCACATCAGAGCCCCAGTGCTAATGAGTCCTGAAGTCCCTTGCTCATGCCACTTCCCAGCACTGCCATGGGCTGAGTACTGCCCCATGCCCACCTGACAGATGAGGAGGGGATGTGGCTTGCCCGCAGGCCTGTTGGAGTGTTGGAGAAGGGATTTGAACTTGGATCTGCCAGCCTCCAAGTCTCTTTCCCACTGGTAATAGGGCAGGGGCTGAACGGCTGCTGCTGGGGAAGGGCTGTCCGGGTGTAGAGGGGCGACTGTCGGGGACCATAGGGTGGGAGGAGGACACTGTGGCCTCCCGAGAGCCTGAGATCCCTCCCCTATATTCTCATCCTGTTTCCAGTCACAGTAGGCCCACACCAGGCTGGGGATGTTTGTGAACTGACAGCCTGAACCTGCTATGCCATTCATTCAGTCAGTCATTCAAGAACTACGCATTGAGCACCTGCTATGTGCCAGGCCCTATGCAAAGAGCTGGGATACAGTGGAAGTTACATTCTACGGGGGGACACACACACAGATAATAAATAATTGCAAACATTAGTTACAGCTGGGGGCCAGGGCTATAAGGGGCTGCCGCAGGGGTACTTGATCTAATCTGAGGGACAGAGGGGGACAGGCTGTGAAACTGGGACCCTGAAGGTCAGCTGGGAATTAGATGATGGGAAGGAGGGGAAGGGAGAGAGTGAGAGTGTTTCTGGCAGAGGGAAAGCAAGTGCAAAGGCCCTGAGGTCAGATAGAGCTTAGCACATTCAGGACCTGAGAGACGTTCCTTGGCAGCGGGGAGCACGGGGCGGGAGGGTAGCAGAGAGAGAGAGAAGACACCAGCAATTGTCAGGGCCTTGCAGTGTATATGAAGGTGTGACGTTGTCTAGTCACCTGGCCTGTGATTTTATTTATTTTTTCTTTATTTATGTGTTTATTTTTTAGATAGAGTCTTGCCCTGTCACCCAGGCTGGAGTGCAGTGGTGTGATCTCAGCTCACTGCAACCTCTGCCTCCCGGGTTCAAGTGATTCTTCTGCTTCAGCCTCCCAAGGCTGGGACTACAGGCAGGCGCCACCACACCCAGCTAATTTTTGTATTTTTAGTAGAGATGGGGTTTCACCATGTTGGTTAGGCTAGTCTCGAACTCCTGACCTCAGGTGATCCGCCTGCCTCGGCCTCCCAAAGTGCTGGGATTCCAGGCGTGAGCCACCGCACCCGGCCTGGTCTGTGATTTTAAAAGGTCACACTCGCCGTGTTTGTGGGATAGGCCGGGCTGGATCCGCATCGACTCAGGAGGCACAGGAAGGGATGATCGCAGATGTCCAAGTGAGACATGGTAGTGTCTGGTACCAGCAAAGTGATGGTGAGGATGCAGGGAGGTGGCCAGGCCTGAGAAAGGCTGAATCTCCAGGGCCTGGCAGCCAGGGGCGGGGACAGGGAAGAGGGAAGGAAAGAGTTGAAGCGGCCCCTGTTCCTGTCTTGGGTGGCTGAGGCCATGGTGAGGCCACGCACTGAGTTTTGCAGACTCAGTCAGGGGCGCTTTGGGCATTCAGAGAGGTGTCCGGCAGAGCTCAGAAAAGCAGGGGTCCTCAGCACCTGATGGAGGCATCCAGACAGAGCCCAGATGTACAGCTATGAGCATGCCACACAGGGCCTCAGCCTCGCTCCAAGCAGCACCAGAGGCCAGGCCAGCGATGGTGGTAATGCCCACCAGGCCAAGGGCCTGGGCTGCCACCCCTGGAAAGCCTTCCTTCAGTCTAGCAGCCTAAAGCCGCATCCTAGGAAGGATCTCTGTGTGGGGTGCAGTGGGCAGGCGTGTCTCCCTTCACACAAATGATGGAGGGTCCAGGTCTGGCTCTAACCCTTCTCTAAGTTTATCTCCCTGGCCCCACTCCCACCTAACTACACCCGAGGCCTCCATGTGCCAAAGGCTCTTGCTCATAGCGTTAACAACTGCTTTTTCTCACCCTAACCCTGTATATCATTGGAGAATTGCACATAGCTGCTACCAACAGAGATGAAATAACCATAGCTTAAAGACAAGAGGTTATTTTTCTTTCAAGTTAAAGAAGTACCAGAAGCAGGCCAGGCACAGTGGCTCACGCCTATAATCCCAGCACTTTGGGAGGCCAAGGCAGGCGGATCACCTGAGGTCAGGAGTTCGAGACTAGCCTGACCAACATGGTGAAACTCTGTGTCTACAAAAAATACAAAAATTAGCCAGGCATGGTAGCAGGCGCCTGTAGTCTCAACTACTTTGGAAGCTGAGGCAGGAGAATTGCTTGAATCTGGGAGCGGAAGTTGCAGTGAGCCGAGATCATGCCATTGTAATCCAGCCTGGGCAACAAGAGCGAAACTCCATCTCAGAAAAAAAAAAAAAAAAAAAAGTACCAGAGGCAGATGATGCAAGGCTGGTGTGATGATGATTCAGTGGTCATGAGATATCCGGATTCCTTTTGTCTTTCTGCTCCTCCATCTTTTATATATGGCTGCTGCCACAAGTTTGTCTCATGGTGCAAAATGGCTGCCACAGCTCCAGCCATCACTTCCATGTTCTAGAGAAGAAGCAGGAGGTTGGTGAATGGGAAAAAGACACAGGCTGGCTGTCTGATCTTTTCTGCAGAGTTCTGCCAGCAGTCACACCCAACTTCTGTTTATAGTTCATTGGCTACCTCCTGGCCTGGCTTATAGGAGCCTGGGAAAGGTGGTCTTTTAGCCGACTACCCTGTATCTCAAAAGAAAATGAAGGCTCTGTAATAAGGATGCATGGGAGGACTGTGGGCTGCCCGCAGCCTCTGCCACCCCCTTCCATTTGCTGGTTTGCTGCAGTTCCAGTTTGCCCTGCTTCAGGCCCAGCACTCAAGCCATCATGGTGGCCACCGTGGCCATCTGTCCACTGCCTGTCCTCTGTGCCCCTGCACCCTGCACCGCACCTGGCAGAGGAGATGTGAGAGTAGGAGAGGGGGAGGCCCAGCCTAGGGCCCTGTGCACCATGGGAGCTCACTCAGGGAGGGCTCCTCCCCAGGCAGAGCCCAGGACACGACCTTCCCCTCTCTAGCACTTTCTAAGCCCTGAAGCTCAGCTCTCATTTAGTGAGAATCGATTTGGGGGTGGGAGGCCAAGAGGCCCTGCCACTGGATCAATGGGCAGGCGGGCATCTGGCAGGCAGCCCTGGCCTGTGAGGACGGGAGGCACAGCCCCCAAGAGGGCACAGGGATCCCAGCCCCATGGGAGGAGAGGAGTGGGTGACGGCGCTCTTGGGGAGCCCGGACCTTGGACTGACTCAGGAGGATGCTCTCAGGGGCCAGCTCCCAGGCACGGGGCTCTAACCCTACCTGTCCCAGGCAGGACGGCTACAGCTCCCTCCTGGAGCCCGGGACAGAAGCCCCCATCAAGGAAGCTCACAGACAGGACCTTCGAAGCCACATGCCAAGCCCCAGCCAAGGTCGGAACCCCAAGGGCAAAGCATCTTGCCACCGCTGGGCAGCTCGGTCCAGCCAGGAGATGGCCCGGGTGTCGCCAGCCCAGCCTTCCTCCCCAGAGTCCCTGAACACAGGCAGCCGGGCTGTCACTGGCTCCCTCGCACGCCTGGGCCGCTGGCGGGAGGCCAGACTGCCCTTCTCCAGGTTCCTGGATGAGGTCACTGTGCGGGTTCTGGACCCTGGGACCCTGGAGGCCTTCAGGGTGCCCAGAGGCCGCAGCCCAGAGCCCTCTGCAGTGGATCGAGGCCAAGGTCTAGCCCAGGAGGCCCTTACAAGAGCTGCAGCCCCAGGGGAGAAGGACCCAGCCCTGAGCTCCCAGCTTTCTTCGGAGGCGGCCACTGAGGCTGCAAGCAGAGTGGGGCCAGGCCAGGCCGTGGGAACTAGTGGGCCTTGCTTGGGCAGTGGCAAGCGTGGAGGCCGGACTGCCTCCCCTTGGAGGTCTCCAGGTCGGGTGAGTCTCAACCCCAGAGGTCTCTTCCCTCCCCATGTGCCGCTTCCCCACAGGCCCTGGCTGACCTGCTCCGAGTTCCCTCCCCACACCCCATTTATAATATTTGTAACGGGAAAGACCTTAATTGCCAAAAGAATGAATCTCTAAGGTGAAATTTCTGGCTTTGGGGCAGGCAGACTATTTCTGTACGGAAGGCATATGCATGAACAGTAATGATAACAATTATAATAATCCCCTCCCCACTGCGGCAGAGCCTTGGTGGTTTACCTTGGGCTTTCCCGTGATTATCCTTTTACATTTTTGAACCTGACACAACCCCACATGAGGCAGACTGTCCCATAGGCCTGTCAGGCAGCTTTCATAGCTGCCCCAATTATATGGAGTTGGAAACTGAGGTTGTGAGGGGCTGCCACTTGTCCCGGGTGACACAGGTAGTCCGGGCTTGGGCTGTAGAGCTCTTTCCTCGTACCCCGTCCACACATGCACTCTGGCCTCAGACAGATGGACAGGTGGATGGGCAAAAGATGTGGTGAGATTTCCTTGGCTGTCCTGGTGATGGAGCTGTGCAGAGCGTCGGGCAAATGGGACCTCATCCAGGGGCTGGCACCCCCACCTTGGTGCTGACCTTTCCTGCCCTGTACCATCTGTGTCCCCTGGGCCAGGGAGGGTCCTCGTGGGCTGCCCGGATGTTGCTCGTGCCCCAGTTCCACCTTCTCCCAACACAGGATGGAGACGGAGGCCGTGGGATGGGTTTGTGGGATATCAACCTGTAGCCACCCAGGAAGGCTTTCCTGCCGGGAGGGGGTCTGTTCTGAGGATGAATTCCGGGTGAGCACGGTGACTCTCGCCGAGTGATACTCGCCGAGCATTGACTAGTGTTCTCAGCTTCTGACCCCCAGCTTGGGCGCAACCCCAGGAGGTCGGCGCCATCATTATGTCCCCAGTGCATGGAGGAGGAGGGAGGTGGAGGAGCCGGGTTGGGCCCAGGCACTTTGCCCTCCACCTCTGCACCTCTGCCACCTGTGTGCTGCTGGCCCTCAGGTGGCCTGCTCTGTCCAGGGATGGCCAGGGACAGGCCGGTGGGTGGGAAGTTCTGGTGATTTGAAGCCCTGCCAGCCCTTTCCCTGTAGGTCTGCATGGCCAGCTGGGGCCAGGCAGCTCTGGGTGGAAGTGCATCTCGAGGGTCAGTGGCCTTCTGTGTGACTCTGGACAGGTCACCCATCCTCATCATGCCTCAGTTTCCCCAGCAGTGAAAAGTCAGTCATGACCACAGGCACCTAATAAGCATTGTTTCCCCGCCTGCTCCTCCAGGGGTGGTGAGCTGGGAGCCCCACTTCTCTGCTGCTCTTGGCTCCACTTACCACGCAGACCGTCCTCTGGGGGCTGCTGGGCCCTGGGGGAGTCCTGGTGCCACCCAGGCCCTGGAGGATTCCATCCCAGGGCTTCTTGCACATATCTCTTGGGGCCTCAGGGCCTGTTGGGGCCCAACAGTGTGTTCAGGGGGCGAGGCTGCACCCTGGGGCCTGGCCAGAGTGGCCCCACCCGGGAACCCAGCTTGACTCCTTGAAGCGGGAGGTGGCATCAGCCCCAGCAGGAGGGGCTGGACCATACCTGGCCTTGGAGGCCCTGGTCTCCAGGCCTAACTCCTGCTGCACCCCACCTTCCCCCACCAGCCCCCCAGGATCGTATCTCATGATGGGCACCAACTCTGAGCCCCTCAGCTCCAGCCTCAGATCAAATACAGCAAGCCTGAGAAAGTGATCCTAGGGTCAGTCTCATTCTATAAACCAGGCACTGAGGCCCGGAAGACTGAGTCCAGCAGAGTCCTGGTTGGGCTGTGCCCTGGCTCAAGTCACACTCCCCCCAGTGTCTCCATGGGGACATTAGAGATAACTGGGGAAGGACCCTGGCCCAAGGTAGGGATTCAGCCGCCGGGATGATAGTGGTGATAAAGATAGCGATGCCAGCCCTTCACAGGGGCTTGTCTGTTGATTTGAGCACCCACTGTGTGCCTCGTACCTTCCTGGCCTGGACAAGCCTGTGTCCCCAGAATGCTTTCTGGAGGGGGTGGCTCTGGGGAAGCAAGGCAGATCCCTGGCTTCCAGTCACCAACCTGCAGACCGTTTCTTGAGAGACAATGCCTGGGGCTCCACCATGAACCACTTCTGGGAGGAAGCTGCTGCCCCAGGAGGACCCTGGGTTTCAGTCCTGTCCTGTGCTGTCCTGCCTGGCTGAGTGGCCATGGGTGAGTCTCTGGTCCTCCTCTTCACTGGTCAGCAAACAAGAGGCTACTGTAGAAGGTCTCTAGGACCGCCGGTTATCACAGACTTGGGACTGAGCCTCATTTATACTAGTGTGAATGACTCGATCCAATGTTTATCTGAGAACAAAAGTCAAGAAGGAGCAGGAAGCACAGGGCCAGGGGCATGGCCCTGGGTGGGGTCATGACAGCACCCCCAATGCAAGTCCCCAAGGCTGCAGTTGGATCCTGTCTGAGAGGCTTTCCGGCTGAGTGACCTTGAATAAGTCACTCTGCCCTACTGGCCTCAGCCTCCCGATAATAGGGAAAGCTCAGATGTGGATGGTCCCCTTCCTGAATGGGGGACCCCCAAGGTGCCTGGAGAGGGGGCAGCTGCTTCCCAGCCCCGCTGACTGTTGCCACGTGGGAATGTGGGCCGACGTTGCCAGATCTTCCAAAATTTTCAGTAGAAGCCAAAAATACGGATTTTAAAATGTAAACTCCCAATTTTTAAATGTTGGCTCAAATGTTTAAAAAAAAAAAAAAAAAAAAACCTTTGTGCAGGCCAAATACAACATGCTGGTGGTGGGCCAGATTTAGCTCCGGGAGGCCAGTTCGCAGTCACCAGCCTAGCCTGGCGGCACCGGGGCACAGCTGGGAAAAGGGAGGCCCTGTATGAAGTCACACAGAGCCTAGACAAGACCCAGGGCTCAGGTCACAGGTGGGACAGGGTCACCTCTGCAGCCGAGGCCAGGTGCCCAAATTCCCCAGGGGAAGGACATTCTTGGCCCCATCTGGGGACAGCCCCAAGCCAGGGCCTGGGTTCAGATCCTCAACTTGCCGGGTAACCCAGGGCAAGCACTCTTCCCTCTCCCATTGATCAGATAAGGCCAGGAAAGCCCGCGGCTCATTTGGGACTGCAGCGGAGGCTCTGGGGAACCCCACCACGTGCCCAGCACCAGCGAGGCCCTTGGGGATGCCTGGGGTTCACGAGGCCCAGGCGGCTCTCCGTCCTTGTCCTACCTGTGGGTCAGCGCATGACACCGATGATCCCGCTCTCCTCCTTGAGACAGCCCCCGAAGGACCACCTCCACCCTTAATGCAGACTCTCCTCCCACCTCCCACCCACCCTTTCCCAGTCTCCTTGGCCGGTCCTGCTCACCTCCTGATCCCCAACAGTGGCAGAGTCCCGGGCTCTGTCCCAGCCCCTGTCGCCTCCCACCGTGGCTGCCCTGGCGGCCTCCCCAGTGCTGCGGCTGTGTCACCTCTGATCTGGCCATTTCCAGGTTCACATCTCCTGGAGCCTCCCCTGAACTCCAAGCCCATTTCCCAGCCCTTGGTGTCTCCCCTGGGATGGCCAAGGGGCACCACCAGCCCTGAATTCCCCATGTTCCCCTGCTCAACATGAGGTCACAATGCTTCTGTCACCTCAGGGGTTCTCTTCCTTCCATGTCTGCTTCTAGACTGCCTGGGAATCTGAGAATCCCTCCCACCTCCACCCCAGGCCCCGTGGGCCTGGCTGGATGCCCTGGGGTCCTGCACTTGCCCCTCTCCACACAGTGGTGTGCCAGAGACGCCCCCATTCATCCCTCCAGGGGCTCCCATCCACCTCATGGCAGAAGCCAAGGTCCTGATGAGGGTGCACGAGGCCCCGCACCCCAGCTGCTCCTTCCCACTGGTGACCGGGATGCTTCCCAACTCACCAGGCACAGCCGCAGGGCTGCTCCTCTAGCGACCTCCCAGGACTCACCCGCCCCTCCTCTGGCGGCCCCTTCGGGACTCACCCGCCCCGTCCTCCGGAAGCCCCTCCCCCCAGACTCACCAGCCCCCTCCTCCGGAAGCCCCTCCCCCCAGACTCACCAGCCCCCTCCTCCGGAAGCCCCTCCCCCCAGACTCACCTGCTCCCTCCTCCAGTGGCCCCTTGGGATTCATCTGCTACTGGGCTCAGCTCACTTCATCCGGGCCTCTGTGTTCATCACTGCACCCCTTTCCTGCCCCACCCTGCCTCCCATCCTTCTCTGTACACATATCCCCGTCGGACATACAGGGTGGGAGGGGTGGTGTACTGATTCATCTCTTGGGGTCTGTCTTCCTGCATGAGAATATCAGCACAGTGAGAGCAGAGAATTTCATCCAGTCTGACCAGTGCTGAATCCCCCAGAACAGGGCTCTGCACACAGTCAGTGTTTGCCAAATGAATGTCACAAGGCAGGGTACCATGTAAAACATCTTAGAAAGCTGTCCACTCCAAGTGATCAGTTAGAAGGCTGGCTCTCCAGAACAGCCACACCCCGTCCCCAGGACAGTCCCTTACACACAGCCGCCTTGTTGCTCCCAGTGAAGGATTTTCCATCTTTCCTTCCTAGATGAGTAACTGAGGGTCAGAGAGGTTGAGAGCCCTGCCCAAGGTCCCACAGCTGCGGAGAAGGCCCAACCCCCCAGGGCTCATCTCTGCCCTCCACATGTTAGGCTCATTTCCTCCCCTCCAGGAGGGGTAAGGGCAACAAGATTCAGGGAAACTGAGGAAGCTAGAGCCCAGCATGGGTGTAAGGAGTCCTGGGGGGCCAAGCACTGGGGTTGGGGTCGGAGAGGCCAGCCCCATGCCCTGAGGGAGGGTGGGGCTGGCCTGAGTCGGAGGCAGAGCTGGGACAGGAACCCAGGCCTCTGTCCTTGGCATGGCACTCCTCACCTGGCAGGCCCCCTGCAGAGGTGGGCTCACTCTCCTCTTCACAGTGTCAGAAATCAGCCGGATTTAGGGGGCAGTGGGCAGCCGTGCAATGGGGTCAGATGGTCCGGCAGAGGATTTATGTGCTCCATTATGGGGGCCACAGCAGGACTGACCCACATCTGAAGAGGGGTTTCCCAGGGCAGAGCTCTGCGAAGATACGATGCCCGGTACCAAGGGGCTCTGTGCCCTCCCGCGCAGGGGCAGGCTTGAAGAAGGGACGCGGATGGTGTTAGAATGACGAGGACCCTGCTGTGAGAGCAGGAAGGATGCTGCCCAGGGCTGAGGAGCAGGTGCCTCTGGCTGGGGATTAAGACGCACTGCATTCGTTCAGGCCAACACCACCTGCTCACCGCAGGGCTTCCATGCCAGGCCCTGGACACAGGGAGATGCAGCGGCAGAATGGAGGAGCTCTGCTGTCGGGCCTCACCGATGCTTTAGATGGGTAGTCAGGGAAGGGAGGCCCCGGCCGTGCAGAGTCAGGGCAGAACATTCCAGGTGCAAGGAACCAGTGCAAAGGCCCTAAGACAGGGATGGGCCAGGTGAGCCTGGAGCCAGCAAGGCAGCCAGTGTGGCCAGTGTGTGCCTAGCGAGGGGAGGCTGCTGGGCATGGGGGTCGGATGATTTGGCAGGGCCAGGTCAGTATTTACCAACCCCTCATGGAGGCCTGACAGGTGGCACAGAGTCACCCCCTCCACCTTGTCTGGGGAGGCCCTACTGTGTGCCAGTCTCTGTGCCCGGGTGCCACAGGGAAGATAGCAAGGTCCCTGGCCCCAAATCTCCAAGCTCTTGCCTATAAACTGCAAATGCACAGCTGATGAGACCCACCCAGCAAAGCTGCTGTGACACTTCAATGGAACTGATTTCTGTGACCGGGCCCAAGGCCACCCTGGGGACACAGCAGCAGAGGAAAGGGTGGACGGGCATGTTTCTGACCCGGGCGGCCCTCCCATCGCTAGTAAGAAAAGGAAGTAGTAGGTGGGAGGGAGGCAGCTGGGAGCTCCACAGGCCTCAGCCCATGCAGGGATGGGCACGTCATCAGGACCCAGATGGCCACAGGTGGGAGTGAGGAGAGAGCAGGGGCTAGTGGCCAACAGGCAGGGCTCCTGTGAGGGGTCAGAAGATAAAGGTGGCTGCTGGGCTGGACCACCAGAAAGAGGTAGGGACTTAAGGCAGACGGTGGGGAGAGGTGTGTTGGAGGAAGAGGCAGCGGGTGTGAATGGGGCTGGACAGCGCCCAGAGGCGGGGAAGGACTGTGCCATGAGGACTGTCCCCCGAGGGCACCCAGTGTGCACCCTGGGGTCCCAGCCTCCCTAAGGGAGATCCCGCCCCCTCACTTCACAGTGGGAACCCTGGGGCACCCCACAGACTCCTCATCCTCATGGCCCCCACCCACTGGCCCAAGACCCAGGCAGCGCCGCGGTTCTCCAGCCCATCAGGCAGGCCTCGGCTAACCTCAGGGGACTTGAGCAAGCCACTTCATGCGCTGGCCTCCGTTTCCTCACCCGTAGTAAGGGTCTCACGAAAATCACCGAGTCTTGTGGTCAATGAATGGCTGAATCAAAACTTGCACCCGGGGTGCTGGGCCCGTGCAGGAGCCTCATGGGAGACTGTCCCCGAGGGCGTAGCACCTCGGCCAGGGGAGCTTCCCTGCTATCTTCTCCCTAGCCACCCATAAAGATGCCTGTGTCACTCCTGCATGGAGAGCATCAGGCACAACCCATCTTTTAGTCCCCCCGCCCCTGCCAGGTGCTGGGCTGGTCCAGGGACACAGAGCTGGGACACAGAGTCCTGTCCCATCTGGTGTGGGGGTAAACTCAGTGACTCCCCAGAGTTCCCACAGAGGGCCGCATGGAGGATACAGCCTCCAAGGGGGAGGGCAGTGGTTGCCCCGAAGGCAATGGGTCAGAGGAGGATTTGAGCTACAGCAGCATCAAAGCCAGGCTTCAGGCTCTAGAATAGGCTTGAAGGGCAGGGGCTGCCTGTTCCCTGCCTGTCTCTTGCCCTGCCCAGCCCCCACTGCTCCACCAGGGCAGCTCAGCAACCTCCCCTGCCTTTCCCCCCAGTTCCCTTCTGGGGGTGGGGGGAATTCCCATCCAGGCCTTTTAGAAGGGCTGAAACATTCAATGTAAATAATTAATGCTAGATTTTTAAAATTAAATTTTAATACATTCTTATTAATTTTAGACAAACTCCCTGGCAGGTCATTCGCCGTGAGTGATTGAGGTTGGCAACCAGAGACAGCCTTTGGGTGGGAAAGGCTCCTGAGCAGTGGGGTCCAGGCGCAGCTGGGCCCCTTCAGCTGCGGGATCTCCAGCAAGCCTCTTCTCTGTTGGAGCTTTGCTCCCGCATAGGGGGTCCGGGGCTTCCATGGCAGAGCTGTGGTGAGGAGCCGTGGGAAGCGCTATGATGTGTAAGGGGCGGTGGACGTTATTGTTATGACTACCGTGGCCATTCTGCTGAGGGTGGCCTCCCAGGACCGGAGGGGGGCGGAGGGGGTTTTCCTCATTAGCCCCTGGAGAGCAGAGCTTGCTTCCTCTGCTGTCCCCTCTCTGCTTTGTCTGCTGTCCCCTCTCTGCTGGAGAACTTAGCCCAGAGCTAGTGAACGAGTGGGTGTCCGTGGATGGAGGAACACTTGGATTTCTTGGGTTTGGTTTGATCCTGGTTCAGGTCTGACCCTCTGAGTGGACGGCTCCTCCCACCCTGCGCTGGCTCAGCGCAGGCCAAGCCTGCTGGGTGCTGGGGGTGTCCTGGTGAGAACACAGGGCTCCTGCCCGGGAGCTCACAGCCAGGAGGGGAAAGGGCCAGGAAAGACAGGCTCCAGTGCCGTAGGATCCAGGCATGCACTGTCCGTGTTTATTGAGCGCCTGCTGTATGCTGGGACCTAGCATGAGAAGCGCTGTCATGGGGACCCGGAAAGGTGGGCCTGGGGAAGAGAGCGGTGTGGGGGTCGCGCTGGCCGGCGGCAAAGTCTTCCCGGCAAACTCCTTGTCTTGCAGGAGGAGGGTTTATGGAGGGGTCCAGGCTTGTGGTCTTGGACAACTTTTAGAGCGTCTGGGGAGGGGAACCGCCATCCGGGCGCCTTAGGGATCCCTTCCCCTGAAATTCCTTCCCCCACCCCAGCCGATCCGCAGCCCGCGGGTGCGGAAGGGCAGTGGAGCGCCTCGTCCAGCTGCCTCCCCCTTCCCCCCAGCTTTCAGGTGAGGAAACTGAGGCCGGGAGAGCGCCGGAAGGCCGGCCCGAGCACCCGGGAAGTTGGTGGCCGAGCCTGGCCGAGGCCCCGGGGCCGGGCCTTCTAGCTTGGCGCTGCGGCCGGGCTGCGCCCTCGCCCGGCGGGGCGGTGGGGGAGGCGGCGTGGGGCCCGGACCCGAGCGGAGCGCGCTCCCGGCGGACGCGGCGGCGGCGCCCGGCGCGAGGGGCCGGGATGGGCAGTCATCAGTCTTCCCAGGTCTGTCGCGTGGTCCCTGAGCTCGGACCCCTGTCCCCCTTGAGTGCCAGTCACGGCACAGAAAGACGGGCAAAGCCCCGGGGAGCGGCCTCTCCCGGGTGATAGAGAGCCCGCCCGGCGCCCCCAGCTCCACGCAGGAAGTGCGATCCCGCCCGGGCCGCTCGCGGTCCCCGTCGCTCGCCCGCGCCCACAAGGTTAACGGCGGCGGGTGGGTCCCCCTGCCCGGCGCGCGGAGGGGCTGCCCGGCTGAGCGGGGCTGGGCAGGGAGGGTCTCCAAGCCGCGCGCGGGCGGGTCTGCGCAAGCAAGGCAGGGAGCCCCGCCGGCGAGCCGGGCGCTCACGGGTTAATCCCTGGGGCCCGGGAGGGGCAAGCCAGGCCCAAAACCCCAGAATCTGAGGGCAGCGGGTCCCTGATTGAGGAGTCGAGGCTCCAAATGCCATCGCCCTCGGATTGTGTGAGTGTCAGGTTCTGCAATCCTGCACGGCCCCGAATTCCCCAACATTCTCCGACTCGGAGGTTCTGCGATTCCGGGGTTCGGCTTCCTCCGGGAGGGAGCGCGGGGCAGGAAGGGTTAACGGGCGGGGCGGGGGGAGCAGCGGGGCCGCGGCCGCCGGAGAGTTAACGGGGACAGGCCGAGTCCCCCTCCTCCGGGCGAGGCCGAGATCGCCCCTGGCCGGGCCATCCCGGGCCGGCCCCTTCTTCGCCCCGGGGGGCGTAACTCGGTGCGGGGAGCGCGGCGGCCCGGGCGGGCTCACCTGTTACTCGGCCGCGGCCCGGCGCGCCCACTGAGTCACGGGGGCCGCGGCCGGGACTGGAAGCTGGGGACGCGCGGCGCCGGGCTTCCCACGGACGGGGCCCCGCGGGGTTGCCCGGCCGTGCCCGCTGTGCCCGGCTCTGCCCGGCGCGGCCGCGGAGCGCACGCCTCCTGCCTGCTGACCCTCTCGTTTGGTTTCTCGCAGGCCTCTGCCGCAGACATGGAGAAACTCAGGTGAGTGGAGCGTCTCCCGTGCCGCGGCTCGCGGGGGCCGGGTCGGGGGTGAGGGCGCTGGGGAAGGCGGGGGAAGGGGGCTCCACCCGAGCGCATCCCCCAGGGCCCGCGGGCGGCCTCGGCGGGGCTGCGGGCCAGGTGCGTGTGTGTGGTGCGTGTGTGCGCGCCGCGAGGCGCTGGGGAGCCTCGCGCGGGGCTCCTCCGCCGGCCCGGGCCGCTGCGGCGGGGGCTGGGGCTAGCGCCACTGAGGGCCGGGCTGCCCCCTACCCGGGGCCGCCTGGTCCTGTGCGGTCCTCAGCGCCCCTCTGGCTCCCTGCCCTGGACTCTCGCTGGTCCCCGGGGACCCTCCGGGTTCCGTTCGTGCCGTTCCGCACTGCCCCGGCGCTCTCTCCCCCGACCCCACCCCACCCCCAACCACCACCCGCCCCAGCCCCCGGGCTGCCAGTTGCCTGGCTCTGAGCTTTTAAGTGTCCGCCTCTGGGGGGCGGGGGTGGGGGATGGAGTCCTCGCGGCTGGACCAGGCAGCCGCGTCTTGGAGCCATTTTGGGGGAATCCCGCGACAGCTTCTGGGGAGTGTCCCCCGCGGCCTCCCTCCCGGTGCCAAACTTTAAGCCTTGGTAGACTTCACGGGACCACCTGCGCGGCAGGCCTGGGATCAGCCAGTTTGAATATTTGCCACTTCCTCCACGACTTCCCCTGGCACCCTGACCCCTACTTTGGGAACACCCCTCCCGTGTTTTCCTTCCGGAGCCTGAGCCGAGGCGTTGTGTGGGCGGCAGGCCCAGCTCTGGCTGCTGGGTTTCAGCACTGTCTCCCCTGGCCCACAGGGTCTCCGTCCTCGCCACTCCCTCCCGAGGCCAGAATTGGCATCCTGGGGAGGAGGCCGGGTAGAGGAGCATCCCTCCCCCAAGGAGCAGAGCCCAGCCTGGGCCCAGGTCTAGGGCAGAGGGGCCCTGGGCTCTGCCAGCTGACCCTTAGTGCCGTGGGTGAGTGGCTTGGAAACACCCAGGTGGGAGCCTGGGGGCAGGTGGGCTCACACAGAGACCCAGGGTGGACTCTCAGAGCAGGGCCATCTCCTGGGCCATGGAGCTGATGTGCAGCCCCCACTGTGGGTCCCACAGGGACAGGACCAACATGTCTTGTGCTGGGAGGAGGGGTCCAGTCTCTGAGGTGGTTCAATCTCAGACCCCAAATACCTGATACCCATCAGCCAGGCCCACCTTGTCGTGGCCAAGGTCCAGGTGGGGGCGGTGAGGCCCAAAGAGCGACAGCCCTGGCTGTGGTCACACAGATGACCTCAGGCCCAAACTCAGGCTCTGGCCCAGGCCAGGGCCCTTCCCTGGTGCCCCACATTGGCTGTCATTTCACCACCTGGGTTGTACCGCCTGTGGGGGGGAGGAAACACTGCTTAACTCAGCTGAGACTTGAGGAAAAACTTAGCATTCATGGGGTGCCCTGAGGCCAGCCTGGGGGTTCCCTGCGGTGGTTCTCTTTCTCTTTCCCTCCTTCCCTGTGCCCGGCCAAGGCTCTCCGGCACCTATTCCTGTGTGCCAGGCACTGAGGACAGAGGCATGACCCCGCCCGGCTGGGTGCACAGGTAGGCAGGTGTGCCAGGTGGGCGGATCTGCTGCCTGAGCTGCTGATGGCGTCAGCGTTGCTGTCCCAGGCGGGCTGAGGCTTCCCTGGGCTAAGCCATAAAGGCTGGAGGCAGTGGCCAGGGCCTGGGCTCCTGGGCTGCATCGGGCCATGTGGCCTTTCTGGAGTTGCCAGGGGTGGCGTGGGGCAAGGACTCCTAGAACTGGGGAGGGGTCCTGCCCTCCTCTCCCTCTCACCCAATTAGTGTTCTCAGAGTTGCCTGAAGGGCTTTTCCAGAATCTTCCCTTCTGGCCAGTGTCGGGGCTGCCCCAGTGGGTTTCTGTCCTGCATTTGGTGCCTGGGATTCAGAACCAAAAGCCCAGGGGAGTGGAAGGGAAGTTGGTCAGCATGGCTTCCTGCACAGAAGGGCACAGGGTTTGGGGTCCCACAGACCCAGTCACTGACAAAGTCCTGGCCCTGGTTGGGCCTCAGTTTTCTCATCTGTAAAGTGGGTGTCCTAACCACAACCAGGTTGCAGGGATGTTGGGTGCCGTGAGCCCCTGTGGTGGAAGCATCTCTCCTGGGACCTGGCCCAGAGCAGGCCCAGGTAGAGGGTCTCTGGGGAACCTCAGACCACACGGTGGTCACAGTGAAGGGGTCCTGAAGTGTCCACAGGGATGACCCTATGGTCGGTCCTGCCTCCTGGCCCCTGGACTGTGGAGTCTGCACATCACAGGCTGGGTCTGTGGGTCTGGATTGAGCTCTGAGAGTGCTGGTCCTGGCCCCCTCCTCTCCCACACCCCCCAGGGCCTGGAGCCAGGACTGACTTATGGGACAGTCCTGTAAATATTTGCTGAAGAGCAAAAGGACCATGTCACCTGGTGGCACTGTGGCCCTCAATGGCTCCCTTTGGTGGGCAGGTGTACATTGAGGGGTCTCTCTTCCCTGGTCCCTCCCACTGGCTGCCCCCCCATGCTGTCGCCCTGCTTCCGAGTTCCCCACAAGCTGCCACCTTCATGCCCCTGCCTTTGCCCACGCAGTCCCTGCTGTAGAGAATGCCCTTCCCTGCCTTCTTGTCCACATGACAAACTCTGTGTCTTCCCTGTCGCCTTTTCCCTGGGGTTTTCATGACGCTCTTGCCCCTCCCTCCCAAGTGGACTCCAGCCCCCTCTGGGTACCAGCTCTGTGAAAAGACCCGGTTGGCCCTCCAGTGCCGGGGACAGAGGCCCACAACAGATCCTCCTAGGCCAGCGGACAGAATACAGAAGGGGTTTGCCCACAATGCTCTGGGGTCCCAGGTTGTGAACCCTGGCCTGGGGTATTGGGAAGAGCTTCCGGGAAGCAGGGACACTTGAGCCAAGGCATGAAGAATGGGTAGGAGTTTCCAAGGACAGACAGGCCACCCTCCAAGAGGTGCAAAGGCCTGGGGGCTGCCCAGAGCAGATGTGTTTAGGGAAGACAGGTAAGGGGTGGGGAGTGGAGGTCAGTGGGGCTCCCACTGACATCTGGGGTGTCTTCTGTCTTCCCCAGGGCCCCAGATGGGCACCCCAGAGAACAGAGCCGGGGTCTGGCCCCTGGTGTTCTGACAGCCACAGTGCCTGGCAGAGGCTGGCGCACAGTAGGGCTCCCACAGGCCGGGGGGCCACATGGTAGATATGCAGCCACACCATTTGATGGCCTGGCCACCTTGGCTCTTGTCCTTTGACCCTTGCTCAGCCACACTCAGCTATCTTGTCTTCGACTGCTTGGAAAAACTATTCTTGTGACTCTCAAATATTTATAGATATTACCAAGTCCCGGCTGGCTCTCCGTGTGCTCAGAGCCTCTGTGCCTCTAATCCCTCAAATTAATCCCCTCCTCTCCCTCCAAACAGGGTCCCTCCTGCCTGCCTCCTGCAGCGTGCTGCTGGGCAGCCCCTTTTTCTATTTGAGCTTCGGTTCCCTCCTCTGTCAAACAGAGAAGTGGGTCAGTCGCCTCTCATGGCTCCTGGGGTGCCCAGAGCTACTCCTGTTTGGTGTCCACGTTTTCCCCCCAAAATAGAATTTTTCAAAGTCGTGAACTGTGATAGGCCTGCAGAGACATTAATAAATATCCGCACAGTTCAGTGGTTAAGTTTAGAACGACCACCTGGCGACCACCACCTGTGTCAAGGAGTTCAACATGGCCAACCCCCGAGATCCCCCGAGACCCTTCCCCACAGACAGCCCCATCCTGCTCCCGGCCAGCCCCTAAGATCCCCCGAGACCCTTCCCCACAGACAGCCCCATCCTACTCCAAGCAGTCACCGGGACACCGACCTTGTGCTCAGTGGTTCCTTGCTGTCCTCGTGGTTCTGCCACCTGAGAGGGCATCCCCAGCAGAGATGGTTGTATGTTGCCTGCTTTGGGACCTCATACCTGGATTCCTTCAGCCTGTGTTTTGGGGGTGGCTTTTTTTCACCAAAACTATTCTGTTTGTGAGGGTCCCTTGTGGTGGTAGGTGGAGCTACCAGTTGCTGTTGTCATGGTGGCTTCCCTGAAATCCGTTTGTTCCCTGGCAGACTGCCGGGCACTGTGCAGCCTGGGCCACCTTAGGAAACTCCTGTGCGGGTGTCTGGGGATGTGGGCTGCGATTCTGGGTGTGCACCCTCAGTGGAACCTCCGGGGCACAGGGTGCGCATAGGGTCAGCTCTGGAAGATCGGAACAGACTCTTGAAACCGCTTCTCCCCATCACTGTCCCTCCAGCGTTGTTGGGGTGGGCTGCCCTGGTTTGCTGCCCGCTGGGTTTCCTCACCGGCGAAGGCCGTGCGCATTTTCTACCAAGGTGTTTTTCCCATTGATTTGTGGGAGCTCTTCACACTGTCAGTTACACATGCAGCAGCCACACCTCCTGGGGGACGCCGCGTCTCGCTGTTCACACGGTCCTTCTATGAACAAAAGTTCTTAATTTTAATTTTGTTGAATGTGTCAGGTTTTTTCACTTTCTGATTAAAGCGTTTGTGTCTTGTTTAAGGAACCCTCCTGAAGAACTGAGGCTATTGGCTTTTCATCCACTTGAACTTGGGTTTGCATGTGGTTAGAGGTCAAGGTTGAGCTCCTTTTTGGTTCTGGTTTTGGTTTTGCACAAGGACACCCAGGTGTTCGGGCCACACTCTCTCCTTCACTCCTATGACCGGTGCTTGTGGTCCTGTCCATGTCGGACACTTGTCCAGGCTGAGACACTCTGCAGAAGTGCCAGGCTGATGTCCCAGGGATGGAGACAGATGGAGAGCAGGTGGCCTCGAAGGTCCTGACCCTGTCCTGCCCTGCCCCTCCACGCCCCCCCTCAAAGGGCACCCTCTCCCACCCAAGTCTCCCGCGTGGGCCCCGTGAGCCGGCCCTGCTGCTCTCATTGTTCACTGATCATGGATTCCACACGCATTCACTGAGCACCAGAGGCTGCTGTCGGCGCTGAGGACGCCGCAATGACTGCACAGGCGAATCTTCTAGTCGGCGGGAACAGAAAACTTTTTAAGTTAAATAAATATCACGGTGACAAGTGCTGCGGGGACAAAAAGAAAGGAAGGCAGTGAGTGGGGGGCGGGGAGCAGGTGACCTGTACAGCGTGGCTCAGGGAAGGCCCTGAGCGGGTGCCACCGGGTCAAGGCACCAGGAGGTCCAGGCAGAGGGAGCAGCAGGTGTACCGGTGGCCTGCAGGAAACAGCAAGGGCTGGTGGCCATGGAGGAGGGCAGAGGTGCTGCGTTCTGGATGTGTTGGAGGCTCGAGCGACGGGGTCTGCTGATGGGGGTGACATGGGGTGTGGGGGAAAAGGGGGTGTCAAAGACAACTCCAGGGCATTGGGCACGAGCAGCTAAAAGGATGGACTTTCTTCCCCCGAGGTGGGGACAGCTGTGGGGGAGGAGCGGGTTTGAGGGCACACAGGCTTGAGGTGTCCCCTTTTATTTAGCAAAGCCCCGCTGCACACCTGCTTCGGGCAGGCCCCTGTCCTAGACAGCATCCAGGTTGGGTTCTCTGGGCATGCAGTAGGTGCTCATTGAGGGTGGGGAACTAATTGCATTGTGGTCTGGGCCCCGACAACTCAGGAAGAGATGTCCTGGGGATGGGGCTGGCCACCTGGCGGCACCCACCTTCAGGATGGCTGTTGAATTTCCTTGTCCCTTTCCCCCAGGCCCCCTGCTCTCCATCTCTTGTCTCCTCCAACCCACCCACTACCCCAGCAGGCCACACCCCTCCCGGAGTGTGATCCTTCAAGGCTCTCTACCCCACTTCTAAACTTGATCCTACTAGAGGAAGTCTTATGGACTAATTCTCACTAAGGTGTGAATGACTGCCTCACTTTGATTTCTCCCTTTGCAGCTAGGGGCTCAGGGGGTGAGGAACCAAGACACTGACAGCTGGGGTATGAGTCTGGGAGTCACTCCTAATCTGGAGCAGCTCTGATGGTATCAACTTGGGGGGTTGGGGTTACAGGTGGGGCCAGGGTGCCTTTGTCCCCACAGCCCAGTTGAGTTCCCACTCCTCTGCAAGGCCTGCCTCCCTGATGGGGTATGTGGTTAAGAAGGTAGACGCACCTAGGTTTCAATCCCAAGTCTGTCATCACTTACTGGCTATGTGGCCTTCAGCAAATTTTTTTTTTTTTCGACAGTCTTGCTCTGTCCGCCAGGCTGGAGTGCAGTCCAGGGCTCAAGCAATCCTCTCACCTCAGCCTCCCAAATAGCCTGGACTACAGACAGTCATGTGCCACCACACCAGGCTAATTTTGTATTTTTGGTAGAGACAGGGTGTCACCATGTCGCCCAGGCTGGTCTCCAACTCCTGGGCTCAAGTGATCCTCCTGCCTCGGCCTCCCAAAGTGCTGGGATTACAGACATGAGCCACCACACCTGGCCTTGGGCAGATTTCGGAAGCTTTCTGACTCTCAGTGCCACATCTGTAAATGGGGGTAGTAATAGCACCTACTTGAGAAGGCGGCTCAGGAGACTCAGTGCACGCTGGGGTCATGCACCTGGCTTGTGAGCTGGGCCTTGCTGTTGTGGCCTGCCCGTCTCGGGTGGCTCTGCCCTGCTTGGGCCTTGCTGCCCACCCCTTGGGCGGTGACATCATTCCCGTGAAGGAGAGGGCCTGGCAGCGTGGGGCCCTCTGAGGGTCTCTGAGCTGGGGGCGGGGCCAGCTCTTCCGCACCCTAGGCTGTCTGCACTTTTCCCCAGGGGCCGTCGATGGTTGGGGCAGTGGCTGGGTGTTTCAGAGGAGGCGATGCCACGTGCCTGTTTCTCAGGGCTCCATGTCAGGCCCGCATGGGGCTCCCCCTCCCCACCCCCCAACTACCACAGGCAGAAAATCCTTCCGAGGGCTGGAGGCCTCTGGGCCCGAGCTCTGCAGTGGGGACTGCCTGTCTCTTAAAGGTCCCCCGTGTCTGCAAAGCAACCTGAGAGAGGCCTCATGCTCCATCCCCTGATGGACCCACCGAGGCTCTGGGGCTCGTGTCGAGGGCAGCTCGTGTCTGTCCTGAGCAGCAGCAGGACAGAGTTGCAGGACGTGAGACGGGAAGCAGGAGATGGGACAGGGGATGCTTGTCAGGTGAACGCAGCAGGGCCTGGGACCAGGTCTTCTGGGCCTCTCAGCCCCACTTCCTCTGCCCTCGTGGCCACTAAGCATGGGTGATGGTCCGGGTTTGCCAGGAAGTGGCCAGTGCCATGTCTCTGTGTCCTGGGGGTCTGGCCGGACCGGGGAAGCAGCCACTGCTGGTTCTCTGTGTCCTGGGGGTCTGGCTGGAGTGTGAGGGGCTGGTGGTGGCATTTGGAATGGCCGTCCCAGGGAGGGGAGGCTGCCCTGGCCACACACCACCCCAGGCTGCTGAGGTTGGACACCCCACAGGCCCCAGCCATGTGTCTGGGGGATCCCCGGTGAGGGCCAGAAGAGGCACATGGCTGGGCTTCCCTGGGCAGGGCTTTGCTGAGCAAGAGAGAAGGAAAAGAGAGGCAGGGGCAGGTGGTGCTGCTGGGGACACAGGAGGACCCAAGACACAGAGCTGGGCCCAAATCACCCTTCATCTGGAGCAGCTCTGAGGTTGTCAGCTCAGAGTGCGGTAGGGCCGCCGGGATGATCCCCGGATCTCAGGAGCATCTGGGGGCTGGCTGGGGCTTCTGCCCCCATTCCTCCTTGAGGAAACTGAGGCTCTGAGAGCTTGAGTGCCAAGCTCAGTGGCCCCAGTGGCCTGTGGCAGAGCAGAGACTGCTGAGGTTGGGGCCTGCTCAGCCACCCACCCTCTCCTGCCCACACCATTCAGCAGAGTAAATAGTCCACATGACCCTCTCAGCCCCCCGCGGCTGGTGCAGAGATTGGGGGATCCTAGACACCACTAAAGGGAGGCTTAGGGAGCCCCGGGCCTGGCTTTGGGAGGGAGGGCAGATGCCACCAGTGACCCCAGCTCTCTCCTCGGCCCCGGCGCCTCCCTCCAAACATTGCTGCTGCTGACAACCCTCCCCGTAGCTGCAGGCTTTTCTTGGAGACTGGGTCTTGCCTCTTGAGTGTGAGTGTCTGTGTGCGCATCTATGCAGAGGTGAACGTGGAGTGGGACCAGCCAGGGACCAAGAGCATCCCAGAGAGACCCAGGGCGTGGAGGGGGCCCAGGTCCTGCAGTCCACGATTACTGATAAGTGTCCACCGCTCTGATCAGCTGTGATCCCTGGAATTCCAGAAAACAGGCCTCCTGCTGATCCAATTAATAAGTTTGCCCACATCTGTTTGCAGTGGTGAGCAGCCTGGTGGGGTGGTCAAATTAGCAAAGCCAGCGTGGGTTCCTTGGTGGCCAGTAATGAAGCCAGCAATCGAAGTGCTGAATTGCGACCTCTTCTCTCCTGGGCACCAGGGCAGGTGGCAGGCGCTGAAAGGTTAATTTGGGAGTCCCACGAGGAGCTCGTTCCTGGCTATGGGGCCGGCCCATGGCCATCTGTCTGCCAGTCCTGCCCCTGCACATTGACTGTGTGTGGAAGGGTGAGGCAGGGGATCCGGGGCCAAGGTGTGCACGGCCCCACCCTCTTGCCAACCCCATCTTCTCCAGAGGGAGAGAGGAGGGAGTAGCGATCAGTGGTGACAGGCTGGTGCTGGGAAAGAGGAGCCCAGGCAGGGGTGCCCAGGAGCCTCCTGGGCCCACCGCGCAGCTCCCCTTGGCTCTCGGAGACAGCCCCACTGAGGCTCCCTGCTCTAGCCCTGCTCTCCCAGCAGAGGGACGGCCCCAAGCCCAAGCCAACTTCCCGAGCTCCTTGGTGTGAGCATCTCTGGGGCCCCCAGGAAGAGGATCAGATACTTCAGCACATGCTCAGGGCCTTCTGCCAGCTGACCCCAGGCCCACCCCTTGTCTGCTCCCCCCAACAACCCCCAGGCCCCAGGCTCCGGCCACACCAATCTCCAGGACGCGCCCTGGCCCCACCGGCATGCTCCCAGCTGTGTGTCCTGCACACGATGGCCCACCTCCCCAAGGATGGGTCTGACGTTGGTTTCAAGGAGGTCTCGGGCTGAGAGCAGATGAGAGTAGCTGAGACTGCCATGGGGCTGTGCGGCAGTCACTTGAAAGGAGTGGGCCTGGTGTGGTGGGTGGTCCTAGAAGGTGAGGCTCCTGGTATACCCTGGGAAGGATGGGGAGAGAAAGAGAGGAGTCAAGGATGCATCGAGGCACAGGAGAGGACTTGTCTTGCTGCAGGGTGTGGGGGTAGGCTGTGGATTTGTAGGGGCGATGGGAGCTCAGCTGCGCCCAGCAGATCTGTGCTGCCCATGAGACAAAGGTGAGGCAATGGAGTTGGGGAGCAGCCAATGTGGGGGCCTCAGCAGAGAGATGGTATTTGCTGGCTAGGGTTGCCACTGGTGAGTGCACCCAGGGAAGGAGATGCCGGAGGCCAGATCCCCGGGACACGCTGGTGCCAGGAGGCCAGGAGATGAGGAGCACCCCACAGAGGAGCCTGAGAAGGGGCAGCCGGAGAGCGCAGTGAGGGTGGGAGGTGCGGGAGCAGGGAGAGGCAGCATGTGCCTGGCTGCTGAGGGCGCAGGTCAGGTGAAGGCTGAGACAGGACCAGTTCGGTGACATGGAGGGGACAAGATCCTGGTGGGCATTGGTCCCATCCCGGCAGGCTAGGAGTAAGGAGGCAGAGGCAGAAAGGTCAGACACTTTCATTGATCAGGGAACAGGGACTGTACCTGGAGGGTGAAGAGAGGGTTGTTCTCAATATGGGAAGAGCAACCACGAGTTTGCCTGCCAGAGAATGACCAGGAAGCGAGGGAAAAATGGATGGTTCAGGAGCGAGGGAGACTAGCTGGAGCCCCACCTGCAGCTGGGGGAAGCCAGTGGCCACGGTCCAGCCCAGCTGAGGGCTGCCTGGTTGGTCTGTAAGTAACGGTGGGCGGCACCGGGTGTCGGGGCAGATGCTGGTAGGTGGGGCATGTGGAGATGACATCTGCGAAAGTGCCCTTTGGATGGTTTCACTTCTCAGCAGAAAGGGAAGAAAAGGAAGCGAGGTCATCTGCCTGAGTGGGGATGGGGAGGAGGTGTTGGGAGTTGGGAGGCAGGAGGGGAAGGCATGAAGTCACTTTCCAGGAAAGTCGAGGGGAATGGCACAGGCACGCCTAGGATCCCTGAGTCAGTCTGTGGATGAACAGAGAGCGAGGCCATCTGCCCGCTGCTGTCTCCTGCCATCCATGTGGGTGCAGGAGCCCAGTGGATGGAGAGATTGTACCCTTAGTACAATGAGGAGAGTGATGGGGAGGAGGCCATAATGCCGTCACTGGCTGCCAAGTGAGGGCAAGGCCAGTGAGGGGCTGTGAGAACCCCCGGTGGCAGTGATGGAGTGAGGGGCATCCTCAGGCCTGAGCTGGAAAGAGAGTGGGTGTCAGAAATGGGACCGCACGGGGTCCCCATGGATGGAGCACATCGGGCATCACAGAGGGTCTGGGATCTGGACCTGACTCCCCTCCTGCCTCTAGCAGGGCAGCCGCCGCCATGGCGGTCATCTCTCAGCAAGCATGGCTTGTGTGCGTCTGCCCACTAGGCTCAGAGCCAGAGTCTCACATTCCCTGCCCCGATGCCTCCTTCCAGTCCTGGGCTCTGGAGGCCAATGCGCTCCCTGACCATCTCCTCTCTGTAGGTTCTGTGGCTGGAAGAGGCTGGCAGAGCCCGCGCTGGGATTGGGGGCCTGGGTTTGGCCCGCCCTGACTCGGGTGTGGCTGGAAGAGGCCGGCAGGGCCCGCGCTGGGACTGGGGGCCTGGCTTTGGCCCGCCCTGACTCGGGTGTGGCTGGAAGAGGCCGGCAGAGCCGGCGCTGGGACTGGGGGCCTGGCTTTGGCCTGCCCTGACTCGTGTGTGGTGCTTTCAGCCATGCAGCTACCCAGGGCCTGGGCTCTTCCTCTACAATCCAGGTTGGATGGAGATCAGTGGGGACAGCAGCGGCCTGTGACCTGCAGAGAGGGGGCATGGAGGGATGCCCAGGGACATAGCCTGCTGCCCCGGGCGGCTCTGCCCCACCCACCCTCGTCAGAAACCCAGCTGTCCCCTCACTAGGGGACAGAGTCCCCAGGCCTTCACCCTGCAGGCCTTTCCTGAAATCGCAGCTGGGAGCTCAGAGCTGGCTGGGCTCTCCTCGGGCACCTCCAGTCCTGCAGCAGGCACTGGGTCCCTGACTGGGAGGAGACAGCCCCTGTGCCCTGATGAGGAGACAGCCCTTGTGCCCTTGCACTGTAGGGCTGGGGTGAGGATGGAGAAGAGGGCTCCTGACCCAGGGGGGATGTCAGGGAGCCCTTCCTGGAGGGGGTGAACAGAGTGAACCAAAGTTCAGGGAAGGGCACGCTCTGAGCAGGGGGCAGCCTGTGCCAAGGTCCAGGAGTGACTACAGCCGTCCCATCTCCCTGCCTGGGTTGGCCCGCTTTGCCCTGGCCCTGGGCACGCGCTGGGTCTGCCCACCCTCCGAGGGCTCCCCAGGACATGGTGTACCAGCTCCCAGCACGTGGTTCTGCAGAAAGAGGGGGGCAGCGGGGCAGGGCTGCGGCTGCCTGATAAGATGAGGTGAGATGAAACATTACCTGCTGCATCCTGACTCCAGTCTCCAGGCAGGAGGGAGCAGTGGCGCGGCCAGCCAGGTCATCCCGGAGTCGAGGATCCAAATGGAGAGGTGTGGCCAGTGAAGGAGGGGGAGGGGAGGGCAGGGGAGCAAGACGGGAGGCCTTGAGCCCAAATCCACACCGTCAGGGTGGCCCCAATTGAGCTGGTGATGACCAAAGCTCACTCCTCTCCAGGCCACCCCTCCTGGCTGAGGGACCTAGCTCAGCACCGTGACAGTCCCCTCCCTCACTACATACACATAGGCCTACACACCACGTACACACACACACACGCACATGCATGCATGTGTCTTTCCCCCAGGGGCAGCTGCACAACAGCCAGCGGCCATGGTGATGACATTCAGAGTCCTCTCTGTGCGGGTGGAGTCCCAGTATCACTGCAGAGGTCAGCCACGGGATTGCCCAGGCCTGGGCGGGCACGGCTAAACCCAGAGCAGTGCCAGCAGTGACCAGTTGTCCTGTTGGACTCCGGGGCCACCGTGGTCGACCCTCTAGCCACACGGAGGCAGAGGGCAGCTCGTCATAGTTGTCTCGCTGTGCGGGAGACACGCACCAGGATGGCTAAAGCGCTACTATTTACATTAAAATCTGGCATCTCAGTGTGAGGCTGGCCTAGAATGGAACCCCAGCCGGGCTGTGTGACCTCAGACAGGCCCTGTTCCTTGAGCGCTGTGAACCTGTTTCCTCATCTGGAAAACGGGGTGGGGTACACACCTCCCTTTCGGGGGTCTGAGGACTAAATGAATGGGTGCACACGGTGGGCAGGGGCTGGGGTGCCCCCCACCTTCTGTTGGAAGTGGTCTGCTGTCGGCTTCCAGGCCACACAAAGGACAGAGTCAGCGCAGCAGGAGCAAGTTGGAGGGGACAGAGAGGCTCTTCTGAGCCATGAGGAACGAGGGTGGCCACGGGCACAGGGAACACAGGCCACCGGCACAGGAGAGGCTCCGCCAGGCGAGGCGATTCTGCCCACCCAGCCCGGGTTTCCACAGGGCTTGTTGCTGCTCCTTTGATGGAAGGCTTGGGGCACAAGGCCTTCTGCAGGGAGACCCCAGACGGCCCTGGCGGGGGGCAGAAGCAGCTCTGCGAGGACTCGGCCCTGGGCCCGTCAGAGGCATCCCAAGGGTCTGATGTGGGCTTCCTCCAGGGGCCAACTGTAGGTTCTGCTGGGAAAGACCAGGCGAGGTCCGAGCAGCTTTGGGGACAAAGACCTTCTCCCAGGGCTGATATCAATTCACTGGAGGCTGAGAGGGTGAGCGTGTGACCCCCCTGCTCAGCCTGGTCCTGCTCTAGGCACTGAGGGGTGCAAAGGCAGGCTCTCAGGGGCATGTGCACAGCCCGAAGGCCAGCGTGCCTGGCGGGAAGGTGGGGGGGGCCAGGAATGGCGAGGCTGGGGCTGTGGCGGGTCCCTGGGGACAGGAATTTGGGGTGAGGAACTGGCCTTTTAGTCTTGGTACAGAGAGGAGTTGGGGCAGCTCTGAGCCAGGGTAGAACATAGTCTGGGTCTAGAAATGAGCCATCTGGGGGGAACTACAGTTTTGGGGGCCAGGGTGAGAACAGGAGACCTGGCACTGCAACACTCAAGGACAGGGCTGGTGGGGAGTGGGCTGGTGGGGAGTGAGGGGCAGCAATTGACCTCATCCAGGGCAGGGTGGGGTGAGCTGGGGTTTCAGGCCCCCTCAGGTGCTACGTGGAGAGGAGTTAACCTGGAGCAGCAGGGAGGAGTGAGATCCTGGCAGAGGGGACACGGGGACAAAGTCACAGAGATGAGAGCCTGGCTGCCTACAGCCTGGAAGGGAGGAGGAGCAATTTAGTGTTGCCGGAGCATGACACTGTGGGGCCAGGCTGAGAGCCACGACCGAAGAGGGAAGACAGAGGCTGTGCCCAGGGCGTGGCGGGATCCCACAACACGCCAGGGGCACAGGGTGGGAGCGGCTCTCGGGCCCTCGGCTGACTGTGCAACAGTGACAGCCGCAGCCCAGCCCCACCCCACTGTCGTGACGTCAAGTGGGAGGATGGGAGCCAGGCCTCCCCCGCAGCCTCCAGGAACCTGCTCAGCGCCCTCTGAGCTCCGGGCTCCCATGTCCTCAGCACACCATGGAGCTAGAAAGGGTTTCCTCCTGACACCAGGGGCCCTGGAGCTCATGTGACCGTCCTCCCCCAGCCCGGCAGGGCCCCATGGGCTTCAGGGGAGCAGGAAGGGCATGGGCCCGGTGGCCCCCCGTGACGGAGGAAGGACAGCAGGATGACAGAGGCAGGGCCCTGGGGCTCCAGCCCTGACCCTAAGTGGACGCTTACCTGCTCCACTGAAGTCACCCTGTCTGAACTCCATCAGCTGCACCAAGACTTGTAGGGCAGTGGGGAGCCAGGGAGCATCCCACCTGTTTGGACGCGCCCTCTGGCTGTCTTGTGGAGTGGGCTTGCTGGAGGCAGGGCCAGCAGAGAGCCCAGCAGAGAAGGGAAGCAGTATCCCAGCAGGAGGGTTGTCCAGCACAGGCAGTCCAAGGTGAGGGGAGGCACCTGGAGAGGAAGAGAGGGACCTTCAGCAGGGGGAACCGAGAAAGACTTCCTGGAAGAGGTGGCATCTGAGCAAAGCCTCACAACAGAGGAGAGGACCTGGGGACACACAGAGAAGGGAGACGAGGACATGTCCAGGGGAGAGGACAGCATGGATAAGGGTCTGGATGGGTGTGGGGGCAGCCACATTTGGGGGAAATCTGAAGGCCTGTATGGGACAGTTGTCCCTCTTAGCAGGGGCGAGAAGAGGCATCAGGCCTATCTGGCTTGAGGCAAAATGTCCTGTCATTTTTCCTGGGGGCCAGGAGTATGGTGTTGGGGTGTGGCCAGACCTGGCTGTCACCGTCTTCCTCCCCTCTTTCTGCCCTGGAATGGGGTGGGAGCAGTCACAGCGTCCCACAGGTGGCCACAGGCTTTTCTGCATCTGTAGGATGGCGGCAATTGTGGCATCCCTCTCAGGGCTGAGAGGCGGCGGGAGGGGCATCTCACCAGTGAGAACGGGACACAGGTGCACCTTGTGGTCCATGCCTGGTGCATCCTGAGCATCCCGTTCTCCTTCCCCACCCGTCAAGGACCTGCAGCTGGTTGTGCAGCCCCTTCAAGCCCTTCCCTGGGGGAGGAAAACAGGCGTCTGTTGACAGTGCCGCCCCCAGGGTCCAAGTCCTGAGAGGAGATGTGCCCTGGAGGCACGGACAAAACCTGCCCAGTCTCCTGTAGGGCTCCAGGCCTCCTGGAGTCATCTCATCCTGAGACACACAGGGCCCAGGTGGCAGCTGCTCCCCACGTGACTACACCCATGTCCACAAAGGTTGCCAAGGAGCACCAAGGCAAGGTCTCTTGGCAGGTCAGCCTTGGTGGCCCAGGCCAACCCCCAGTCCATCCGTCTGCCCAGCAGTCACCAGGTCCTTCTGCTGGTAGGAGCAGGAACGTGGTTCCATGCACCCAGCTGGAAGTGACACTGAGACAGGTCGTCCCTAGGGACCACGTGCTCTACTGGCTCCCGCTGGGGCCATCGCTGGCTCTGCTGACAGCCGGGCCAGGAAACCAGTGGGAGGTGGCTCATTCCCCCTTCCACGGTCCCACAGGTCACGGCTCCCCTGCTCTCAAAACACTTCGGCAGGCCTCTCAGCAGGGCAGCCCTCCTGTGCCAGGCTCTCAGCAACATGCCCCTGCCCACCTTTCCTTCGAAGGGGAGTCCAAGAAAGGGGAGGGCGGCAGCCCCGGCAGGGCCCAACAGCCCTGGTTCTTGCCTGGTCCTCACCGAGGCTTGCTTTGTGATCTTGGGCCTGTTGCTTAACTTCTCTGGGTCCCAGTTTTCTCATCTCTAGGATGGGATGCCCTCCACGCCACAGGCTGAGAATGAGAATTTCCATCCAAGTGTTGTTACCTGGCTCAGAACCAGAGCGGGTCACCAGTGATGCTCAGTAAATGTCCTGTGAGAGACCAGAGTCAGAGCCTGGGTCAAGTCACAACCATGCCCCCCACTCACTGCACCTGCAGGCCAGCCCCACCCCTTCCCTGGGCCTCAGTTTCCCCTGGGTCCCAGTTTCCCCTGGGTCCTAGCCTTTCTACTCTGAGCGCCTTCATTCTTCAGTAATCCCACCTACCATAAGGCCCCCTACAGATGGGACCTGTTGGGGTGGGGTCTCCTTGGCAAGGGCTGGGAGGAGGAGGCCCATGGGAATCGCTGGCCTTGGTCGGGCCATGAGGGCAGTTGTTTCTGGCAGCCTCGAGCGAACGCACTCATCCCATCCTGTTTTCTGTTCGCTCAGCAGCACCGGGGTCATTTGCTGAGGGTAGACCTGGGACCGGAATTCCAAAGTCCTGTCCAGCCAGAGGCCAAGCCCACCGCCCCGACCCACTTCCCCTTCCCCACCATGCGCTGGGGCATCAGACCCCCGCCCACTTCTGCAGAGCAGCTCAGGAATCCAGTGATCAATGTGCGACTCGTGGCCAGTGCCAAGAGCTTTTCCTGACCTCTGCTGCCCCCTCGGCCTGACCCATGGGTGCTAATGGTGACTTTTGGGGTGGGGGTACCAAAATTTGATCTTTAGCAATTTTTTTCTCTGATTTTTCATCCTCACTGTAGAAAATATGACACATTCAGAAAAGTATAAAAGAAAAATGTTAAATTATCCAGCATTTCACCACCCAGGTATAACTACATTAACATTTCTTTGCTTGCCTTATTGTCCGTGGCTGTCCGTATGCAGTTATTTTTTCAATGGGATTATACGGCTCTTTTTCTGAGCACGCCCATCTGCCTGAATCTTGAAGCACTGTTTGAAAGCCAGATTTCTGGGGCAGCATCAGAGCCTTATTGATGGAACCAGCCCCTCTAGGCAGAGGTTGGATCTCCTGCTTTGGCGCAGGGTGAGCAGGGCTGCCCGGGCGTCTCTGCGAGCCCTCCAGCTGATCCCCAGAGAGAACCCAGGAGGGGGACAACCAAGAGGGCACTCGTCTGGGCGCTGTGTCCTCCAGCAGGCCAACACCCTAGCAGGGCCGGGCCGGGCCCATGTCCTTCCTCACACCCATCTGTCCAGCCCACATAGGCCACAGGCAGGGGCAGGGGAGCAGGGGCCCCGGGGCAGGGTGAAGTGGACCCCGGATCCCTAACATCTGCCAGGTCCCACAGCCTACAGGAGACCATACAGCAGCCATCAGGGCCTCCTCCTGACCCGCCAATCCTGCACGCCAGGAACCCAGCCCTGCAACAGGCAGGCACCCGACAGATGCAGAGCTAGTAGGGAGGGGGAGCTTGCACCCATCACTCCCCTCTGAGGTTGAGACAATGGACCAGACCCCACCTGTGTCCTGTGAGGCAGGGCTGAGGGTAGACCTGCCGCTCTGCAGGGAACAACTGACTTCAGGGGCTGCTGCTGCGCCCCCCGCCCAGTGATGGGACAGGATGCTCAAAAGAGGCACTGAGCGAGTGACCAGTGACCCTGCCATGGTGGGACTCAGTGCCACCGCTGAGCTGGGACCCTTCAGAGTGAGGAGTGAGGGCTGGCAGGTGCAAGGCTGGGCCCCCTTCTCTGGTACCCACATCCCCAACCCCTGCTACTTTGCAGATGACAAGTTTTCCTGGCAGGGGGTGGGGACCAACTCCCCATCTCTCTCGGTCTCAGCCAAGGGGCTGTGGCTGTGCCCCTGATGGTGGGCCACGCATGGCCCCCAGCCCTGCCCACCCCGGCCTGTTCTGAGCAGCTCTGTCCTCTTTGCCCACAGGCTGCGCAGCCCCTGGGTGCCCTTGTGCCTCGGGCAGCCCCGAGTACTGCAGGGCCGGCTGGCCAGGTCCTCGCCCTCCATCTGGGACAGGTAACATACCTGTTGTCTCCCCCGGCTCCCTGGTGTCTCTGCGTCTGTCCCCAGACATCTGTCCCGTGTCTGTGTCCAACTCCCCGAGACAGATGCAGAGGCCCAGAAGGTGAAGGTGAAGGCGTGGGCCGGCGGCACAGCCTCACAGCCCTCAGCCCAGCATCCCAGCCAAGGGCTCCTTCCTTGGGCTTGGACCCCCTGCAAGTGGCCAGAAGGGGCTCTCGGTGGAAGGCAGAAGGGAGATCCCTCGAGGCCCCACCATGTGCCAGGGGAGCTGGGCACTCACCCCAGTCCAGGGAATTCCCACAGGCAAGGAGGGAGCCAAGAATCACGTGCGCACGCACACGCACACCACACACACGCACACGTGCACACACACTGCCGGTTAGCCCCAGATTCTGGTGTAACTCACCAGGCAGCAAGCCCAGCAGGGCCCCCCAGGCCCCCAGGCCTGGAAGGGTGGCCCCAGCCTGGAGGGCGTGGCCCTGGCGCTCGGAGCACCACAGCCCTCCCTGTATGTCTGCTAAGGAGCTGTTTCCAGACGCTGGGGACTCCCTGACCCATCTCGGCCCTTGCCAGGACACCTTTTCACCCAGGGCAGGGGACAGAGGCCTCTGAGCCACAGGCCTCCAGCAGTTTCCCCCAGATTCCCAGTGGCCTGGTGGCCCCACCCCACACAGTGCCACCTCTTGACATTGTCCACTGTGTGGAGGGTGCTACTATGTAGAATGTGGACCAGCAACAGCCCTGCCCCCGTGTCTGGGTGCACCATCCAGTTCTGCAGATGTGGAGACAGGCTGCCGTGGCAGGGCTCGGGTTATTGCCCGGTGTGGGGAACACTGGACAGGGAAGGAGGTACTACCCGGGTGACCGCAGACCCTAGGTACACAGCCTGGACTGGGCAGAGGGGACACGTTCAGAGGTGTGAGAAGCTGAACCCCCAGGACTTAGTGACAGGGCTGTGAGGGGTAAAGAGGGGTCACCATGCCCACCCCCCGGGTGGGGAACGTGGAGGGCAGTGAAGGTGTGGTGGATGTGGCTGCATTGGACGGGTTGGGTGTGGAGATGCCTGAGGGCCATAGGTGGGTGGCTGGACGTGGTGAGGGTATGGAGCCTGACAGACACCCCGCTGGAGTCAGATGGAAACCTGGGAGGGGTCCCTGTGCAGCTGGCTTGGAGGGGATTTGGTCTGAGCATGCAGGGCAGGGGTGCAGGTGCAAACCGGGGCCCCAGGGAACAGCCCGGGCGAGGTCGGGAGGGGCCTGTGGTGTGATCGCCGGACCAGCAGAGGTGGGGAAAGACGTGGCAGGAACCCTGGGGCGGCCAAGTGCGGGGCATCAGCTATGCCTGGGGACGGGGTGCGTGTCCATGGCCCGATGCCTGCAGCAAGCGGACACTGAGGCAGAGAGGGGTGTGAGAGTCAGGGGCTGGGGGCACTGCTAGCCCAAAGATTGGTTGGGTGTAGCAGGTGGTTGGGTGTGAAGGACTTGGGGAGGGGGAGCAGTATTTAAGGGCTGGTGGAACAGGGAGTTGACTGCTGTATCTGGAAGGCCATCCAAAGGCCAGGGGTAAACTGAGGCTCTGTGAAGCTGCCTGACTTGTGAGATGTCTGCCCCGAGCCCACCCCATAGCCCCTTCGTCCTCCCCTCCCACACCTGCCCCGTGGAGAATCCCTGCCTAGCTCATTGTCTGCCTCCCCTCTGGACCGCAGGCTCCCGGGGCAGGGGCAGGGTTTGTCTTACTCCTGGCTGTGAGGTCTCAGACAGGTTGCTTGCTCTGAGAGGTGAGGGTAGGGACCTCAGGGTGCCCAGAAGGGGCAGGGCTGGGTGAGGGGGCACAGTGAGCTAGGGGTGCAGGTCTCAGAATAGCAAGGACCTAAGGCTGCTCAGTGAGGCCTGGGGTGTGGCTGGAGAAGGGGTGAGGACTCGGGGCTGAGGTGGCCACGTGGGTGGATGGATGACGCCCTCACCTCTTCCCGAGGGCTGTGGGTACACCAGGAGCCCCTGCAGGGAACAGTCGACTTCAGGGGCTGCTGTGCAGCCCATTGTGCCTGCCCTAGGAGCCCAGGATGGCATAGGAGTCCCCAGGAAGTTCACCACCTCCCTGGGGAGGACAGGTCTGTGTGGGAAGCAGCCTGGGACCTGTAGCTATAGAGTGCTAGAAGTGGGGCAGCCACGGAAGGCTGCCTGGAGGAGGTGGAAGGAGGCCTGAGCACTGTCCCAGAGAGCGCTCCCGGAGGCAGACCCACGTGGGCAGCTGTGGCACTTTGCCTCAGGGCTTCCCTCTTTGCTTGTTACTCTACTTCCTCTTGTGGTGACTGACTCTTGGGAAGACCCGCCCTGCCCTTCTCTGAGGTTCTCAAAAACGTAAGCGACGCTTTATTTTTATTTGTTTTTAAAAATATAGCCCTGGGCAGGAATCCAAGAGTGCTTCCTGGAGGCTTGCTGGGTGTGTGCCCGCAGTGCCACATGCGGTTTACTCACGGGGCCCAGACAGAAGATGCCTCTGCTCGGGGCTGGGGGACAGTGGTGGCCCCAGGGGGACTGGGAGCCTCCTGCCTGCCCTCTACTCCCCTCGCTTGGGTTTGGGTCGGGAATATCACAAGAACGCGGGCTTTTGCCCAAGGTCCCACAGCACATCTGGGCAGAGTCAGGGTTCCAGGCCCTCTCCCACACCTCAAGTTTCCTTCATGACACCCGGGACTTCTGCCTGTCCCGTCCCCATCTCACAGCAACACAATCCAAAAGATGTTGGTCCCAGATAGCCCCTGGGCTGTGCACCCATTGCAAGGAAAGAACTGCTGGCTGCTGACCCCACTCTGACCCAGACAACCGGAAGTGCAGCCCCTGCCTTGGGGAGCTCCGAGCCATCCCTGTTGGAGGCCCCCACACTACCCTCCTGCCTTTGCACAGCTTTAGTTCAGGTGAATTGTTGGCAGGTGGCTCGGAAGAGTGGGTCATAGTGGGTCTCTGTTTCCTGAGCATGTGGGGCTCTGCATCCTGGGGTCCTACCCTCCAGGAGACCCCATTCTGGGGGAAGAAAATAGAGCCTCAAGAATTGTCTGGGTTTCTGGAAGGCTTCCTGGAGGAAGGGGAACTTGAGCAGGCCAGGACCTTGCCAGGTTTCCCGTGCTGCATGCAGCCTCATTGGCCATGGTGGCAGACACTGCCCGGGCATGGGACATTGCCACCAAACATCTCTCTGGCCCAGAGAAGTGACCCAGGGTCCCAGGGCCACACAGCCATTTTGGGGAAAGCAGGTCTGGTCTTGGGCATGGCACTGCTGACTCTGGGCCTCAGCCATCCCAACCTAGCACTGTGGAGGAGCAGGAGTGAGGGCCCCAGTCACCTGTGCCACCCAGGGCCAGCTCTGTGATAGCCTGGGTGCTGATGGGTGCTCTTTGTACCTGGGTCCTTTAAACCGCCCCCAACACACTGGCCAGGTTCTGGGGTCAAAGACTCCTCCAGCCACCACCTGGGATTTACCTGTGTGAGGGACACTGGTGGAGTCTGAGGAACCGCCCAGGCCAGACTGGCTCAGGGTCAGAGTCCCTGACTCTGGGGCGCCATGGTCTTCAGTGACGCCCGGGAGGCTGGGTGTGTGTGAGTGTGTGTGTGTGTGTGTGTGTGTGTGTGTGTGCGCGCGCGCGCGCGCGCCGGTACTCGCGTGTTAGTGCGGCACGCCCCGGCTGGCCTGCGGGCCTTAGTTTCCCCCGCTCAGCGCCGCGGCCCGGCCCGCCGCCGCCATGTCGTTGCAGCGCGCTGCAGGAGCAGAAGGGCGAGCTGCGCAAGCGGCTGTCCTACACCACACACAAGCTCGAGAAGCTCGAGACCGAGTTCGACTCCACGCGCCACTACCTGGAGATCGAGCTGCGGCGCGCGCAGGAGGAACTGGAGAAGGTCACGGAGAAGCTGCGCAGGTGAGGGGCGGGGCGAGGGCCGGGGCGGGGCGAGGGCCGGGGCGGGGCGAGGGCCGGGGCGGGGCGAGGGCCGGGGCGGGGCGAGGGCCGGGGCGGGGCGAGGGCCGGGGCGGGGCGAGGGCCGGGGCGGGGCGAGGGCCGGGGCGGGGCGAGGGCCGGGGTGGGGCAGGGCCCGAGGCCCGGAAAGCCGCACGCGGTGCTCCCCTCTCACCCTGGCTGTTGACTCCACTCAGATGGGGAGTCCAGAGGTTCTGGTAGGGGAAGCTCTTCCTCCAAAGTCACACTATGGAGCAGCTGAGCCAGGATTTGAACCCAGCAGATCTCCAGACCCAGACTGGTCCACCCGGGGCCCAGCCATGGTTCCCTGGGTCCTGATGGGAAAAGCTGTGTCTAGCCCGGAGATGAACCAGTTTAGGGACCCTTCCCTTGAGCGCGTACGGGCTAATGAAGTGTCGATCCAGTTGTGCTGGACTCCCTCAAACACCAAACTTTTCTAAAAGCAGTTTTCTTGTGCACATTTAAAATGGATGTTTTTCTGAAATGTAATATGCACTTTCTCATCTTCTTAAACAGAAAATGCAAGAAGCATGCAACCTTTGCTGTTGGCTTGATTTGTTTTAGGTATTTGTAGAGAATCGGCTGGTGTTGCCCCTAGGGAGGACTTGCCATAGGGAGAGGGTTTGTCCCTCTCCGAACAGCCCCAGCTCCTGAGTGTTTTGAATGTCACCCTCCATTCATGTGGAAACCAAGCTTGGGCAGTGCAGTCAGACCTCAGTTAAAATCTGGGCCCTGCCAGTTACTGCTTTAAGTAATTAAAGTTTCACCTCAGTTTCCCTATTGGCAAGACAGGGGCCATAACACGACACATAGGTTGTCTGAGGCTGGACACCATCCCCAAGCCCCCTCCCACCAGCAATGGAATCTCCAAGCACCTGATTCCCACCTGACACTCAGCTCCACTCCTCCTACCCGGCAGAACCGAGTCTTGTTCACTGTGATGTCTCCAGCCTCACCCTGGGGCCCATCACATAGTTAGTGTTAAGTTTCTTCCCTGCTCATTTGCATTTGAACTGTCAACCCCATAACAGGTTTGTAAGAATTGTGGGTCAAATGTGAGTAAACTGGCTCCGCGTGTGGATGGGACAGAGTCTCTTGTGAATAACAAGCCTTCCCTTCCCATCTTCAGGGGGTCCCGGGGTGGAGGGGGAAATACAGTCCTGGGCCCTGGCCTAGGAAAGGCTTCTACAAAAGTTTGCTTTAATGGGATGTTCTCTGCTGTGTGCAGAGGGGCACACATTCCACCAGGGTGAAGCTGGTGGGGTGAGCTCAGGAGGTCCAAATTCAGCCCCACCCTGCTCAGCAGGCTGTGCGGCCATAAGGGTCGTGGGAGGGACAGGCCTTGCATGGCAGTGACCCCCTTGCCTCCTGCACCAGGATTCAGAGCAACTACATGGCACTGCAGAGGATCAACCAGGAGCTGGAGGACAAGCTGTACCGCATGGTGAGGCCGCCACGCAGCGCCCACTCCCCCACCCCACACCTCCTTCCCGGGGGGAGCCACCCAGCTGACACCCCTGGGCCACTCAGGAGCTGGGACACAGGTCTTGCTGGTCCCACCCCTTTCTCCATGGAACATGTGGAGCAGGGTGTGTGCTCTCAGGCTAAGGAAGTACTTGGGTCCAGGGCTGCCCTGTGCTGCCTGAGTGGCGGGTGCGAGCACTCCAGCCTGGGGGTGTGTAAGAGGGGCTGTGGACGGAGGACATACACTGGGAACGGGCCCCCCAGCTCAGCCTGCCAGTCCAAGGACCTGGGCCCAGGAGGATAGGGAGGCCCGAATTCAGGCCCTGGGTGAGCCAGAGGCAGGTTTGAGCCCCAGCTCCGCCTCTCATGGGGACCCCTCTGTGGGGACCCTCACACCACCTGCAGGTGACCTCAGTGGGGTCGCCATTTTCTCTGTGAACACACTGCTGGGACATGTCGAAGAGGGGCAGGGTGTGGGTTTCTGGTGCCACTCCCTCACTAGGATGAAGAGGTTTCCTTTCTTTCTACTTTGGTGACCAGCTCATTTTGGTTTTGAAAGCAACAACCTGCCCACCTTTGTGGTGCTATCAGAGACGGGGGGTGGCAGGCCTGGGGGCTGGGCCTGGCTCTGCCTGGGTGCCTGGACACCGGCCCTTTCCTGAGCCTCAGTTTCCCAATCTGTCCAGTGAGGTGGGCTGGGCTCTATGCCAGGCACAAGTCATCTGTCCTCCGTCCCCACTCCCAGCTCCTGAGGCAGGACGCTGTCACCTCTGTGTTGCACATGAGAAACTGAGGCTCAGAGGCAGTGACGTCCCCAAGGCTGTGTGGCTTGGCAGTGTTGGACCCAGGAATTGAACCAGGGTCTGTCTGTGCTCATAAACCCCACACCCTTGGCCCTCTAAGTGTCTTGTCACTCATGGCTACAAGGGACAAACCAGGGGGTGCAATCGAGCGACTGGGTTGGCTCACCAGGAGCCAACCACGGGCCTCCTCCTCCCACTGTCCCACCCCCAGGGCCAGCACTATGAGGAGGAGAAGCGTGCGCTGAGCCACGAGATTGTTGCCCTCAACAGCCATCTGCTAGAAGCCAAGGTGACCATCGACAAGCTGTCAGAGGACAACGTGAGTGCCGCACACACTTGGCCCATGGAAGACTGCCGGTGGGCCTAGGCGAGGGCTTCCCAGGATGCACTGGGAGTCACATTCTGACTCTGAAGGGTCCTGAGCTCAGCTGCTTTGGCCCCAGCCTCAAGGGGCTGGTGCAGGGTACAGGTGGATGGACAGGCTGGTCAGGGCTTTGAGAAGGACCTGCTGCAGTTGGGGAAAGATGGTGCTGTCTCATTGAGGACGCCAAGGGTGTCCTTAAACAGACCCTCTGCTGTAAGGACTTGAGCTAGGGGATGCGGGGCCATATTATCCCATTCAAGGCAAGGCTTCCTGATCCCAAGGTGGGGTCATGGCCACTCAGGACTCCTGCCCTTGGCCAGTCCCAGTGTTGCATCACAGCCGTGTGGCTGCCCATGGGGCCTAATTTCAGGGACCCTGTGAGATGGGCCCAGTTGCCCTCCACAGACCCTGGACAGCTGCCTCTGCATTCACGAATTAGCTTCTACCTTGCCAGACCCTACTAGGCTCCAAGATGATGGTGTGAACAACACAGGCAAAAAAAAAAACAAAAAAAAAAACACCTCTGGCCACGTGGAGTTCACATCTGAGTGGGGCAAACTCTGGGGTATGTTAGAAGTGTGAAATGCTATAGAGAAACAGAAAGCGAAGAACGGTACCAGGGAGTCGCCAGCTGCAGGGCCTGCAGATTTCAAGAGGGTGCTTCTGGAAGGGGCTGCTGTGCCAGGACCTGAGGGAGTGAAGGAGCCAGCCATGCAGACATCCGTGGGAGAAGCATTGCTTCCAGGCAGAAGCAACCGTGGTGTGCAGCTGTACCTGGTTAACTCGGAGGATCCCAAAGGGGCCAAGGAGCGCCCAGCGGGAGGGGGAGCCAGGGTCTGAGGTCAGAAAGACCATAGGAGGCAATGTTGTAGAGGCTCCTCCCAGAAACCTGGGCTTTATTCTGAGTGCAGTGGGGAGCCATGGAGGGTTCTGAAAACAGAGGAGCAACGTGATTGCACGTGCAGCTTCCCAGGGCTCACGTGGCTGCCATGCTGGAAACAGGCTGTAGGGACGAGGACAGGAGCAGGAAGATCAGGAGGAGGCCAGGACCATAGTCCAAAAGATGATGGTGGCTCAGATGACGGTGGAACTGGGCAGAGGGCTGGGATTCTGGTTGTGTTTTGAAAATAGAATCAACAGGACTAACCAAGATTTAGGATGTGGGTTGTTAGAAGAAGAGCTGAGTCCAACCCAGCTACAGGATTCAGAGCCCAAACAAAAGGAGTTGCCTGCCATTTCCTGGCTGGGGACAGCTGGGGAGGGACAGGAGCTGGGTGGGAGATGCACAGGACCCCTTGGAGCGGAGATGTCACCAGGGCAGCAGGAGGCCCGGGTCTGGAGTTGAGCGTGAAGGCCGGCATGCCGGCGGAGACTGCCCAGGCAGCATGCAGATGAGAAGCAGGGAGGCCCCAGGACGGAGTAGGGACCAGCAAGGATGCCTGGGAGGGAGTGGCCAGTAGGCTGGGGGACACCAGGCGAGTATGGTGGCCCAACAACCACTTGAGAAGGGGGCTGCAGTCAATGCCCTGGCCGGCTGGCTTGCCAGCTGCTGAGAGACCAGGTCAGAGGGCCAAGGAGAGGCATTGGGATTTGGGGAACTGGAGGTCGGTGGTGGAGTGGAGCGGTGGTTCCAGACACAGGCCACCCTTCTAAGGAGTGTGGCTCTAACAGGAGGACAGGAGGACATGGGCTCGGGACAGGAGGTGCTTCTTAACGTGACAAGGCCAGGCCCCTTACCTAAGTGGACACTAGTCCTGGGGCCCTCTCTGCAGGGTTGGTGCACATGAGGAAACTAAGGCATGGCCAGCTTGAGTGGTTTCCCAGGTGACCCAGGTGGTGTCTCGCAGACGGAGCCAGAACTCAACCTCGGGACTCCGACTCCAGCAGCCCCGGGCCCTGGGTGGCCAGAGTGCTTGCCTCCACCTGTTCGCTCTGCCAGAGTGTCCCGTGAGCATTTCCTCCCCGAGCCAGCAGCTGCGGCTGCTCAGGAAAGGCTCCCAGCTGTCCCAGAGCTGGCCACCTCAGACATGGACAGCCCAGGGGCTTGGGTACTCAGCCAGGTGCCCCAGGGGCTATGGGCATGGCACCGGCTTCCCAGTGGCAGCCACTCCTGGCTGTGGCTGGTGGGGCTCAGTGGCAGACCTGGGCTGGCTGGGCAGTGCCTGCAGCCCTCTGGTGCCAGGGGCAGCCGGTCGACTGGGGTCATACAAGGGGTCAGTTCTCAGCTCTCAGGCAGCCGTGCTGTTCTGTTCCTAGGAGGCCCAGGGAGGCACTGAGAGGGGTTTGGCGACTCCGACGCCCTCCACCGTGTAGGCCAAGTTGGGGGCACCAGCCTTCAGTGAGGGAGGCTCCAGGGCCGTGGTGGGGGGACAGAAAGGTGCCTGTGTCAGAGACAGCCTTGCCTGGACAGCAGGATGCCTGGTGCTGGCTGGGTTGGGACTGTGGCCAGCCCTTGCCAGGAGCAGCCATGGGGCAGCTCAGGTGGGTCACTGGGCCTCCGGGCCACCCCAGGGCTAGCTGTCAGAGCCCTCGCAGTGGGGACCCCGGAGGGGCGGGAATGCAAGCCCCAAACACAGGCACATGCAACAGAGATTTTCAGTGGCGAAGCCACACCCCTTGAGTCCTACTGTTTGCATCTGTTTTCAGCTCAGGAGGCTGAGCCAGCGCCCGCCTGGGCCTGAGGTCACACACCTGCCCAGTCCCTGCCCAGCCCTGCAGCCACACTGTTTCCAAACCACACTCTGGGAAGAGGGTTGTGAGCAGCAAGTCTGAAGTGCGGGGTGGAAGGTGCTGGGGGTTCATCCTGCCTCCCATTCCTGCCTGGCACTCCCACCCCGTCATCTTTGGAAGGACGCCGAGAGCCTGAGGGACAGGGACAGGGAGACCAGGCCTGCTCTACGAGCCTGGGGGAGCTCAGGGCCATTGGGGCTCCTTCTTCTACCACTGCCCCCCACCTTGTGGGAGGTTCCCATCTTGGCAGTGCTCAAGGGCACCAGCTAGGGCAGCGGCAGGGCCCTCCATGCTCCGGCAGCCCCAGGTCAGAAAGAGGCTCTCATTTTGCAGGCAAGAGTGTGGAGGCCAGAGAGGGCCGGAGCCAGCAGTGGGTCCTTGTCCTGCTGAGCGCACAGCAGGCCCTGTGCACACCACTGCCCCCGCTGGCCACTTGGCGCTGGTCAGGGCGGCGGGGCCTTGGCTGGGGTGAATGGCGCCAAACGCCTTCTCTTGTCTTTTAGGAGCTCTATAGGAAGGACTGCAATCTAGCGGCCCAGCTGCTGCAGTGCAGCCAGACCTACGGCAGGGTCCACAAGGTGTCTGAGGTAACGTGGCCCCGCAGCCAGGCCCACCCCGCCCCGGGACCACCGGGCTCCTTTTGTGCCAGTGCTACCCCAAAGCCATTTCCCATCTTTGAGGAGGAAGATGCCAGCTGAGCCTGAGCCTCCTCTGTCCCCCTCGCTCCTGTGGGGTCATGACATTGGAGGGGCCGCCAAAGGCACCCCACCTCACGCAGCCGGGCAGCCCCTGGCCCTCACCAGAGTCCCTTTGGCCCACCCCGGCTGCTGGTTGCCCTCGGTTTCCTTTGGGGGGCTGCTCCAGGTCCTTGCTTCCACTGAGCGCTGACACGGCAGAGTGACCTTTGTGGAGCTTCGCAGGAGCCTGTGGCTGGGCACGATGACCGGCAGTGCCTATTTCAGAAAGAAAACATTCAGGAAAGAGGGCGTGGCTGAGGCCACGTGGCAGGCAGGTAGCAGAGCCAGGACCCAGAACCAGGCCTGTCTGATGCCAAGGGCAGATGGGCCAGAGGCCCACCCCTGCCCGCCTATGGTCGCCGCACCCTGCGCACCCCGTCCCCCGACCCTCCCCTCACATGCAATCTCCCAGCCAGGCCTGTGCGTTCCTTTCCCCTGGTCCTGGGCCATGCCTGAGACACTCACAAAATAGATCAAACAGTAGCGGGACACCCCCACATGGCACCAGGCGCTCTCAGCCCTGGCCCTCAATCTTTGTTGCATCTGAGTCTGTCTTCTTCAGGAGCGCTCCAGCAGCATGACTGGGGGGCTGGGGAGTGGGTCATGCCCCCAGTAGAACCCACAGAACCCACGGGCCTGGGAGAGCAAGTCAACCCCTCGCTGGGCACAAAATGGGTGGGGTGGGGGTGGCGGGGGGTGGAGCCTTGAGTGGGGCCTGAATCAGACCTGGGTTCCGGCTTCTCCAGGCGACTGCAGCTTCTGGGCTCTCCTGGGCCCAATCAGAGTGGGGTGGGGAGAGGTGACCCAGGATCCCCAGGCAGTCACAGCACCCACACCCCTGGGAGCTTGTTCAGTACAGCGTCCTGGATCCAGGCTCCCCCTGGTGTGATTTGAGAAGCCGGGAGGCCCCCGTTCGTCTGTCTGCCTGTCGGTCATGGCTAACATCAGTCCTCAGCTTCAGGGCCAGGGCTGGGCTGCCATGCTAACAGTGACCCTGTACCCGCCGTCCCCCTCCTCGCACCCGTTCCAGCTGCCCTCGGATTTCCAGGAGCGCGTGAGCCTGCACATGGAGAAGCACGGCTGCAGCCTGCCATCCCCGCTCTGCCACCCGGCCTACGCCGACAGCGTCCCCACCTGCGTCATTGCCAAGGTGCTGGAGAAGCCGGACCCCGCCAGCCTGTCCTCCCGCCTGTCCGATGCCTCCGCCCGCGACCTGGCCTTCTGCGACGGGGTGGAGAAACCAGGCCCGCGGCCCCCCTACAAGGGAGACATCTACTGCAGTGACACAGCCCTCTACTGCCCGGAGGAGCGGCGGCGAGACCGGCGGCCTAGCGTGGACGCGCCCGTGACCGACGTGGGCTTCCTGCGGGCCCAGAACTCCACTGACAGCGCGGCCGAGGAGGAGGAGGAGGCCGAGGCGGCGGCCTTCCCGGCGGGCTTCCAGCATGAGGCCTTCCCCAGCTACGCAGGCTCACTGCCCACGTCCAGCTCCTACTCCAGCTTCAGCGCCACGTCGGAGGAGAAGGAGCACGCGCAGGCCAGCACGCTGACCGCGTCGCAGCAGGCCATCTACCTGAACAGCCGCGACGAGCTCTTCGACCGCAAGCCACCCGCCACCACCTACGAGGGCAGCCCTCGCTTTGCCAAGGCCACGGCCGCGGTGGCGGCCCCGCTGGAGGCCGAAGTGGCCCCAGGCTTCGGGCGGACCATGTCACCGTACCCGGCCGAGACCTTCCGCTTCCCGGCCTCTCCGGGTCCCCAGCAGGCCCTGATGCCCCCAAACCTGTGGAGCCTGCGGGCCAAGCCGGGGACCGCCCGGCTCCCCGGGGAGGACATGAGGGGCCAGTGGCGTCCCCTGAGCGTGGAGGACATCGGCGCCTACTCCTACCCCGTGAGCGCTGCCGGCCGCGCCTCACCCTGCAGCTTCTCTGAACGCTACTACGGCGGGGCCGGGGGCAGCCCGGGCAAGAAGGCCGACGGCCGCGCCAGCCCGCTCTACGCCAGCTACAAGGCCGACAGCTTCTCCGAGGGGGACGACCTCTCCCAGGGCCACCTGGCAGAGCCCTGCTTCCTGCGGGCGGGCGGCGACCTGAGCCTCAGTCCCGGCCGCTCGGCTGACCCACTGCCCGGCTATGCACCCAGCGAGGGGGGGGACGGGGACAGGCTCGGGGTGCAGCTGTGTGGGACCGCCAGCAGCCCTGAGCCCGAGCAGGGTTCCAGGGACTCCTTGGAGCCGAGCTCCATGGAGGCCTCCCCGGAAATGCATCCTGCCGCCCGCCTCAGCCCCCAGCAGGCCTTTCCGCGGACTGGTGGCTCGGGGCTGAGCCGCAAGGACAGCCTCACCAAGGCCCAGCTCTACGGAACCTTGCTCAACTGAGCGCCTGCGTGCAGGCCTGGCCGTGGTTCGCTCCCCGCCAGCCCACGTGCCCCAGAAGGGCCGGCCTCACCTCTCCCCAGCCCCCGCTGTTCCCCTGCCCCGGCCAACAACGAGGAGTCTGTTCCTCCCCGCACCTCCTCTCCTCCCCAGCCCTGTAGGCCTGAGGGGAGGGTCCCCCACACCACGGTGTCCACCCGGCCCCGGCCCGTGGAACTCCACTTAGAGCGTTTTTCACGCGTCCTTCCCCCATGTGAGAGGAGCATCCCCCCTTTTATAAAGCGAAACTATTTTTATAGAGAAAAAGGGTCTTTCTTAACGCACTTGGCCTCCAGCTCCCTGGACGGCTGCCTTGGCGTTTTCAACACAAAGCTCCTTTATTTTTTGGGCGAGGGTGCGTGGGGCCTGCCCCTTGGAAGGGAAGGGAAGGACGGTGTCCTGTGGAGACCAGACTCTGCAAGTGGGGAGACCACCCCCGCAAGCCAGTGACAAGGGAGCCCTGAAGTTGTGTCCACGAAGAGGGAGCTGAAACAAATTCGGGGCTATGAAGTGTTTTAAAAATCCATTCTTCGCAGTGTGGCCACCACACCGCCCTGAGCCCTCCCACGGCCCATCGTCCCGGGTGGGCCGGGATGATGCCCCAGTGCGGCCGGTGCTCATCTCCGCCCCCGGGTCCGCCCCCTGACACCGTCTTACTCTACCTCAGACATGAGGAGGCCCTCCATTCCTGGTTTCTGTAGCTTGCATTCTTGTTGTCTCTGATGCATGCCCTGCCAGTTAGTACTGTATTTTGCATTCATTAATAAAAGACACCGGTGGAAAGAATCTGGGTTGGGCTGTTTCTCCTCCTCCTGCCTTTTGGTCTCGGGAACCTGGGGTCCCTGGTGTCCCTCCCCAGCCTTGCTCTCTGCAGCCGAGTTGGGCCCCTTAACCCCACTTCACACCCCATCCCCATAACACCCCGTCCCCACCCCGCCATCCAAGTTCCTATCTAGGGTGTGGATTCTCCTGCTTCTCCCAACCCACTGGAGACAACAGCTCTTTCATCCCATTCTCCTGCGCGCTGCCCCACCGATTTCCTGGCCCCTAATCCTCGTGTCTCAGACTTGGCTTCTGCTCCTTGAGATGTACTGGGGCCACGGATGGAATGTCGGCAGGTGGCCTTTTCCCGGGCACACGGGATGCTGCCGCTCTGCTCTGTCTTCCTGTTGGTATTGGGAACTGGCTGTCAGTCCCGGAGCCGCTCCATTGGTTAGAAAAAAAAAATTGCTTTCTTTTCCCCGGCTCTTTAAGATTTTCTCTTTGACTTTGGCTTTCTGCAGTTTCCCTGAGGTGTGTCTGGGTGTGGAGTTCCTTCTTAGGAATCCTTCTGAGGATCCTCAGGGAGTCACATCTGTGGATTGGTGGACTTCATCAGTTCTGAAAAATTCTCAACTATTATTTTTTTAAAAACATTTCTCTGCCCATTCTCTCTGTTTTCTCCCTCCGGGTTTGTTTCCCAGACCTGTGCTACCTCAGGCCTGCAGTGGCCCTGTCACCCCCCACCATGCCCTGTGCCACTCCAGGCCTGCAACGGTCCCTGTCACCCCTCCCCACACCCTGTGCCATCCCAGGCCTGCAGCGGGCCCTGCCGCCCCTCCCCACACCCTCCGTGGTTGCTGCGCTCTCCCTGCTACACTGCACATCATCTGTCTTCCAACTCACTAATTCCCTCCTATGTCTATTCAGCCGCCACACACAGCCGCTGAGGTTTTCATTTCAGTTATTCATGTTTTTCATTTCTGGAGGTTCTACTTGGTTGTTTTACAAATCCACAGTGCCACTTTCTTAGCTTCCCATTCCCTGGAGATATTTTCCAGCTCATCTCTTATTTCTATCAAAACAGTGGGCACAACCATTTCACAAGCTGGTCTGGGACCGGACCATGTGGTCTGTGCAGGCCTCCTCGTGGTTCCCGCTCCGGCGGCCCTGTTTCTCTGGACGCCTGCTCATCTTGGACACATGCTCATCCCTGCCCTTGAAGAGGTGCATGTGTGGGTTCAAGGCTGAGGATGGAGGCCCCTCCCTAAGAGGGCCTTTATAGCTGTCCCTGTAGGTGCCTGGGGCATGTCCCAGTGGGGAGCACCTCACCCAGGTTCGTGTCTGGAGGTTCCCTGGCACGCCTGGCTTTGTGTGTAGCTCTAGCGTGGCTCTGCCTATGGTCAGACCACTCCAAGGAGAGTGGGCATCAGCCGTGGCTCCCTGCATCCCTGCCCTCCCCCTTCCTCTGCAGAAGAAGCCAGAGCCAGCCAGGCTGTGTCTTCTCCAGCCATAGCTGCCGTCCCAGGAAGCAGCCTCCCTGAGCCGGGGGAAGCTTGGAGAGGTTTGGGATTCTGTTCTCCTCTCTGGGGCCTGTGGGCAGAACAGGGGCTACAGCCCTCACTGAGCTGGGGGCAGCCAAGAGGGTGGGAGAGAGAAATAACTGGCACCCGGTGGGCAGAGGCATTCCCAGAGGGGAACCCAAGCTTCAGCTACCCCAGTGTCAACTGTGAGATTTCTGTCACCCAGACGTGGGAAAGCTGAGGCCAAAAAGAGGGGCGCCCTGGCTCTGCCACTTCTAGGTGACAAAGGCCCCACCCAGGTCTCACTCCTGGGGGCTACTGAATCAGACATACCTGCCCTGGGCGGCAGCCTTGGCCCAGATCTGGGGGGGCCAGACCCAGGGTGTTGGCCCCAAATTGCCACCTCAGAGCCTGCGGCCCCCAAGATGGCCTCCACACCTCACAGGGCTCTCCTGCCTGGGCTGCAATGCCTGCCACAGCCGGGCCTCCAAGGTGTCTTGTTCCCGGAGCAGCCAGGACCATTAGGTCCCTGCCTAGGACTGGGTAGGGACGGTGACTTTGGCTGCAGAGCCAGGCAGCCTTCAGGCGCAGGAGAGAAGAGGAAGGAGAGGGTCCACATGGCTTGCAGCGGCAGGGTCAGGCTGACACCCCCGGGGTGGGGGCCTGCCTGCTGTGCACGGCAGTCAGGACACTGCTCCTTGTGGTGCTGAGGCTGGGGAACCTTGGTTCACTATCCCCAATTCTCATGGCTCAAAGCTGGCTCAGCAGGGCCCTGAGACTTAGGAGCACCTGTGGCTCTGACCAGTGACTCTTCTCTCGCGGGATCCCTTGGGCTGGGTCTCGGTGCCCCCCTCCTTTCCCTGGTGCTGTTGTCAGCTGGCAGCCTCATGCTGGCCTCGGGGACCTGGCCCTGCCCACAAGGAACTCAGAGGTGGGGGAGGAAGGCAGACAGTGTAACACTCAGCTCAGGGCTTCCAGAACACAGGGCCTGTGGGCCTCTCAGAGGGGAGGGCCCTCACTGCTCCAGGAGGACGAATGAAAGGGGTCAGAGGAGAGGATCACAATGGGTGTTGAAGGATGAATAGGAGTTCAACAGGTATTTTAGGCAAATGGAACACAGCCATGAAAAGGCACAGATCTGTGACAGCTGGAGAGTTCTAGAAACTGTTCAGTGCTCCTGTGGGGCTCCCAAGGGGCTGAGCTCTGGAGCTGGCAGTTTCCCTCTGGATCTGCCCTTCGACCTTCTGCACTTGGACTGTCCCCACAGCTGAACGGGAAGTCCTGGACAGTCCCCATCTACCCAGGCAGCCGGCCTTGGCACAGGGTTCCCTGCTCCACCCCTGCCCTCTCCCTGCACTGAGATCCTGCCTTGCCGTCAGGGAGGCCCTGTCTGCACATCCGCCACCCGCCCACACATCCATGTATGTTTCTCCTCAGCTCTCGGCAGGGCAGCGCAGGGTTGGGCTCTGCCACCAGTTGACAGTGTCACCTTGGGCAAGACCCAGGCCCCCTGGCCAGCTTCCCTTGCTGGAGCCTGAGGACATTCATCAATGCAATTTCCAGGGACCCTCTAGGCAGCTGGGTCTCCCACTGTACAGACAGCCAAAGTGAGGTGGAGGTGGCGCCTACGGGAGGCCATTTGGGAAGGGATCCCAGGTGCAAAAAGAGCTCAGGCTTGGGGTCAGAGGGCCTTGGGCATGGCTCCCTGCCCTCAGGGCAGCAGTTTCCTCTGCTGGACAGTGGGGATCATGGACACCCTGTCAGAAGCTGCGAGCATCAGCTGCACTCAGAAAAAAGCCACGGCCACGCCCGGCACACAGCACTGCAGCCAGCACACACAGCCTGCACAGCATCTGGAGGTGAAGCCGTTTTTCTCCACGATGGCTTCGGATCTGGCATCCCAGATTTTCTAGGAGAGGATGAAGGTGAACACTCAGCCCCAGGAAGGTGGGTGGAGGGAAGAGACCATACTCCTTTTTCATTCCTGCTCCACATTTTCTAAATTTAGCTTTCTTATTTTAAAACTGCAAACGGTGAACTCCCTGACACCTTGCCAAGGATCAAAGTCAGTCTTTAAGAATGTTCTTTGGAAGAAAGTGTTTGGAAAAAGAAATAGATAAAAGCATGGTGCACACCTGCCATTCTTCCCAATAAAATGACCTAAAAAGGGAAGGGGCTGCCAGCCAGCTGGCTCCCACAGGCGCCTGTGTTGAGAAATCAAACCCACAGAGGGTGGAGCTAAGTAACCGCCACAGTGGGTTTTCTGTGGAGCCCTGGGTGGCCCCCCCGCCCCAGAAGGGTCAGAGCTTTGGGTTGGTTCAAGGCCACCAACTTGAAAATAAATGGACTTCAGGCGCACAGAAGTGGATGGCGTTTGTCCCAAGTGAAGTTGGGTGACAATCTGCAAAGTCCTTTCCTTTGCCTCGTCTCTCCTTATCCCCACAGGCCCACTTTACAGATGAGAAAACAAAGCTCAGAGAAGCAAGGCCCCTGCAAAGGCCTCAGACCAGCAGGAAATGGCCCTGGGACATGAGCTGGTCTCCTGGCTCCGAGTCCCACAGGTGGCAGGCAGTGATGTGTGCCCAGCACAGGAGTGGGGCCAGGAGCCCAGGCAGACAGGAAGCCTTTCAACAGCTATATCCCAGCCCTCAGAAGCCTGACACAGTGTCATCTGTGACTGATGGTCATGTTAAATCAGTGGTAACACGAACATATCACACGGTAGGGAACAATCAGCAAACGCTGCAATGAAATTCTCCATCACAAAATCACCATCAGGAAGGTGGAAAACCACTGGGGTTTGTACTGGGTCAGGAAGCAGAGCATCTGGACTCCAAGGTCTGGGGCTGGCAGTGAGGTGTGGGGATGGGAAAGGCAAATAAGAAACGGCCTGAGAAGCCCGGGCCTCCCTCCACCCCGACCACTGCAGCTTTCCCTCCCCCATGTGTCTGGGTTCATTCGCACAGCATCCATTCATTCCACAAACATGTGCTGAGGCCTGCTCAGGCCTGGAGCTGGGGAGACACACCCTCGTGAAAATACTTGTAGGAGGGTCCTGCACTTGGGGAGGAGATTACTTTCCCTGCTACAAATCACAGTTCCCACCACACCTGCCCAAGGAGCCTGGGTGTGGAGCATGTGTGTGACAGAAGTCAGTCAATCTGAGTTCTGGACTTGTCCAGTGGGAATGAATGAGGGCGGCAGCCCCAGCTGGTGGCTTCTGCCGTGAGATTGAACCTGGAAAAGGCCAATGCCCAGAGAGTGACAGGGACAGCAAGGGTAGGAGCAAGGCCCACCATCCCATGGCCCACTGAGGCGAGGTCTGAGAAGGGAGCCACATTCGCACTCTGCTCTAAACTGGCTCAGCTCCTGCATCAAGTGGTCAGCCTGACACTAAGTCCCAGCACCACTTCCTGAGTGCCTATGACACACGGGCCCTACCGGGAGACACACACACCCAGCCTCATGATCCCCACGAGATGGGCATTATGTGTTCTTGTTTCACAGAAGGAGAAACTGAGGAACTGGGAGCTAGGCAGCTTGCCCAAAGTCACACAGCAATGAAGGACACAGACAGGCCCACATCTGGTCACCAGGCCACGCCTGCAGTCACTTGTGGAAGGCCCACTCTGTGCCGGGGCCAGGCACCAGCAGGGAGCAGGAACCCCAGCCTGGGGCATGTGCTCCACCACAAATGCAGGTGTGGGGCATCGGTGGGGCCGGGGGATCTGTGGGGAAAGGGGGCTGAGGGTGACAGGAGCTTCCACGAAGATACTATCCAAGCAAGCCCTGAGGGAAGGAGGCTGCAGGAGGGGGATGGTGGGCGCAAAGGCCCTGAGGCACCATCAGCCTGCTGGGTGGGGGTGATGGGGTGGGCCCCAGAGGTCATAGGAGCTCCCCTGTCAGAACAGGAGGAGAAAGGGCAAAGGCCAGAGGCGTGACGAGAGGGAGGCCCCAGCAGCCACATGGGGCAGAGGGTGGGGGCTGCCCATCTCCCGCACCAGCCTCAGTACCACCACCCCCAACCGCCTTGCTCAGGCCAGTGGCAATCTTCACTTTCGACAGTGACCAAGCTCGCCGAGCACGGGGTGCAACTCTTTTCACCAAAACAGCCATTCTTGAGCCTAAAAGAAATACATAGAAGGTGCTCCCACTGTGGGTCATGAGGACCCTGCCCCCACATGGGCCAGGGGATCCCACTCACCCTGTCCTCAGGACACAGTAGGGGGACACTGGGGCCGTGCACTCAGCACCCTCAGTGCTCAACTCCAGCTTCCCCACCCACAGACAGGCACACAGTAGGTGCTGTAGACCAGATGCCTGCCATGTGTCAGGCTCTGCAGTGACTGTGGGGCAGGAAGACTCAGCCCTCAGAAGCCCCACCTTGGGGCCTTTGCACAGCTCCTCCCTCTGTCTGGGATACCCCTCCCACGGAGCCCAGGGATCCCAGTGACCCCCTGGACACACTGATACACAGGTCTTCACCCACCAGCCCCAGGCCAGCTCCAGCCCCCTCCAGGACACCCCCACAGACTTGACCTTCTCTGACCCTAGCTGTGAGCCTACAGGCTGGCTCTTCCAATGCCTGGCTTTATAGATGCAGAGATGAACCTGGGAGAGGAGTGGTGCCTTGCCTCGCCTCAGCTACAGTGACAGTGGAGCAGGGACAGAATAGTGGGGAGGGGGAGCCAAGTGCCCACCTCCTCCTGCGTCCCCCACTGCTTTGGCCCATGGGCAGCCTCCTCACATTCTCTGCCCTTCTCCACTGACTCCCCTGCCAGGGACACTGTCTTCACCAAGTTGAGGTCTGCCTCCTCCAGGAAGCCTTCCAAGGTACCAGTGGGCCCCACCCTCGCCTGTCAGCAGATCCCTGGGCTCCTGGAGTAGCCCCTCAGTTACAATTCTGGTGGGGGTTCCATCTAATCAGCCTGTACAGGCACCTGAGGAGCCAGGCCTCCTCCCAGCCCAGCTCCTCCAGGCTCCTCAAGGGTCCCTCACTTCTCCACGCGGCTCCCTCACCAGGCGGGCACACCTGCATGGGCAGCATGCACACTGGCGGGGCAAGGGCTGCCCAAGGGGCCCAAGGCTTGGGCCAACCAGGGGCCCAGCTGGCCACAGTCCTGGGGAGTGCAAGCGGCTGGGGCCTGTGAGGCTGGTGGGGCGCTGAGCTCCAACAGAATCCCTGAGGGCAGACCAAAGACCCAGACCACCCCCACTTCAGGACTCCCTTGCTGGGACCCGCAGAGCGGGGCTGACCCCATCTCAAGCTCGCACAGTTCTCTCAGTCTCCAGAGGTCCAGCAGGCCTGGGAGGAGGGAGGCGAGAAGAAGCTGCTAATGCACACTTGTTGCTGAAATCACTTAACAAACAGCAAAACACACATTTATTGGGCATCGCCGGCTGCCCGCCAGGCGCTTTCACTAGTGTAGTCCTCACACTCCTGAGGCAAACAGACTTTTCTCCCCACTTTACAGATGAGGAAACTGAGGCTCAGAAGGTGGTACCCAGGACCCACAGCCAACCTCTGTGCTCGTTCCTCTCATCTACCCTTGAGGAAGAGGGGAGTCCAAGAGCCCAGCTGGCATCGGGAAGGTTCAGTGACAAAAAGCTCAGTGCCAGATCTTCATGTCCCCTCCCCAGGAGCAGGTGGCGAGGACGGAGGGCAGCACGGGGTGATAGGTGGTGCCGACACAGGCCTGTGTGTGCCCCTGCAGTGTGCATGCTCGGCTGGCTGTGCGGAAGCTGTACATCAGGACCCGGCCATCGGCGCTGCCCGTCACCAGCAAGTCACCGCCTGGGGAGCACTCGCAGCCCACTGAGTAGCCCTCCACCTGCAGAGAGGGACACAGTGGGTGAGCAAGCCGCACCTGTCAAGCCGGGGTGAGTATGCCCATTCTACAGAGGAGCAGGCTGAAGCCCCGAGCTGACGGAGCAGAGCTGGGCTTCGCACCTCGTGTCCCTGAGGCCAAAGCCCAGGTCCCGCCCATGAGGCTGTAGAGCCCTGATGCGGGCCCACATCCCAAGGCCAGTTCAGCAGATCCAGCGGGACCAGCTCCAGCCCAGCTGAGGGGTCTGGCCTCAGTGACAGTCACTAAGCACCCAGCCCCTTCCACCCCAGCAAGGCTTGGCCTCAGTGAGGAAAGGGAAGGATGCAGAAATGACACCCATGACCATTTTGTCCTGTTCCTGCCCCCCACTTCTGAGACCTGTCTGTGTGAGCCAACTACTGCTTCCTGCCCAGTACGTGGGGCCTGGGGTGAGGACCAGATGTGGTTCAGGGACTTGAAGAGACAGTGAGCCACATGGCATGCGCTCACCCAGGAAACAGAAAGCAGGATCCACCCAGACAGAGGCTCCATGCACCCCAGGGCCCATGTCCAGGACTGCCAGGAGGCTTGGGGCTGGGGCTCAGCATTCGCCTGGGGGACAAGGACAGAAGTACCTTGTGCCCTTCATAGCGCCGCCGTCTGCTCATCCGGTAGGGCCACACAGTGGAGAAAAGGGCCAGGTAGTTGCCATTGGTCTGTGCCAGGAACACGGGCTCTCTCGGGTGCAAGGCGAGGCTGGGGCAGGTGAACCTCTCCTGAGAACAGCAGAGCCACAAATGGGTCAGAGAAGACACCCCCAACCTGGCACTCTGCTCTGGGGCCTGGGGCCTGCTCCCAGACCCTAGCTGGGTGTCTCCATTGGTTTCCTATCACTGCTGTGACAAATCACCACAAGCTTGGTGGCTCAAGACACACACATTTCACATCACACAGTCCTGCGAGTCGGAAGTCTGAAAAAGGCCTCGCTGGGCTGAAGTCAAGATGTTGGCGGAGCCGCACTTCTTTCTGGAGGCTGGAGGGGAATCCAGTTTCCTCCATGTTTCCCAGCTTCTACAACCTGCCTGTGTCCCTGTGGCAGGCAGGAAAATGCCCCCCAAAATATACCCATGTTCTAATTCCTGAAACCTGTGAATGTTACCTTACAGGGTCAAAACCAAGGGTCTCTGCAGACATAACTAAGGATTCTGAGATAAGGAGATGATCCTATATTACACTAAATGCAGTCACGTGCAGCCTCATAGAAAGAAAGCCAAGGCTGGGTGTGGTGGCTCACGCCTGTATCCCAGCACTCTGGGATGCTGAGGCGGGCGGATCTCTTGAGCCCAGGAGTTCGAGACCAGCCTGGGCAACATGGCAAAACCCCATCTCTACAAAAAAAAAAAAAAAAGAAAGAAAGAAACAAAGGGAAGGCGCAGAGATGTGACAAACAGTGAAGGTGGTGTGAAGATGCTGGCTTGGAGGGCTGGAGAGATGCAGCCACAAGTCAGGAATGCTGGCTGTCACCAAAAGCCAGAAGAGGGCAGGAAGGATTCTCCCCTTGACACTCCAGAGGGAGCACACCCTGCCAACATCTTGATTTCAGCCCAATCATACTTAATATTGATTATGAACTTCGGGCCTCCAGAACTGTGAGGGAATAAGTTTGTGTTCTTCCAGCCACCAAGTTTGTGTAATTTATCACACAAGGATAGAAAAGGAATCTACATGCCCATCTCCCCACCTCCACAATGAGCCCTCAGGGACAGCCCAGCCCAGCCCAGGGACCCACACAGCCAAAATGCACAGTAAGTGAGGAGGTAAGTGGCCAAATGAGAAAAGAAATGCAGGCACAAACCTCAAAACACAGGGGGCGCGAGATCTCACTGCTTCATTGACAGGAAGCACCCCTAAAAACTACCCCCTCAAGCTGGCTTTACATTGTTCTAACTATTGTCCCTAGGCCACACTCTCTAAGTGAGCCCAAACTCAGAGGGCAAAGTGGGGAGCAGCAGGAAGCACAGCTTCAGGCTGATGTGGCCATCAGAGGCACAGAGGCTGCCATGGCCAGATAACAAGCTCCCAGTGTGATGGTGCCAGGCTGAGCACCTGCTCCCTCCACACAGACAGTGTGGAGTGTAACTATAGTTCAGGCGCAAGGCACCTTCATCTGCCTCACTTCCCCTGGGCTCCTGGAGGCAGGACACCCTCAGAGGCCAGACGTGCCCCTCCAGCTCCCCACAAGGGCCTGTCCTGCCCAATGGGTTGCCCTGGGACACCCTGCAGTGGAGGTCTAGAAGTGGGTTTGCTCAGAGCCACTTAGAACCCACTGAGAACAAGGAAAAGGCAGGGAGGAAAAGAAGGTGTACACAGGATAGATATTTCATGTACACCCACATATATCATATACACATGACATACAGTTTTAAATTCAGAGATTAGTCTTGGGTTAGTTGAAATCTCAAAAGATGATGCTGATGATGGCGGTGGTAGTGGTGACAATGATGACGGTAGCAGTGGTGGTGGTGGTGGTGATGATAACAATATAATAGAGATGGTGGTGGTGACAATCACGGTGGTGATGGTGGTGTGACAGAGATGACGGTGGTGATGATGGTGGTAATGGTGGTGGTGGTGCTAGACATGCTGGTGACAGTGGTGGTGATAGAGATAGTGTGGTGCTGATGGTGGGGTGGTACTGATAAGAGATGGTAGTGGTGACAGAGATGGGGTGGTGTAATGACGGCAGTGATCGTGGTGGTGATACAGTTGGTGGTAGTGACGGAGATGGTGGTGGTGATAGAGTGGTGATGGTGGTGGTGCAGCAATAAAGATGCTGGTGACAGTGAAGGTGACAGAGATGGCAGTGGTGATGATGGTGATGGTGGTGGTGATAGAGATGGTGTGGTGGTGATGACAGGAGTGGTAGTAGTGACAATGATGACAGTGGAGGTGGTGGGTATAAAGATAGTGATGCTGATGGTGGTACTGGTGATGGTGGCGGTGATGACACTGGTGGTGGTAGTGATGCTGATGGTGCTGGTGCTGGTGATGATGGTGGTGATGATAGTAGTGGTGGTAGTGACAATGACAACAGTGGTTGTGGTGGCTATAGACACAGTGATGCTGATGGTGGTACTGATGGTGACGATGATGGTGGCAGTGATGACACTGGTGGTGGTAGTGATGTTGATGGTGGTGGTGGTAATGACAGTTAAAGCACAGAAGCATTCCCCGTGCCTGACACTGTGCTATACCCTTTACAAACATTCTCTCTCTCTCTTAATTCTCAAAACTATTTTCTAATGAAGAAAGTGAGAATCAAAGAGGCTAAATAGCAGGCCCAAGGCTCTCCGCCTTATAAGGTCCTAGTGAATCCAAAACCTTAATGCAGGTGTTCTAACTGTGGGGCCCCTGCTCTGAACTCCTGGGCTACATCAACTGCCAATGCCACTGAGGGTCAGAAACCCCTTCTGAGTAGCTGGTTGTGGTGGCAGTGGGAGGGTGGGGTTTCTCAGGTTGCACTGCCACGTTCCCCATTGATCTGGACTGAACCGCCCCCCACCAGACCCTTACCCTGTGGGGTTGCTGTGCTGGCACAAGAAGAGCAGAAGGAGGTTGCATCTGGAAGCCCACAGCAAGCTCTCCATGTGTGCGGCAGGCTGAGACCTGACTACCCTCATCCTGGAGATTTCAGTCCAGTGAGCCTCCTCCCACAGAAGGGACCTGGGACCTCAGACAGACCAGAACTACATGGATACGCTCTGTGGCTGAAACTGACAGCAATGCCAAATGGGATTTCTTACGTGGAAAATCTGGTTGGAGATTTTGGCAGAGGTCCGGAAATCCCAGGCAATAATGGTGCGGTCAGCTGAGTCCCGGGTGGAAGCGTCTGTGCTGCTCAGGAACTCGGAGCCTTCCCGGAGGAACAGGATGTCCAAGGTCTGCTGGATGGTCGCCTTGTAGCTTCTCATCACCTGCAAGAGCGGACACCGGTCATGCTGGCAGGCCTGGCAGCACGGACAGGCGCCTATGCAGGGAAGGCCAAGGACCCAGGGGGCAGGCAGGTTTAGTGAAGTTTATGCTGGGCCACACACACCCAGGCTGAGCAGCACCCACAAGCCATATATGGAATCATGGACCCTCCTGCCCCATGCCCAGTCCAGTGTCTGTCAGCTTCTCAGCCCCCCTGCTCTATTGCCACATGGGTCCAGAGAGGCATCCCTATCACCCCTTGAGAGCAGCAGGATCCCAGGGAAAGCGCAAAGGGAAGGGCCTTGACTCGCCAAGGGCACCTCGAGAGCATATTGACATCCATCAACACTGGGGTCATGCTTTGAGTGGGTCCTGCTTCTGAAGACGTCACATAATTCACAGCTTGCAAAGTCCCAGATTGTTGTCCCAGAGGAGCCACAGTAATGCAGGAGCAAGTGTGCTTGGGGACAGACCATAAAGCCAGAATCACAGGACATATTTTAGCTTTAACGACACTTTGTATTGTTTTAGCATCATCACCGATACTTCACAGTCTGCTGTCTCATAAACTGACTTTATTAAGTATTGAGCAGTTGTTTTGCTTTCTTAGAGGATTTTATCACATTCAGCTTCTGCTCTCAAGTATCCAGCTCTGGTGAGGGGATGGAGAAGGGTCCCAGTACCAGGACCAGCAAGTAGCTCCACTTAACAAACTCACAGAGGACAGGACTTTAATGACAATATGGAAATAACATGCTGGGCACCCACGCGCAGCCATGGAAGCGCAGCAAGGTCTCAAGTTGGTCGCAGGGGCCGGCCGGTCCCTTTACCAGTTCCTGGGCCGCCACCATGTGGCTGCAGCATAAACAGTTCAGTCCCTGGGCCCCGCCAGCTCAAAATGAGCCACCTTGACTTTTTAATTGGAGTTCATACCTTTCAAATTTTGCAGACATATTTTCTGTCATCCTCCTTAAAATGTATACATCAAATTCACATTAAATGTGTCACTCCATAATTTCAGTTTAGGTTAGAGGAGGAGGAGGTTGAGGCCCATTCTCTGGATGAGGTTCACTGAGGCCCAGGAAGAGGTACGGATTTGCTCAAGGTCACAGGGCCAGGGCATGGTGGAGCCTCTTCCGACCTCCACGGCTTCCCTGGGACCCACGGTTCATTCTCCTGCTGGTCAATTCCTGCCTCTGTAATTCCTGGGGGAGGGTAGGCAACAGATGACCGCTCTTCTCTGAGCCTCTTCCAAAGCAACCCTCAACCAGGGAGATTTCAGAGTGGGCCCCCTGAAGCCTAAAGAATGATCCAGGGGTGGAAAAAAAAAGCCTTCTGAATGCAGAACAGGGAGACAAGCTGCCCCTCACGGCACGGCTGCCTGCCTTCCTCCACGCACTGGATTCTGCATGCCTGTGCCTGCTCTATCCTCCCACATGGCCTTGATATCACAGCCCCCACCAGCCTCAACACTTTGATCCCTAAGAGGCTGACCCAGGGAAAGGATGAGGAAGATGACGGCCCTCCCTGCCACTCGCTGAGTGCCCGTTAGGTGCTGGGCCTTGGCTGGGGGGTTCACATAAGTTATCTCATGACAAGAGCCCCATAGGTAGCTTCTCTCGGTGGGCATGAAGTCTCAGAGACAGGCAACTTGCCCAGGAGCCAAGAACTACCTACATGCCCCTGCCAACACACCACCTGCCTCCCAAGACAAACTTTTTGAGGAGAACCAAAACAGTTGTTCCGTACATTTTCTGAGAATGGATGGAAATGGCCCAATTCATTAGGGTGTCATAAAAGTGAATGGCTGGGAAACAAGCCGTGTTATGGGCGATCCCTGCCAATAATGTGGCTGCAAGTGGAAGGCTGGCCTTTGAAGTGATCGCCACCGAACATGATTTACTCGCCTTCACAACTGCTCATGCCCCAGGAAAGAGCAAAGGAGCCATTTGTGTGTCTAGCTGGTGGGTTTTATGGCAACCTTAATTACACCAACAGCTGGCATGGGACGCTGCTACCCGAGCCTAACGAGCTGGATCCAAAAGGGAGTCTCACTCAGACTCTTCTGGCAACTGCGGGCCCCTGGTAGAGATGCAGGGACATGGTCTTGGGGAAAGCAGAAGATCGATCATGACACATGCAGGGGTTATGTCCCTACAATCTGCCCACCACTCGGCCCACCAGCAAACCTGGGGGATGCTGGGCCGCTGCTGACTCGTCCAGAGCAGCCTTGGGTTCCTGCCACTTCCAGAGTGCACGGGGTTGGGGGTGGTCACTGGGCTCCAATCTTGGCCCACTACAGATTTACTATGTGCCTGGGGAAGGTTCGTTCCCTTCCTAGGTCTAGTTTTTGAGTCATCAACACGAGGGCCCCAACCACACCTCTGAGCCTCTAAGTACTCCTGGTCCTCAGAAAGAAGAAGGACTGGCGGATGCACCCAGCTATCCCTCACCCCATGCTGCCAGTCCTCTGCACCCAGACCTGAAGGACAGGGGGTGGGGAGGCACTGCTCTGGGCTCACACGCAACCCTGTGCTCCCTTAGCTGCCCACATCAGCCACCTGCCTACGCCACAGGACTGTGAGCTCCTGGCACAGACGCCCTGCTGCCCACATTTCTGGGTCACCCTTGGCTAGCACTGGGTCTGCCCCTGCAGGCATCAGTAAGGTGTGTCAAATTGATGCTGGATAAGTGAGTAAATGCATAAATGAATGAGTGAATGAACAAAAGGTCGACTACTTTAAAAGTAGCAATCCAGGGTCCTCCGGCTCCCAGCAACATCCTGGCATGCAGGGCTGAGGCAACACACAAAAGCCTTTGCCACTGGCTCTCCCAGGACCCCCGGGTGAGATGACATTCACTCACAGGTCCTTCCCCTGGCCCTGATTGAGCCAGCCCCTGCCCTGTGCCTCAGACGTGGAGACAAAGGAAAGCTGCTCCAAGACCTTGGTGGGAGGTGGGAGCACAGCAGGACTGTGCTCCACGCTGCAGCCTCACAAGAGCCCAGAGGTGGGTGGGGCCTCTCCTGGCCCTTGGATGAGCAGGGGTGAGATGCCAAGTGGGAGGGCCCAAGCACTTAGGCAGACACCCTGGGGACCTGAGCGTGGCAGCCTATTACTGGCTGCATAATTTTGGGCAAGTAACTTCCGTCTGTTCTTCAGTCTCCATATCTGTAAAGTAGGGGTAACAACAGGACCTCCAGCTGAGGAACTAAGGGTGCTGTGCCCAGCTAAATGCCTGACACATACAAGCCCGATGCTTGTAAACCTTCTCCTCCCCAGCCAGCTAGAGCTAGAGTCCCTAGGATGGAGCTGTGAGTTCTTGGGCAACTCTCAATAATAAATGCATTGTCTTCTTCCAGTGCCAAGATGCAAGGCAAAGTGGAAAGGTAGCACAGGACCCACTGCTTTGGTTTAAAGTCGCAAAAGCAGAAGTCGCCAATCACATAGGATGGTGGCTATCAAAAGCAACTGACATTTACATTAAACAAAGTATAACATAACTATGAGAAAAAACATGATTGAATTTCTCTACAACCTGGGACTAGGGAAAACTTTCCCAGCTATGACTCCAAACCCAGAAGCAATAAGTGAAAAGTTGAATAAACTGGACTATATAAAAACAATAATAATTAAAAAAAAATACTTTGGGATGGCAGAAAGCAAGCAAGTAAATAAATAAATAAAGTAAAAAAGACAAGTAGGAGAAATATTTACAACTTCTATTACAGGCAAAGGTCACTATCTGTAATACACAGATGGTCCCTAAAAATAGATGAAAAAGACCAATAGCTCTACAGAAAAACGGGCAAGGAAACAGAGCTCAGAAAAAAATGAAATGGTCCTTCCACTTTGCTCCTAACAAAAGCAATGCAAATTTAAATCACACAGAGATACCATTACTTGCCTATCAAATTAACAAAATCCCAAAGTTTTGCAACACCCTTGTTAGGTGGCTCTGGGGGTGTTAGGTATCTACATATGGCTGCCAGAAATGCAAATGGTACAAGCCCTGTGCAGAAAGGATTTAGACAACTTTGAGCAAAATAACATATGCATCGTTACTCGGCAATATGCATGACCCAGCAACCCCACTTCTAAGAACTAATCCTAAACTTACACTGGCAAAATCCCAAAGAGATATAAGCACAATGCCACTGAAAACAGCACTATTTGTAAAAATAAAAAACAGGGAACAACCCAATGTTCATCGAGAAAGGACTGGCTGAATAAACTCTAGTACATTAATACTCTGGACCACTACGCAGTTGTAAAAAAGAATGAGGAACCTATCCTGCTATGAAGCGATCTCCAGGACACATTGTTCAGTGAAAAAAAATTCAAAGTGGGAGAAAAAACTGTGTAAAGAAGAGGGGACGTGAACATGTGTGTGTTTCCACTAAGAAGCAATAAGAAGACAAACTAGAAACTAAAATAAGCAAATAAATAAGACTGCCTTAAGAGGAAGGGAGGGGAGCAGAATGGGGGAGACAGGGTTAGAGGTGGAACATGGATGATTTCTCGAAATGTACCTTGTTTTGCAGATTTGACTCTAGAACAAGGGTTACAAAGTTTTTCTGTAAAGAGCCAGTCAGTAAATATTTTAGGTTTTGTAGGCCATATGTAGTCACTGTTATATATAATTCTCTCTCTGTCTCTCTCTCTCTCTGTGTGTGTGTGTGTGTGTGTGTGTCTATGTGTGTGTCTGTGTGTTTGTTGGAGCTGGTTAAAAATGTAAAAACCATTCTCACCTCAAAGACCATATAAAAACAGGTCACAGGCAAGATAAGACCCATCAACTGTAGTTTGCCAATCCTTTCTCTGGACTCATATACACATTTTATTAAATTATGCAACAAAATTAACTTAAAAAGCAATCTCTAAAATGTGAAAGCAAAATTAGGCAAACAAAATTAACCATGTATTGATTTCGTAGCTTAACTGCACAAATAAGGTTTCTTTTAAAAGACCTGAAGCACAGTTACTTTGGGCAAGTAACTTCCGTCTGTTCTTCAGTCTCCATACCTGTAAAGTAGGGGTAACAACAGGACCTCCACCTGAGGAACTAAGGGTGCTGTGCCCAGCTAAATGCCTGACACATACGAGCCCGATGCTTGTAAACCTTCTCCTCCCCAGCCAGCCAGAGCTAGAGTCCCTAG